>NC_000004.12:150133502-150436532 GCF_000001405.40 Homo sapiens
AACATGGCAAAGTAAGTTTACTGTTTGGTTTTAAAGGGATGATATAGCAGGATATAGTACATTCATATATAATAAACCAAGGCAGTGTTTTTTAAAATTTGGGAGAACTGGTTCAAAGGATGGAAAAAGTTCCTGTGTCAACATTTCCAAATTAAACATGAAATGTATATTTTTCTCTCTGATAAGAGAATGTGAACAAGGTGTTGTGGGTTTGATAACTGATTGTGCTAATAATCATTCAGTGTCAGCTAATTACAATGTGTAAACATAAAATGTCCATCTAATAGTAGGTTGCATTAGATTCAGTTCATGAGTCATGTAAACAAGGGTTGTAGCAAAGCAGGGAGATGAAGAGAGTACAGTTGGGATAGGAAAAGGGTTCTAAGGTCTTTGCATGCTTTTCAAGGAAACTCATGTAGCCCCAAATATTGTCCAGTTCTAATTATTTGCTAACTAAAGGAGTTTCTTCAGAAAACAGAATTTAGTAGTTGTGATACAATGTTGAAATTCAGGAAATGAGAATTATAAATTTTGAAAGCATTCTCTCCTGCATGTCATTTTTGCGTATAAACTCTTTTTTTTTTTTTTTTTTTTTTGAGACGGAGTCTTGCTCTGTTGCCCAGGCTGGAGTGCAATGGCGCAATCTCGGGTCACTGCAACCTCCACCTCCTAGGTTCAAGTGATTTTCCTGCCTCAGCCTCCCAAGTAGCTGGGATTACAGGCACCCGCCACTACGCCCAGCTAATTTTTGTATTTTTTAGTAGAGATGCGGTTTCACCATGTTGGTCAGGCTGCTCTCGAACTTCTGACCTCAGGTGATCCACCTGCCTCGGCCTCCCAAAGTGCTGGGATTATAGGCATGAGCCACCATGCCTGGCCATTTTTGTGTATAAACTCTTAAAATGTTATGGTAGGGTCTATTTTGCGAAATAAATTAGATACGGCAGTGCTTGATGTGTTGACAACTTCACCAAAAATAAGGTCTTGAAGAAAATTTTAGTCATTCATAAGAAACAGTTTATTTTTATTTTTTATGTGAAGTAAGGGTGCATATGTTAATCTTTTGGAGATTTTACAATTTTGATTTTTTTCTTTGGTCTAAGTTGCTTATATTACTTTGAAAACAATTCTCTGCAGTGTTGGAAGTGCCTAGGAAGCACGTATAATTGCTTTCTTGCAGCAAAAGTTTTAAAAATATTTTTTAAAAATTGTCTTTCTGCCTTGTAAAAATCCATCCTGTTTTCTGCAGCCTGGTGTGCTATTTGGACTAAAGTTTTGGTTTGTAGTTATTCTTGCCATAGTTCCCCAAATCATGTTTGTTGTTGTTGTTGTTGTTTGTTTGTTTTTTTGAGACTGATGTGTTTTTTATTCCTTGCAGTGTTCCATTTCACTGAGACGGGGTGAACAATTACCTCCCTCTCCCTTTTGATACTGTTTTGCCTTTTAGATGAGTATATGTTTTAAAAAATTGTTTGCTGACTTACCTAATCCAAGTAAGAATGTTTGCTATGAGAAAATTCTGATTTAATTCATTTTATAATGAAAAGTCTGCTTAGTATGCTTTTGAACAATTTATGGGCTAAATTTTGGAAGATTGTCTTTCTAAATTATTTTTTGTTCTCTGGAGCAGTGGAAAAAAAACACCTGCCTCTCATACACGTGTACACACACACACACACACACACACACACTGTCTCTCTCAGTTTCAGGTTGTATTTGAGAAAAGCTTGCTTCTTGGAGATTCACAGTGCACATTAGCATATCAGAAACTTTTAAAAGTCCTGAAGTGAAGAAATCTGTTGGAACATTTCTCATATTACTCAGCCACAGAACCCTTTAATGCAAGAATACCTTATTAATGTCTCCTTGGACTGGTGTTTCATAAAATGCTGCCCTGAAGACAAACGAGCACTTAAATATTTACTCAAATATAATGAGTAGTACTCAAATCTGTTTAAAGCTCTGAGTTCAGTACAAGACATGCAATTGGTCATTAAGACCCATCACCGTCTTCAAGAAGAAAGCAATGAAGGAGAATAAAATACAACGTGTGATAGGTGTTGTGAAAGAGGAAGTGCAGGATGCTGCAGTGAAATGATGTAAAAGGGGCACCTAACCCACACTTAGCAGGGAAAGCCACCTGAAGAAAGGATAAGGATTTGCTCATCTGTCTCACAAACTTGAATGGAGTGTACAAATGTTAATAAGACAAAGTGTCTGCTCTTTCAAAGCTTGAATTCCAGTGTGGCAAGGCAGATAATAGGTAAGTAAACTTAAATTTAACATTTTTCATAGTGAAAAGTGCTATAAAGAAAATGAGGAAATAGCTGATGTTTAGTAGGAAGAAAGCTCTATTAACCAAGGAAGCTGCTTGCTTATGGAAGCAGCTTTGAAAGTGAGATGGAAACCATGGACTTATTAGTGGCATCGTGAACATACAGAGCTTTGTGGGGTTTCTCCAGTTGCATTCACTGACCCAAGTAAAGTACAAAGAATGTAGAGAATTGTGTTGATCAAGATTTGGAGTGTTCTCAGTTATGGGCACTCACAGGAAAGTCAAGTCATGGATTTTTGACCCCCTTAAATTGTGGACCGTGGAGAGGGGAGTGAAACCAAGGATGGAGGAATCTCGTGGAGGAAGGGAGGAATGTAAGTAAGAGACTGAAATTCCAGAGGTTGATGTATGGGTGTCATAAGACTGAGAGAGTCAGAAGAACAGGAAGTTTGTAATCATGAAGATATTTTATTTAAAGGATTTAGAAGTACGGTCCCTCTGAATGATAAAGTCCAGGATGTGGCAGTGGGCTGCAGTGGCAGAAGAATTTTAGTGGTGCTGACTACACTGGAGCTGAGGAGGTTGCCTGACCATCACTGTGATCTGTGATATCACCCACAGTAATTGAAGTACCTGGGATGGAGAAGACATGAACCCAGTTCTAAAGCCTTAACTGAAGAGGGGATTGTCAGAACTGAAGAATACAAACTGGTGTCATTAGATGGCATGAGATTCAAAGGAATGGGGTTTTTGTTTTTATTAAGGGTGGAGAAGTGATTGGAAAAGTCACTGTGAGCAAGTAGCAAGTGCTTACTTCTCATCCTAACTCTGAGGAAATGAGATATGGGAGAAGGAACAGCTTCCAGGGAACCTGAAATGTGGTTTGAGCATATCATTCTGTGGTCTGAAGAGGCTGTGACTTTTCTATGTGGTTAGCAACTGGCAGACACTAAGCTTCAAACCAAGTCTCCAAACTTGGTTCAAACCAACTCTATACCTAGGGCACTTTACCCTAGCAGCAGAGTTACAGAGGGTACAGGATTTTTTAAAAATCACAAATTCATCAAGAAGCCAAATAAATATTAATTTGATGAATGCTGCTGGTGTTGTGAAGTTGTGTGCATAATGGATCATGGAGAACCTAGCATATAACTGTAATTCCAAAAATGTATTTATTTCTCATCTTTTTCTTCTTCTTCTTCTTTTTTTTTTTTTTTTTTTTTTGAGGTGAGGGTTTCACTCTGCCACCCAGGCTGTGCAGTGGTGCAGTCATAGCTCACTGCAGCCTTGAGCTCCTGGGCTCAAGGGATCCTCCCACCTCAGCTTCCCAACTCATTGAGACTATGCGTGGGCCACCATGCCCAGTCTATTTATTATCCTTTAAATGGTGGCTGCAGCAGCTCTGCTGTTCTCAGCTGAGCTGCAAGATAGTAGGGAGTAGGGTGGAGTTAGCTGGGACAGGTTGTCTGGGGCAGCTTCCCTCCACATGTCTCTCATCCTGCTTCCACCAGCAGGCTGGCTCAGGCCTTCTCATGGTAAAGGCAGAAGCAGGAGGGAGCAAATGGAAACACATATGGCCTCTGGAAGCCCAGGCTCAAAACTGGCACATTGTTATTTCTGCCTCATTCTGTTGGTTAAAATGAGACAAATGGTCAAACTCTTGAGACAAGGGTTGATGAAATCCCTACAAAGGACATGTATACAGGGAGGGGTGAAGAACAGGGGACAGTGAATAGTGCAATCTCTCATAGAAGCCTGAACTATAAGCTTCTATGAGTGAAAGTTAAATGACTACAAAGGAAAATAAATGTTGATGAAGAGCCTACTCTGTCAGGCTCAATGGTAAAATGACAAGAAAAATTTACCAGGAACTTCCCAATAGAAAGGATTAGTAATTATAGGATTATAAATAAAGGATTAAGAGTTAAGTAGGCCATAGGGGTGGGGACAAGATTTTGCAAGCTTATTTCCATTTATAACATATTCTTCCCCATAAGGAAATTTTTATAGGGTTTCAAATGAGCTTTGGAAAATTATTCATAAAATGTTATGACCATCTGTATTTTCCATATTGCTTAAAATCCCACTCCATAACTAAGTATATTGTCAAATGAAGTTATCAGATCCTAAAATCACATCCTTTTCAGCTACCATCTAGTCAGAAAGTTGCATATCCAGGGGAACCTGTGGGAAGCACTGGCACATTGGATTTTAAAATAGAGAAATTAGGTACTGTATCTCGTACTTTCATTAGGGCTATGTTCATGAAATTTTTATCTCCACCTGTTCTTCATTTGTAATAATGTCTACCCTTCTGCAGAGGTTAGTTATTAAGCAATAAAGTATTTGGAAGTAGCTTCAAGGTTATAGACTATCATAAACCAGCAATAAATAGGAATAGTTTTGCTAAGAACATAGAAAGTAAGCTCTTGGGCTTTGCAACCCAACTACCTGGGTGTGTCCTGGCTTTGTCACACTCTAGCTGTGGGATGTTGTGCAAGGTAGGTAATCTATGCTTCAGTTCCTCCATTGTTGAAAACAGAATAAGAGGCCGGGTGCAGTGGCTCATGCCCGTAATCCCAGCACTTTGGGAGGCCGAGGCGGGGGGATCACCTGAGGCCAGGAGTTTGAGACCAGCCTGGCCAACATGGTGAAACCCCGTCTCTACTATAAATACAAAATTTAGCAAGGCATGGTGGTGCATGGCTGTAATCCCAGGTACTTAGGAGGCTCAGTGGGTCAAACACCAACTTCACATTATTGTGGCAAAAAAAATATTTTTTGACCTTTACTCAGCACTTAGAACAGGCCAGGCACTGTGCCAAGTTAAGAGGTTTATATAGACCAGGCCTCATTTAAGCCTCATAACCACCTTATAGGGCAGATGGGACTCTTATTCTTTTTTTTGAGATGGAGTCTCACTCTGTCACCCAGGGTGGAGTGCAGTGGCACGATCTCAGCTCACTGCAACCTCTGCCTCCTGGGTTCAAGCAATTCTTCTGCCTCAGCCTCCTGAGTAGCGGGACTACAGGCGCCTGCCACCATGCCCAGCTAATTTTTGTATTTTTAGTAGAGACAGGGTTTCACCTTGTTAGCCAGGATGGTCTCAATCTCCTGACCTTGTGATCTGCCCGCCTTGGCCTCCCAAAGTGCTGGGATTACAGGTGTGAGCCACGGCGCCTGGCCCATTTTTCAAATTTTTGAGTTTTTAAATTTAAAAAAAAAAAAGGTTTTCCCTGTAAGAAAGAAAATAATACATTGAAAAATTTTTTTCAATGGAGATGAGGGTCTCACTATGTTGTCCAGGCTGGTATCAAACTCAAGTGATCCTCCTGCCTCAGCCTCACAAGGTGCTAGGATTTTACAGACCTGGGCCACCATGCCTGGCCAGGTCTTAGTTATTTAAATGTGAGAATTATTTTACAAATATAAATTAATCAGTCAAACATTTATTGTGGACCTGCCACATGTTGGTGATGTTATGCCTAGCAAAGAACTTAAGATATGATCTCCACCTTCAAGAAGCCAACAAGCAGTTGGGAAAAGCAAAATGATCACGTCTGAAGTGATGCCAGTGCTAAGTGTGATACAGGGCACACTAGGTGTGTAAAAGGAGTATCCGTCCAAACTCCTGGACGAATGCCTGTGAAGTGATACCTTTAACTTGATAGCCTGGATTCAGATGACTGTTCCTTGGTTAGCCACAGCATATTGTGGTCAGGTGCTAACTTACACAGGAGCACAGTTAA
Organism: Homo sapiens; assembly: GCF_000001405.40. NCBI lineage: Eukaryota > Metazoa > Chordata > Mammalia > Primates > Hominidae > Homo > Homo sapiens. Next base: position 150,139,527 of record NC_000004.12, read on the forward strand.
TTAATGTGTGGTCTTACAGGGTGCGTTTGCAGTCAAAGTGAGAATCTACAGAAAGAGAAGAGGAGTTTGTAGTTAATGTTAAAGTGCTTCTGAAGCCTGAAAGGGTCCTTTCTTTTGGGAAATTGCAGAAAAAAGTCAGCACATGCTGTGGTTCTCCTTCCAAAGCTAATGCACCCTGTATCATTAACAATGAAGCAGTTGACTATTGCCAGGAAAAGCAGAAACTGGCTTATTTAGGGTAGGGAGGCTCAGCAGTGCCAAAGCTAATGCCATTTTGAGTCAAGTGTACATTCCAGTATATTTGGTCATTATTGTCTTGTCATTCCATCCTTTTAAATGTATAATTTCAAAGTTTATATGCAATTAATTTTGTTTGCCTATTTTCTATCCAAATGACATGGTTGGTTTGTTTTACATTTTGACAAATATAGGCAAATTATCCTTCTAGAATGTCACTGCTTAGTTAGAGCTTAGCCTCATACAGTCTATAAAGGTGAGTGTTGGTCTGTGTTTCAAAATGACATAAAAATTTTTAATGAACCATTGTATATAATAGAATGAAGGACACTGGTATAAAGAGGGGAATGTAGAATCTAATTTTCCCTCCATAGAAAACATAAACATAATAAATTTCATGGAAACAATCTGTTAAAGTAACTTGAAAGTCTAAAACTGAACAGAAAGGTGATTTGTTAGCTTATCTTCTTTAATTATTGTTATTATGATACCTTATTCCTTGGAATTTGAGCTTCTACTGAAGAAATTATCTACCTTTTGACCTTGTTTTCTCTAGCTAAGTGGGGCTGAAGAGGAAATAAGTATGTAATAGGCCTCCCCCAGCAAGCATGGAGGCTCCTCCTGCGACCCCAGGATCTCTAGGACCTAGGGGAGCAGTGACAATACCAGCAAAGGGGTCCACAGGGTTGAGGACCCCAATGGTGACGCTGTGTGTGGCAGACCAGGAGCAAGTGGCAGAGTTGCTCACAAAACACACTGCTTGGAAGAAATGGACTTTTTCACAAAAGCCTTTGCGGTATCCATGAAGTGTGCACTGCCTTATGCTCATGACATATCTTACTGAAGATAAGTCAGTGTGCTAGTGAGACACCTACTATGTTCTATTTATTCTTCCTATTCTTTTCCTATTTACTTTTCACAGGAATCCATGTAGGTGCTACTTCTTTATTTTTTAAAATGAGTTTTTTATAGGTTAGTGTATTATTTTAGATATTAAGAAATACTATAAAGAGGTTAAAATCATTTGAGAATAACGATGCAATGATTGGTACTAGTAAATATGTACTAGATTATAACTAACTGTATTTGTGTACTTGATTTTCAAAAGTTTTACAGAATGTATAAAGAAGTTGGATGGAAACTTATTTGTTATTCAGGTGTTTTCCTACAAAACAGTCTACCTAGCCAGGGGAAAGAATAATGCCACTTCATTCTGACTAATTCTCTTCCTTCAAATATGGAGATTCATCTAATCCGCTGTTTTATTTATGGTTTTGAAACCAAAGTGGCAACTGTGTGTGGCTTTGGGTGTTCTTGTTTTAGGGTGGCAGAAGTTGGCATGGCATTTCCTTAGCCTAAGAGTTTTAATTTCATAGTGTTTCTTAATTCTTAACACTAGGCAATATGTCAGTAAATTCTCTGAAATTTAATCTTATAAAAGTTCTAGGATGATTCATGCTACCCTTCCTTCCCCCAAATCGTGACTCATTTTCAAACTTGTGTTTGAAAAGCTTTGTAAGTTAGGGTGAAATATTTAGAGTTTGGCACTTGGATAGTTCCCTGAAAACTCAGTTCGTTTCTGCCAGCAGTGATTGCGATGACAGGGTTAGATTTTATTTCTCAGGTGTTTCTGTTGGTGTTTCATTTTGCAGATCTGAAAAGGGGGTTAAAAGGGAGTGCTGAAACAGAAGAATAAGCACTTAAAGTTTTGGTTCTTATGAGATGGAAACCATTCCAAAGGCACCTGGTGGGTAGGGCTTTGTTAGTTTCTGAGCATTGGACTCTTACCATTTTATCAACATCTCTACAAGACCAGGGTTCTGGGAATATTCATTGTCACTTTTCTTCAGAGAGTTCCCATTGAATGTATCTAAGCAGGTCATGGCACAGAGAATTTTTAAGATCTTAAGGATTAGACAATGATAAACCTGAGGTGTACGTTCATTTTTTTAGCAGAAAGATGTGAAGCAATATGTGATTCCAGAGCAAATGTGAACTACTTTACGAAGCTTTGAAAGATGCCTTTGAAATATGTTTTTGTTTGTGTGGTTTGTTAACTTTGTTTTCCAAGACAAGGAATATTTCCTCATGAGAGTAGCGTGATTTAATACCCTGGAATATGGTAATTGTGCTAAACCATACAGCTATAATTATAAGACACTAAATTGGCCAGAACCCTACTTTGAAGTTTAATGCTTGACATATTAAATGCTTCAGATCTCTTTCAGGAAAAATTTCTGTAACAATGAAATCATACTATATTAAATTAAACTGTTTTAGTGTATTTATTTTAGATCATGAAATATCTGATTTTTTTGTTAGTAATAAAAACAGTTTATGAACCTGTCATTGTGAATGAAATAATTATTTAGTGAAGTTTCCATTTAATTCCTTGCACTGACAAATATTCTTTTATGAATCTCTCATTCATCACTCCCTTCTCACTCCCTCTTTAGATTCGCAATCAGTTTTCAGGAGCACATCTGTCATCATTATGTATATAATTAACACAGTGTCTTAGGTAGTGTCATCTGAATTACTGAACAGGGATAATGATTGGGTAATTTGAGATGTCGTGATTGACCCCAGATCTTTCTTCTCTGAAGGGTAATGGTACATAATGGTTTCTAAACCATGGCACCCTTCCAATTGAGTAGAATGTACAATTTAAAAGAAAAATATATAGTGTTTACCTGGATATTTTTAGTTTCTTTTGCTTCCTTTATTATTTAGCATGCTAAGTTTCTAAAGCATTAATATTCATCACTCATATTCCAAATTGCTGTCAGTTTCCTGTGATATTTGTTGGCGTCAGAATTGACTTCAAGCTTTTTATTTATGGAATCTGTTCTGGAGTTAACAATGAGCTAAGGTTTGGAGGAAATAATATATTAAATAAACTATCTGATTCGATACCCTTGGATCCGAGACTCTGTTTAACAAACACGAGAATCCCTAGGATGTGGTTTGTACCTTTAGTGAACTTATATTTAAATATGCAAACTAAAGAAGCAGCTCCAGTAAGGAAAACTAAAATGCTGATTTTTTTTTTTTTTTAATTTTAGACTCAGGAGGAACATGCACATGTTTGTCACATGGGTATGTTGTATAATGGTGGGGATTGGGCCTTTAGTGTACCCATCAGCCAAATAGCATTGTACCCTCACTCCCCTCTCACCCTTTTTGAGTCCCCAGTGTCTGTTATTTCTGTCTTTATGTCTGTGTGTACCTATTAGTTAGCTCCCACTTATAAGTGAGAATATGCATATGCAGCATTTTTATCTTTCTATGTTAGCTCACTTAGGATAGTGGCCTCCAGCTCTATCCATGTGGCTGCAAAGGACATGATTTCATTCTTTTTCATAGCTGCATAGTATTTCATAGTGTGTGTGTTTGTATATTCAGTATCTTCATAGTATAGTGTGTGTATATATATTCAATTCCATAGTGTGCGTATTCAATATTGAACATTCAATAGTCATTGAAAATGTGATATGTATATATCACATTGTCTTTATCCGGTCAACTGTTGATGGCACTTAGGTTGGTGTCATAACTTTGCTATTGTGAACAGTGCTTCAATAAACATCTAAGTGCAGGTTGGGTGAGGTGGCTCATGCCTGTGATCTCAACACTTTGAGAGGCCGAGGCTGGAGGATTGCGAGAGCCCAGGAGTTCCAGACAAGCCTGAGCAACATGGTGAGACCCAGTCTCTACTTTAATAAATAATTACAACCCAAATAAACATGTAAATGCAGGTGCCTTTTTAATATAATGATTTTTTTTCCTTTGGATAGACATCTGATAGTGAGATTGCTGGATCGAATAGTAGTATAGTTCTGTTTTTAGTTATTTGAGATATCTTCATTCTGTTTTCCATACAGGTTGAACTAATTTACATTCCCACCAACAGTGTATAAGCCTTCCCTTTTCTCTGCATCCATGCCAACATCTGTTTTTTGACTTTCTAATAGTAGCCATTCTGACTGGTGTAGGATAATAGCTCAGTGGGGCTTTAATTTGCATTTCTCTGACTAGTTATATTGAGCATTTTTCATGTGCTTGTTGGCTGCTTGTATTTCTTCTTTTGAGAAGTGTCTGTTCATGTCCTTTGCTCAGTTTTTAATAGGATTGTTTTTTTTTTCTGTTTTGAGTTCCTTATAGATTCTGGATATTAGTCGTTTGCCAGAGACATAATTTGCAAATATTTTTTCCCATTCTGTAGGTTGGCTGTTTACTCTGTTGATTCTCTCTTTTGCTGTGCAGAAGCCTTTTAGATTAATTAAGTCACATTTGTCTATTTTAATTTTTGTTACATTTGCTTTTGGGGTGTTCGTCATAAATTCTTTAATATTTGTTGGCATCAGAATTGACTTCAAGCTTAGTCAAGCCTAGGCCAATGTCCAGAAGAGTTTTTCCTAGGTTTTATTTAGGATTTTTTATAATTTCAGGTCTCACATTTAAGTCTTTAATCCATCTTGAGTTAATTTTTGTATATGGTAAAAGATAGGGGTCCAATTTTATTCTTTTGTATATGGTTAGCCAATTTCCCCAGTACCATTCATTGAATAGGGTGTCCTTTTCCCATTTATTTTTGTCAACTTTGTTGAATATCAGTTGTCTGTAGGTAATGTGGCTTTATTTCTGGGTTCTCTATTCTGTTCCATTGATCCGTGTGCATATTTTTGTACCAGTACCATGCTGTTTTAGTTACTATAGTCTTGTGGTATCATTTGAAGTTAGGCAACATGATACCTCCAGATTGTTCTTTTTGAATAGGATTGCTTTGACTGATTGGGGGGTTTTTGGGCTCCATACGAGCTTTAGGATTGTTTTGTTTTGAGACAGAGTCTAACTCTGTTGCCCAGGCTGGAGTGCAGTGGCATGATCACAGCTCACTGCAGCCTCAAACTCTTGGGCTCAAGTGATCTTTTCACCTCAGCTTCCCAAGTACCTGGGACTGCAGGCATGTGCCATCACACCTGCATTTTTAAAAAGATTATTTGTAGAGATGAGACGTCACCATGTTGCCCAGGCTGGTCTCAAAATCCTGGGCTCAAGATCCTCCTGCCTTGGCCTCCCAAAGTGCTGGGATTATAGGAGTGAGCCACAATGCCTAGCGTGTTTTCTCTAATTCTGCGCAATATGATGTTGATAATTTGATAGAAATTACATTGAATCTGTAGTTTGCTTTGGGCAGTATGGTCATTTTAACGATGTTGATTCTTTCAATCCATGAGAGTGAGATGTTTTTCCTTTTGTATTGTTGACAATTTCTTTCATTACTGTTTTGTTTTCTCCCTGTAGAGATCTTTCCTCTCTTTGGTTAAATGTATTACTGGTTATTTTATTTTTTTGTTGCTATTGTAAATGGAATTGAGTTCTTGATTTGGTTCTCAGCTTGAAAGTAAAACTTTGATTTCTGAAAATCTTTCAAGGAATGGTGACTCTTGACTTTCACTCTCTCCCTGGGGTTGCCTTTGATTTCCTCTGCATTACCAGGCATCACCCCCAGGGTTTACTGGGAGGCAAGTTGTCTGTCAGTTGTTAAGGGAGCAAACTATGGAGTTGCAGTGTTGGGATCTTGGGCTGGTTTTTTAATCTTTCTGTTTTCTTACATGTAAAAGATGATGATAATAAAAAGGTTCCCCAACATTGCCTAGTCCCCTAATAGGTGTTGAGTAAATGTTAAACTGTTACTACTTGAACACTTTAATACTTTTTTAAAGCCCAAGTGTTGGCAGAAAGTATTTTCTTATTTACTTTTGCCACTTGAGTCAGACTGACATTGTAGGAAGTAATTTTTCTCAATGCTAAGGGAAGAGGGATGATAAACAATTAAGAGTACCTACCATGTGGCAGTCATTGCATTAGGTGGTTAGATCTGTTATTTCACTTAGTTCTCATGACACATTTAAGGAGGTAGGTTGCCTTAGCCCAGTTTGATTGATAGCAACGTAACTTAACCCCTTTGAACATCAGTTTCTCTGAGACCACTCAACTACTATGTGCTTAGAGTTGGAATGCCAGCTCCTGATCTTTTTGGCTGCAAAGCTTGTATTTCTTCTGTAATAACTCACAGAAATAGTTATGGAATGACTCTCAAAAATGTAGAGTATCAAAGCTTTTTATAAAAAGAGAATATTCTACCAAAAACACAGAAACTATCAGTTTCAAACACTGCTGATTCTGAAGAGCTTATGCAGCTTCACAAGCAAATTGATTTATTCAAATAATATTTGGAAATAAAATTTTGAGCAAAACAATTTCCTGCCTCCTAGCCTCCTGTTCATCTTTAAGTGCTGGAGGCCATCTGATTTCCTGCCATTGGTGATATTAAGGGCCCTTGACTCATTCTGAGATAAAACCAGTAAAATACCTCACCCAAGAAAGTAATTTACTATGACAAGATCTGCAGGAGAAAAGTAGCATGTGTTTTACTTATTTATTTTTGCATGTGTTTTAGAGCTTTACCACTCAAGGTCTGGTCCATGGGCCCACGTCAGCATTACTTAGAAGTTTTTAGAAATGCAAAATCTCAGGTTCAACTTCAGCTCTCTTGAATTCAGAGTCTACAATTTCACAAAGTCCTCAGCTATTTGTATGCACAAATTTCAGATTCAGTGCTTTAGAAGGAAACACTGGAGAAAACTGTGTGTAGCAATTACCTGAACAATTGTGCTAATTATTAATGTTCAGAAGAGAAGAATACAAAACCATAGTTTATTTTCTTAGAGAATTTATAAACTAGTTGCCTAGCACTGTAGTAGAGCAGTTGAGAGCTTGGTTGTTGGAGTCCAGCTGCCTGGGTTCAAGTCCCAGCTCACTGACTTGCTTAGATGCATGAATCTGTTGCATCCCTAGTAAAGGGCTGTAATAAGATCAGATGCCATCATACATGGTCAGTGCCTAGCATAGTGCCTGCCACATAGTTAGCCTTCAATAAGTGTTGGTTATTTACTATTAAAGAATCCTCAGATATATGAGTTCTGTAATTTGATTAGAGTTTAAATGCTTAAAATGTGGCATGATTTGATGTATTTGAGAAAAGAAAATAGTCATAGAGTGAAGATAGGGTTTCAAGTCTTGGGTTCTAGATCTGGCTGTACCACCAAGAGGCTGCATAACTTTGGGAAGGTTACCTAAGGGTTATCTACATTGTCTGTAAGATGGAGATAATGATGTATACCATGGCTACCTGATAGAGTTTTCTGAGGGTCAATTGAAATACTGTATGTGGCCAAGTGTGGTGGCTCATGCCTATTATCGCAGCACTTTGGGAGGCAGAGGCAGGAGGATTGCTTAAGCCCAGGAGTTCCAGACCAGTCTGGGCAACATAGTGAGGCCTGTTTCTACCAAAAAAAAAATAAAAAATAAAAAAGATAAGTTAGCGAAGCATGGTGCCATGCCTATAGTCCCACCTACTTGGGAGGCTGAGGCAGGAGGATCACTTGAGCCCAGGAGTTCAAGGTTACAGTGAGCTATGATCATGCCACTGCCCTCCATCCTGGGCAACAGAGCAAGACCCTGTCTCTAAAAAATAAGAAAACAAGAATAAATGTAAAAGTATGTTGTACACTGTAAGGCAGCAAGTGGGAACTGATATTTTCAGACCCCTTTTGTATGGGGGCCTGGAGTTTAGTTACCTTCATAAAGCTGGCTATGTGAAAGACCAGACCAAAATCATTTATTTCTATATCATTATTTTGATATAAACAGGTTGAAATAAAATGGTAAGAAAGTGCAAGCATCAAAAATAAGTTGTACAGATATTTTGTCCCATGTACCTGGTGCTTGCTGGTTTTTGACCCTGACCTAATCGTGACCACTGTCATTCCTTATAATGTAAATTGTATTCCCTTCAATATTCAGTCCCATTATGTACAATTTGTATTGTAAAAACTGGGCTATAAAAGAAACACCTGGACTTCATAGAAAGTTGCCCTGCCTGTGGAACTGATGCTGGAAGTATGCAGGGTCAGATGTACAATCCACTGTATACTCCATGGCATCTCCAGTTTGGGGAGAACATTGCCAATGCATTTTAGTCCTATTTTTACTTTTGGTGGAGAATTGTAATAAACAGATTAATTGAAATATCAATCTGGGCAATATTTATTGGCAAAGTATTGAGAAAATATTTGTCAAATAATGAATAGGGTAGATGTTGAAATTAGGGTTGCCCTAGAAGGTGAACTATGATAGCGTTAAAAAGTTGCCTCAGAAAGAATTGCAGGAGAAATCCTCTTATTTTAGTGATAGTTTATTGGTAAATGAAAAGTCTTCCTGAAGGGATCATTAAAATTACATGTACTTTTTTGTGGCTGGTCACAGTGGTTCACGCCTGTAATCCTAGGACTTTGGGAGGCCAAGGTGGGTAGATTGAGCTCCGTAGTTCGAGACCAGCCTGGGCAATGTGGCAAAACCATGTCTCCACTAAAAATACAAAAATTAGCTGGACGTTGTGGCATGCACCTGTAGTCCCAGCTACTTGGAGGGGCTGAGGCAGGAGGATTGCTTGAACCCAGGAGGTTGAGGCTGTAGTGAGCTGAGATGGTGTCATTGCACTCCAGCCTGGGCAACACAGCAAGACCCTGTCTCAAAAGAAAATTCATGTCTTTTTTTTTTTTTATGTTTTTAAAAATGGAGGTCTTGCTGTGTTGCCCAGGCTGTAGTAGAGTGGCTGTTAATAGGTGTGATCATAGCACATTGCAGACTCAAACCCCTGGACTGAAGCAATCCTCCTGCCTCACAGCCTCCTGAGTAGCTAGGAGTACAGATGCATATCACTGTGCCTGGCTTACACTTATTTATAGTGAATGTTAACTTACAACAGTAAGTACACTTTGATTCACCACAAATTTGATGTATATCTAAAGCTTTTTCAGTGTGATCAGTGAAGAAGGTTTTACCTTACCTATCTTGTATGACCTACATCTAAATATAGAGTTCATAATTCCTAGTTTGAGTTCTTTGAAATAAGTGGAGGCCAGGCGTGGTGGCTCACGCCAGTAATCCCAGCAGTTTCGGAGGGCAAGGCGGGCAGATCACTTGAGGTCAGGGGCTCATGACCAGCCTGGGTAACATGGTGAAACCCCGTTTCTACTAAAAATACAAAAATTAGCCAGGCGTGGTGGTGCATGCTTGTAGGCCTAGCTACTGGGGAGGCTGAGATGAGATGGGAGGATAACTTTAACCATGGAGGCAGAGGTTGCAGTGAGCTGAGATTGCACCACTGCACTCCAGCCTGGGCGAAAGAGTGACAGACTGTCTCAAAAAAAAAAAAAAAAAAAGAAAGAAATGGAGACCATGGATACCTGAAAGAAAAGAAAAGAAAGAAAGAAAGAAAGAAATGGAGACCATAAGATACCTGTGAACCAATCTGAGGACAGAATCCATTTAAATTTTATCAGACCCCCCACCCCTCAAATGTAAGATATCTTGACAACATTTAATTCAGTAGCAGTTTATTTTAGTAATTATGGAGCTTTTCCAAATAATTTTAGTTAATTTCTATTGAAAAACTTCATTTTTATATTCATATTTTCTCAATTTATATAATTAAATAATGTTGTCAGGCACAACTGGTGTAAACAGGTTTGGGAGGAAACAGAACTGACTCTTGGTATATATTAAACTCAGCTGGTGGAAGTGGGTGTGTTTGGGTATCAGAAAGTAGTCTATGAGTCCTGGGCATCCAGTGTCCTTCAGCCAGGATGTTTCACAGAGGGAATAGAGAGCATTGTGGAGAGAGAATCAGCAAGGTTTTATTGCATCATTTGTTTTGGCAATTGGCTGTAAAGATGCCTGGCATGAAGGGAGGTATTTTGGTTTTTGGTTTGTGGAGCTTTTTTGCTTAACATTTTGTGAAGACTAACTTAAGGTCATTTGGCAGACGTGTTATTTCACACATAAAAGCTTCTATTCTCATGAGGCAAGGAAGCAAGAACACATTTTTCTTTGCCAATGAATGTCTCTTGCTCTGTTTTGGAATTGTGTTTAATACATAAAATCTGCACTGATTCTGGACTTCATTGAAAGAGATTCTGTAAGGTTGATTGGGGATGGAAATGAGGTGGTCTAGTAATTTTCAAAGTGCTACTGAATTACATAACAGTCTTTGTAAAACCAAAGGAACCCAAATTTTAGAGCAAATAAAACTTTACATTTTAAATTTGTTCATGTTTTTAAATGAATGTCTTTTTGCTTTTTTGTTCAAAGAGCATTTTGACAAAGAACATAATTGAAGTGTATGGGAGTGTGTATAGAATATACTGACTTCTTAAAAATGGAGGTTATTTTCCCCCCCTCCTAGTTTCCAGCATTTAATGGGAAGTTTAACTAAATGTGTATGAAATAAATTTAAAAAAATAAAAAACAATTTATATACTGTGAGTCATGCATATTCTTGCCATTTCAGAAAGGTCAAGATAAAGTATCGTATACTACTGTCACTCCGTTAATGAAGAGAGTATGTGCTGTACCTTGACAGAGCATTGGAATTGAAGGCAGAAGCTGAAGTTTCAGACCCTGGCCTGATTGATGTCTGGTGCAGCATTTAATTATTCTGAACCTCAGTTTCTCCTGTGAAGTGATGGTGATAGGTCTCTTTCATCCACAAAATGGGGACAGTAATACCTACCTCAGGGCTATTGTCAGGATTCAGTGAGATATATTAAAGGCAATTAAGAAAAGAGATAATCATTTTATTACTAAAAAATAATTTTTATAAAATAAGGAGAAAAATAAAAATAAAACCTATTAAAAGCATTTAGCACTGTGTCACAGAGTATTTGATAAATGTAGCATTTATTTTTTTAAAAATTCAGAGATGAATGAATGCTCCAGGCTATTACCCTTGAGCCTGACACTTCTATTTATGTTGGGCTTAATGCCCTCTTGCAGAGTAATAGCACTCTTGGACATGTTGTTCAAACCTGTTTTCTCCCATGTCCTGCCTAATGCCCCAAAATAGAGTGAAATTATAGCTCAGGGACTAATAGCCAGTTACTTGCACCTTGGCTTTTGTTGCCTTGTGAACTGCTGGCAATTAATGTGCTGTGAGTGTCCTGTGAAGCCCTGTGTGGGAACTTTCTCCAGCTGAAATAAAGGAGGGCAGCACTGAAAAGCCTGGACAGGCTCCTTTCTTCTCTCCCTTCCATTCTCAGCAGTGTGACTGTGGCTACACAGTCCTCCCAGTTCCAATAGCTGGCACCTGCTCTTGCAGGGAAGGCTTCTCTGGGTTGGCAGTGCCTCAGCACCTACTGCCCTGCTTGTCGCCAGCTCTCCTGCCACATCCCAGGCGTCAGACCTCCTAGGTGGTTTTTATTTTTGTTTTGTTCTGTTTTTAGTGTGGCTAACTATATCATGAAGAAATGTTCCCAAAGGAATTGTTTGCTAGTCCTTTCTCATCCCTCCCACATCACATCCCAGCTATATAGGAGGGAGGGAAACCATTGTTTACAACATTTATGCAACTTTTATTTCTGGAAAGGGTAACCAGCCAACATAAAGAATTTGCAGAGGACTCAGTGAATGATGGGTCTGGGGAAGCATCCTAGTCAGTTTATCTAAGCCCATGGAAGAGTGAAATCTTCACATCACATATTGGGACAGCCAATTAGAACCTCTGCATGCCCCAGAAAAGCCTAGAGTGAACTCACTTCTTGGCTAAGGCTAGTCTTTCCTGTACCCCTGGCATTTCTCTGAAGATAAGGACTATTGAATTAATTCCTTTGGAAGTCCAGGAAAGTAGCATTTTGAATGCTTGCTTTTATTCCACAAGAAGCTTGAAAAGGAAAATGTGTCTCTAGATATGGTCTCAAAAGCTCCAGTGAAGTTTTACTAGTAATTATTGATTAGAATTTTGTGTGGCTCTGGGCCGGGTGCGGTGGCTCATGCCTGTAATCCCAGCACTTTGGGAGGCCAAGGCAGGTAGATCACCAGAGGTCAGGAGTTCGAGGCCAGCCTGGCCAACATAGTGAAACCCCGTCTCTACTAAAAATACAAAAATTAGCCAGATGTGGTGGCAGGCGCCTGTGATCCCAGCTACTCGGGAGGCTGAGGCAGGAGAATTACTTGAACCTGGGAGGCAGAGGTTGCAGTGAGTCAAGATTGCACCACTGCACTCCAGTCTGGGCAACAAAGTGAGGCTCTGTCTCAAAAAAAAAAAATAATAATAATTTATGTGGCTCTGGTTAAAATGTAAAGACCACAAAATGAGGTACTGTGCACAGTATTAAGGTTGTTATTGTAATACAGCTTATTCAACTGACATTTTGCATTAGTTTGAATCACATATGAAATCACATGTGTTCACCAAAGTGTAGAAAGCATTAAAAATAATATACATTGATTGTATAAGAACCAGGAGGAAAAACAGGGAACAGTAAGTATAGCATCTGCAAGATTTGGATCCCATGAACCTTCAGTATGTTAGCCTTTGTTAAATAACAAAACCCAGTGAGAAAAACACACATAATTTGAAAGCACTTATGACATAAAATAACTGATTGATTGATTGATTTTTTATTTTTTTGAAATGGGATCTCACTGTTGCCCAAGCTGGAGTGCAGTGGCACGATCTTGGCTCACTGCAACCTCCACCTCCCCGGTTCAAGAGATTTTCCTGCCTCAGCCTCCTGAGTAGCTGGAATTACAGGTGCCCACCACCACACCCAGCTAATTTTTGTATCTTTAGTAGAGACGGGGTTTCACCATGTTGGCCAGGCTGGTCTTGAACTCCTGACCTCAGGTGATCTGCCCGCCTCAGCCTCCCACAGTGCTGGGATGACAGGCTTGAGCCACTGTGCCGGGCCTGATTTTTTAATTCCATATTCAGAATAGAGAAGTGAAAGCCCAGTAACTGATTCAAAACAATAAATGACCCATGTACTGCCCTGAGAGAAGCGGAATGCTGACTTAAATTTTATTTTTTGGAAGTGAGTTTAGTTAATGGTTAAGATACAACCCAAAATATGCATTATTGCTGTTCAAAGAATAATTTTTTTAAAATCCTACCTCTTTTATTTAAAAAGAAAAAATACTCCTTATCATGCTGGTGCTTGAATATACAAAATGGTGCTTTAAGTGGAATAGGCTTGTGGAACAAATTCAAGGCCAATATCATTCATTTGTGAGTACGAACAGCTGAATAATGAGCTTGGCAAATGCTTTAAGATGTTAAACAAAATACCGTTAGAACAAAGGAATGACTCAATCTGACCGTGAGAGAATCTTCCCTCCTCTCCAGAGTTGGAACATTTAAAGCAGGGCTTTGACAAGTGAGCAGGACTTCCATTAGTGAAGGAGTAAATGAGAATTTTATTGGTCTAAGCAAAGGCATAGAAGTACATGAAAGTCCATGGAGTAGTGGGCCACCATTGAAGGATCTACCATTGCAGATCCCACCATTGCTATGCATGCTTGTTTGCCTTTGAGTATGGGGGTGGGGATGGAATTGGTGACAGGATGAATCTTTTAAGGGAGGCCAGAACCAGATTGTGAGGGGCCTTCCATGTGGTGCTGAAGGCAGTGAGAAGCCTCAGGAGTGCTTGATATGATCTGATAGCCCTGTCACTGGATTGGAGTAATGCTCCAGGCCTGCCAGCCTTGATCCCTATTTGTGCACTGTCCTCTACTTGACAAACTTTTTTTTTTGGAGGTAGGGGACAGGGTCTTGCTCTGTCATCTAGGCCGGAGTGCAGTGGTACAATAATGACTCAATGCAACCTTGACCTCCTGGGCCCAAGCAACTTACCCACCGCAGCAGTAGCTGGGAACTACATGCATGTGCCACCACATGCCTGGCTAATTTTTAAATAATTTTTTAGTAGAGACGGGGTTTTTTCCATGTTGCCCAGGCTGGTCTTGACCTCCTGGGCTCAAGCGATCCTCCTTGCCTCAGCCTCCCAAAGTCCAGGATTATAGATGTGAGCCACTACAACAAGCCACAAACTCTTACATGTTTATTAAGTCTGTATTAGGACTCTTTCCTTCAGAAAACAAGCACAAACTGGTGTGAGGAGAAAATGGAGGTGCTTATTGGCCTATGCTAGATCTAGCTGTGCTAGAAAACCAGGAAGCCCAAGTGCTTTGTCCTCAGGACTCAGTGTGTTTCCTGTGGCTTTTTCCATATGCCCCTGGTAGCTTTAAGGTGGTTCCAGCATAGGTCCGGGTTCCATTCCATCCCTTCCACCAAGCATATCTGAATGAACTTTCACAAAAGGGCGTAATTTCAGAATCAAACTGTGTAATTGGAAACTTGATGCTCTACTGGCACTGATCAAAGGGTGTCCTAGTTTGAGTGGAGAGGGATGGTTCCCCGATGAAAAAGTTTGTTCTGTTATCAGAAAAGTGGGGACATGGATGCTGAGTGACAAAAGCCAACTTGCAACATAGACCTGGTTCATAAGGGCTCCTCATCCTTAATCTTTCGAGTAATACGTTTGTCACTCTTTCTCTTCACTTGCCAGTGAACATTGACCAGAGTGTCCTTTAGTTACTGTTTCCCGCTCCACTAGACTGTGAGCTCCTTGAAATCGAGGATTCATCCCTTCACGTCAACAGCATTAACACAGATGTTTTACCAGGAATCTTGCTATGTATTAGGTATGCAAAGATAAACCAGATTGGAACCTGTTCTCTTAAGGTGCTTATCTTGATGAGGGACTTGGGTCATAAATGTGATTTAAGTACTCTAGTGTACTTGTGGGACTTCATACCTGGACACTTCATTTTATAAAGATTTAAATTTTTAGATCCAGTATGAATTTCTATGTGAGATATTGTTGTGTGTTTTATTTCCTTGTTTTGATTTTTTTTAGAAGCAAGCTTTTAATATTATTACCATGTGCCTTTAAACACCTAAAGGAAGCTAATGAACTATTTGTTGAAGCCTCCACTAGACAAATGTACAGAAATGGAAGTGGGGTGATGGTTTTTATTGTTTGATTTTTGCCTTTGTCATGGTAGGAAGCTTATTTTTTAAAAATTTTACCTTTTATGAGCTTTACTGGAGTATAATTTTATATGCAATAAAATGTACCAATTTTTACTGCACAATTGAGTTGTGACAAGTGTATAGTCATGTGACCACCTCTGAAACTCATTATTTAGAACATTAGCTGATTTTTATAAGCAATACACAACATGAATGTACTTTCTCATTTAAGTAACAGTAGCTGGTTGGGTGTGGTGGCTCATGCTTGTAAATCCCAGCACTTTGGGAGGCCTAGGCGGGTGGATCACTTGATCCTAGGAGTTCAAGGCTAGCTTGGGCAACATGTAGAAACCCCAACTCTACAAAAAATAAAAAAAATTAGCTGGGTGTGGTGGCATGCACCTGTGGTCCCAGCTACTCAGGAGGCTGAGGTAGAAGGATGGCTTGAGCCCAGAGGCAAAGCTTGCAGTGAGCCATGATTGTGCCATTGCACTCCAGCCTGGGCAACAGAACAAGACCTTGTCTCCAAAAAGTAAAAATACGTAACAGTAGCACATGAAAATGACTTAAAATGAATTCAGAAGGTTGAACTCACCAGCATTAACAACCTACAGATAAGAATATGCTGCATAGTTTTCTTCTGGATCAAAACATGTATTTTCCTTCTGTATACAAGCTGAGGTATATAATTAGTTCATATGAACTATAGAGTTGGAATATGTGTTTCAAGAGGTTCGGTTTTTGTATGCAGCAAAGCGCTAGTTTATGAAAGGAAGAGAATGATTGTACTGATATTTGATAAGTGAATAAACTACTTACTTGTATCCTGTCTGAAAATGTGTCTGGCAGTGACCATGGAAACGTGGCCTCAGGGAGTCCCCTCTGGAGGGTCAGAAATAGCAAGAGGGTAATAGAGAGGCTGTCTGGTTACTGCCAGCAGGTGTTGAGAAAAGCTTGCAGTAATCATGGGTAAAACTCTTGAGACATCCATGGGAGTAGCTTATGGTGGGCATTGTACATCAATAAGATTGGGATTTCTGAGTTTTTACCCTAGGAGCAATGGGAAGAGGGCAGACGCAAGACTGCACAAATGGGTGGATAGGGGTACATTGAGGAAAACGGGAAGCCTACAGGAAGGTTGGAAACATGGGAATTGATGTCATGAATGAAGTAATCTGTACAGATGTAAAGCAGGAAGGAAGAAGGGGCTAGGACTGAGCCTTGAAGAATTCCACTAGTAATGGCCAGAGGGAGGAAGCTAGGTGGGAGAGGAGTGGCCTGGGTAGTCAGGAAAGACAGATGAATGTGAGGTAAAAGTCAAGGGAAAAGAGTCTTTTAGGAAGGAGGTAAATGGAGAAATTCTGCCAAGCGGTCGTTGTAAGGTGAGAACTGAGACCCACCCGTTGGACTTGACCTAAGTGGAGGTTGCTGGTGATTAGGAACCTCTGCGAAGGATGATGGTGCAAAAGCCGTGTTAGATGTTTGTTGAGGTGGGACAAACTTCAGAAATATCTAAATGTTATTATAAATGATCCCATCAAGAAGTAAAAACTGACAAGATCCTGAGAAGGCAGGAGAAGGTGGATTTCAGACCTCACTGCAGGGAGGACACACTGACCCTGTGTAATAAGAAGGAAGGTGTAAAGAGCAGGGATGTAGGGGCTGGACGTTGTGGCTCACGCCTATAATCTTAGCACTTTTTGAGGCTGAGGTGGGTGGCTTGCTTGATCCCAGGAGTTAAAAACCAGATGGGGCAACATAGTGAGGCCGTCTCTACCAAAATAAATAAATAAATAAATAAATAAATAAATAAATAAATAGCCGGGCATGGTGGCACATGCCTGTAGTTCCAGCTACTCTGAAGCCTGAGGTGGGAGATCAGTTAAGCCCCGAGGTTGAGGCTGCAGTGAGCTATGATCATGCCATTGCACCTGCAGCCTCGACAATAGACTGAGGCTCTGACACACATGCACACACATACACACATGTCCACACACCAAAAGAATATGTTGTATATAGGTTTTAGGGAGTAACTATTTTATTTATTTATTTATTTATTTATTTATTTATTTATTTATTTATTTATTTTTTGAGACAGAGTCTTGCTCTGCTACCCAGGCTGGAGTGCAGTGGTGTGATCACTGCAGTCTTGACCTCCTGGGGTCAAGCAATCCTCCCACCACAGTCTTCCAAGTAGCTGAGGCCACCGATGTGCGCCACCTGCTTGGCTAATTTATTTATTTTTTGTAGAGACAAGGTCTTGCTATGTTACCCAGGCAGATCTCGAACTCCTGGACTCAAGTAATCTGCCTTCCTCAGCCTCCCAAAGTGCTGGGATTACAGGCTTGAACCACTGCGCACAGCCAGGAGTTACTATTTTCTAGTGTGTATGTATCAGTCCAAACTCAAACACCGTGATGGAAAATACATTTCTGCGTTAGCTGGTTTAGTGTTTCTCACCTGTTTTTTTTTTTTTTTGTTACTGTCCTTTAAGGAGGAAAATTAAATTTAAATGAG
Organism: Homo sapiens; assembly: GCF_000001405.40. NCBI lineage: Eukaryota > Metazoa > Chordata > Mammalia > Primates > Hominidae > Homo > Homo sapiens. The sequence goes on from NC_000004.12 coordinate 150,157,222, forward strand.
TTATATTTATTACTAAAAATCTTTTTAAAATTTTTTAAAATTTTACATTTTTGAGATTATGAATTTTCTTTGTTTTTGAGACAAGGTCTTGCCCTGTCACCCAGGCCAGAGTGCAGTGGCATGATCTCAGCTCACTGCAGCCTTAACCTCCCAGGCTCAAGCAATCCTCACACCTCAGCTCCCACCACCCTCTTCTCTGAGTATCTGGGACTACAAACATGTGCCACTATGCCCAGCTAAATTTTGTATTTTTTGTAGAGATGGTTTTTTTGTTTGTTTGTTTGTTTGTTTGTTTGTTTGTTTGTTTTTGAGCTGGAGTCTCTCTCTCTTGTTCAGGCTGGAGTGCAGTGGTGTGATCTCGGCTCACTGCAGCCTCCACTTCCCGGGTTCAGGTGATTCTCATGCCTCAACCTCCCCAGTAGCTAGGCTTATAGGCATGTACCACCATGCCCAGCAAATTTTTGAACTTTTATTAGAGACCGGGTTTCACCACGTTGGCCAGGCTGGTCTTGAACTTCTGACCTCAAGTGATCCGCCTGCCATGGCCTTGCAAAGTCCTGGGATTACAGGCATGAGCTACCGCTCCTGGCAGAGATGGAGTTTTGCCATGTTTCCGGACTGGTCTTGAACTCTCTGAGCTCAAGTGATCTGCCTGCCTCAGCCTCCCACAGTGCTGGGATTATAGGCATGAGCTGCCGTGCCTGGCCCAGAATCTTTTAATTTTATTCTAACGAGATAAATAGTAAGGGTTGAACTTTGGAGGGCCACAAATCATTGTAATATCTACGATGTTTAGCTCCCTTTATTGTTAATTTGCTAAGGCCACCATAATAAAATACTACATACTGGGTGGCTTAAACAACATAAATCTATTTTCTCACAGTTCTGGAGATGAGAAGAAGTTCAAGATAAAGGTGTCAGCAGGTTTGATTTCTCCGGAGGCACCTCCCCCTTTTGGCTGTGTGTTCACATGACTTTTCCTCTATGCATGCACACCCTGGCATCTGTGTGTGTCCACATTTTCTTCTCTTATAAGGACACTGGTCACATTGGATTATGGCCTACTCATATGACCTCATTTAACCCTAATTACCTTTTTAAAGACTGTGTCTCTAAATACAGTCACATTCTGCTGTCCTAGAGGGTAGGGCTTCAACATATGAATTTTAGGGGGATATAATTCAGTCTATAACACCTCCCAATAAGTTATTTTTGCCTCCCCTCCACCACAGAGGCACACTGCCCCTTTGAGAATGCATGAGCTAATTGATAAAGGTTACTCTCTATTTTGCTTACTGGATAGAGTACTGGGGATGTAAAGTTGCATTCCTCTATTGAGCACCTAATATATGTTGGGTACCATACCAGTCTCTGGGAATATAAATGTCTCGAAGGAATTCTTCAATATGTAAACTAAAATGTTGTAATACAATGATAAATATAACAGACTGAGATGTTCATTAACTGTTTCTTGAATGAATAACTGAAATAGTAGTGATTAATTCTGCTGAAAGTAGTTAGAAAAAACTGCACAGGAAAGGTGGCATTTGTTGGAGGTGGATGAATTGGATTTTTGAATATAGAGCTGTGGTTGGGCCACTGCACTCCAGCTGAGGTGACAGTGAGACACCATCTCAAAAAAGAAAAGAAAAAAGAAAGAAATGCAAGCAGAAAAACAACCCAAGGTTCCTCAGGCATGGAGGAATGAAAATGCAGGGCTTACTGGAAGAATCATGAATAGCGTAGTATTTAGAAACCTTAGGGAGTATGTTGAGAAGAAGAAATAGTGAGATGTGGAGCCAGTTTCTGAAGGATGTTGAATACGATTTTGCTGAGGGATTTGAATTTTTTTCTTTGAGCAATGAGGAATTAACAAAGTGAGCAGGAGTGTGACACTCCAGGAGTCCATGTCAGATTCTTATATTGTGCCCTCCGGAAGGACAGACACCACATCAAAGGGAGTGCCATTCACATCCTAGACATGAGCTAACATGAGAGTGGCTGGTGTAGAGATTTCAGGCTTCACAGTTGAATCCTGGAGCTGCAGAAGAGAACTCTTCCTTCATGAATTCCACCAGCCCACCCTCTATGCACATACACACACCACTTTATGGTACACATACATGTGTCTGCTGCACCATTGCATCTGCCTCCTGGATGTCCCCAAAGGTGGCTTCTCTTGTCACTTCTTCTCTGCCACTCTTAGGTTCCTAATCCCTGTCTCTCACCCACTTTGAAACCTGACACAGTCACCTTTCCTAGGCATGGGCCAATTAAATGTACGTGCTTACAGCACACGTGCCCTGGCATGTGGTGGGGGTGTAGTGAAAAGCTGAGAGTGTGGGCTTCTCTTTATGAAGGTAAAGCTGTAACATTTGACCTCTTCTTTGAGCAGGGCTTTCATGATGTGCAGTAATATCATAATTAAAATCTTCATTGACGAAGAGAAGCCTTTCCCAATTTGCACGAAGGTAAATTGAATTGGTCATGACAGTGAAAGTGATATGATCAGAAAAGTATTTTTAGAAAAATAATCCTAGTGGCAAAATGGAATTTGGATTAGATGGGAGTTGGGACAGTGAGAGGGGAGGTGGTCGAGAGAACACGTTTTCATATGTTCCGCTTTGCTAGAACAGGAATCCCTGGGCACGTGACTTAGGAATGAGGGAAACGTAAAAAATACAATGATCCAGCATATAAAAGGTAATAAGCAAGTGTGACTTCCTTTTCCTTCTTCTTTACTCTTTTGTTTGCAGACCCTCTTTGATGACTTTTTTTTTTTTAATTTTTATTATTTTTGTGTGTGTGTGTGAGACGGGGTCTTAGTCTGTCGTCCAGGGTGGAGTGCAGTGGTGTGATCGCTGCTCACTGCAGCCTTGACCTCCCAGGCTTAAGTGGTTTTCCCATCTCAGCCTCTTTAAGTAGCTGGGACTACAGACATGTGCTACCACATGCCTGGCTAACTTGTGTACTTTTTGTAGAGTCAAGATTTCACCACGTTGCCCAGGCTGGTCTCCAACTCCTGAGCTCAAGCAATCCACCTGCCTCGGCCTCCCAGAGTGCTGAGACTGCAAGTGTGAGCCACCATGCCCGATTTTGATGACTCCTTGTGGAGAGTGCTTTAAGAGCAGCATTTTTGTCCCCTGAGAGTTACATGTTTGTTATTTTGCAGCTTTTAGGATTTAATTTACTTTCAGTATTCAAGCACCATGTTGATCAGGAGGTCCCAAGGATGCCAGTGAAGTTTATCTGTATATTTTGAGATTGTTGTTGTCCCTGGGCAATTAAAAACCCAAAACTCAAGGAAGTTAAATAACTTGTTCAAGCTTCTACAAGGTTATTGTATGGCTGAGGAAATGGCAGTATTAAATAGCTAAATGACTTGTTTTGTTTCACAGTAAATTGGGATAGAGCCAAGATTTGTAATCATTACTGTGTTCCGCTAAGACTCCAAAGTTGAGAAAGGCACTAATTGGGTAGACTGTCCCATCCAACCATCAGGTTCATTCCTGTTGGACTCTGTTCTGAGAGAAGGAAAAGAAAGGGCCTCTTTGCTCCGGATATTTGGAAACATTTGTGTTATTGGGTCATGGATAGGAAACAGCCTCAGAAATCCTCTGCCCCAGTGCCTCCATGTTATTGGTGAGATAATTAAAGCTCCAGAGAGGCTGTGACTTAAATGACACAGATGTTTGGTGACAGGAAGCAGGACTCCTGATTCCAAATTTAATGTTTTTTCAATTAATAATATAATCTGTCCCTGTAACTTAAAAAAACAAATATACAAAAACTCAAAGAGGTAAATTCATTTGTGTCAAAAAGAAATGACAAAAAGGAGTGAAACAATTTAAGGTAAACATCTGACTACTTTGTATGAACTTTAAAGTATATAGATTGTGAACAGGGACTGAAAGTTAGTCAATGAAGATATAGAAAACTTACTTTCAGGGTAAGTGAGGAAGCATCTCTTTTGTGATGTAAATCAGAGTAGAATTGCCCAGATACAGGCTATCTTTTAACTCACAAGGGTCTTGTAAACCAGTAATAAATGTGTTTTCTATTTGCAGTTTCAACTAACCTCTATAAATTAGAAAAATAAATGGATACTGGTGAATCAGACACCTGCAGAGCTACTTGATAGGCCTTCCCTCAAGAGCCAGATACAAGTCTGTGTTTGTGTGTTCAGAGGGTAATATATCTAGGATGTGCATTACAAAGAGACAAAATACAAATTTTTTGGTTCCCAGAGGTCTAAGATGGTTCCCACTTCTTTAGATTATATCAGATAATTTATAAGACATGAGACTGATAAAAGACAATGTGACACCCCATAATTCAATACAGTAACTCACAGAAGATCTCTGGAATCAGTTTGGTTTTCTAATATATTAACAGTTTGTGAGGAAAGGAAGGAAGCCAGGTTATACACATTGAAAAGTATGCACAGATGCACCCAGAATCCACAGAGATGTGTTTCCATTTGTAAGTATTTTATTACATTGGCAAATTACAAAGGGCTGGGAAAGTGGGAGATGAGAGATTGCAATTTGTGAAACTATTATTTTAGGGCTGAATTGTCCAGGGAACTTCAATGTGAAAGAAAATAATAAGACATTTTGTGTGATGTCTGTGTCTGACTTCTTACCTTTATAGAGGGGTGTTGCTTCAAGGTTGTATCTTGTAACCTTACTGCTAGGGGCTTATGGCTTTGTAGTTCTTCCCAGGATTGGTCAGACCTCAGCAGAGTCATGAACATTTCTGACCTTATTGTGACTTTCTTCATGTCACCACCGTCTGTTTATTGGTTTTGATTTATTTACTTATTTTGAAACAGGGTCTTGCCCTGTTGCCCAGGCTGGAGTGCAGTTGTACAAACATGGCTCACTGCAGCCTCAACCTCCTGGGCTCAGATGATCCTCCCACCTCAGCCTCCCAAATAGCTGGCACCATAGGCATGCGCCACCATGCCTGGCTAATTTTTTGCATTTTTTGTAGAGATGGGATCTTGCTATGTTGCCCAGGCTGGTCTTGAACTCCTGGCCTCAAGCAGTCCTCCAACCTCGGCCTCTCAAAGTGCTGTGATTACAGGCATGAGCCACTGCATCCAGCCTGATTTATTTTTAATACATTAAAGTTGAGTTATTAGGGACAGAGGAGAAACTTTAGACCCTCTGCTCTTCAAGTATTGGGATTTAGGGCCAACTTTATTAAGTAGTATTATCTTCCATATATATTTGTATAACTTTCCTCATAAAATTTCCATCCCATGTTGTGAAAGATCAGAATGTTAATTTTAGTTAACCTAATAAATATCTAGATATTTTAAATTAATTTATTGAATGTAATTTCAAATTAAATGTATGTCTTAATTATGTTTCTGAGCTTTTTCTAAGTCTTCTATTTTTTTTAATTTTTAAATTTTTTTATTTTATAGAGATGCACTCTCACTCTGTGGCCCAGGCTGGTCTCAAACTCCTAGACTCAACTGATCCTCCTGCCTCAGCCTCCCAAAGTGCTGGGATTTTAGGCATGAGCACTGTGCCCAGCCTAAGTCTTCTATTTTAAAGGCCTTCCTTGCTGTACGTACTCTTTGCTTCCTGGGACATTGATAAGTTTAACCTAGAAGTAGCTGCAACATAGAGGACAATAACTCAGACCCACATTTGACAGATCTTCTCTTTTCACTCACTTATTCTGCCTCCTGGCCTTATCATTTAGCTTACTATTTAATATGACATTAGAATTGTCTAACGAATTGTTGGTACTGAGAATTGACTGTGACTGCGCAACACATCTTTCTTTCTTCCAAAATTGGCAAAACGACAGTTGGTTAATCATTCTGCAGGGCGGTACCTAAGCAAATGGAGTCCTATCTTTTGAAACCAGTCATTTAAGGCTGGGCTCGGTGGCTCACGCCTGTAATTCCAGCACTTTGGGAGGCTGAGACAGGCAGATCTCCTGAGGTCAGGAGTTTGAGACCAGCCTGGCCAACATGGTGAAACCCTGTCTCTACCAAAAATACAAAAATTCACTGGGCGTGGTGGCAGGCACCTATAGTTCCAGCCACTTGGGGGGCTAAGGCAGGAGAATCGCTTGGACCTGGGAGGCAGAGGTTGTAGTGAGCTGAGCCTCTGCCACTGCACTCCAGCCTGGGTGACAGAGTGAGACTCCGTCTCAAAATAAATAAATAAATAAATAAATAAATAAACCAACCAGCCATTTAAATATCATTCATTCCCTTTTTTCTTCAATAACTACTACATTATAGAGGAGTTCAAAGCCCAGGATCCTTGCCCAACCGCCACCCCATGGTGTGTGATTTCATTATATAACTTAATCTCTCTGAGCCCATTTCCTTGTCTATACTATGAAGAAAATTATAGAGCTCAGTTGTCTGAATTAAATAAGATACTATCTAGAAAATATTCTCTCTGGCTTTAGAACTCAGTAAGAACTCAGTAAACATTAGTTATTAAGCAGTTACTATATTGTGCAGGCATGCTCAAGATTATATGTTTTAGGCACTTAATTTGTATCACATTTTTCAATTTCTAAAAGCTGCTGTCTTGCATTGTCATTTGGACCTCAAGAAAATGAATGATTATGATTGAGATGAAGAGTCACCAAAGTTCTTACCAATTTTAGGAAGTTAGTTATTTTATTTATAATTATTTTCTACTTTCCATGGTTAAGGACAGTACCAACCCTTTGCAACATCTGTTTTGCTTTTTGTTTTGTAGAGCTGTGATCTCACTATGTTGACCAGGCTGGTCTCAAACTCCTGGCCCATCCTCCTGCCTTGGCCTCTGAAAGTGCTGGAATTATAGGCATAAGCCACTGCACCAGCCTAACACAGCCCATTTTATTTCTGACATTTCCTTATGGTTTTTAGGCCAGCAATATAAAGTTGACCCTCAGTTTTCCTTGGAAGTTAGAGTATAATGTCTGTCTCTTTAAGACAGTTGATTTTAACCCCAGCTGCTAATTAGGATGACCTTGGAGAGACTTTGGCTGTTACTGATGAAATACAGATGCCTGGCCCCATGCCCCAGAGTCTGATTAAGTGGTCTGGGTTGGGCCTGTGGCATCAGCATTTTTGAACTGTGCAGCCACTGCTCTAAGGAATATTTTCAGTTTACTTACTTACCCCCCTACCCCCATACCCTACTCCCAAATTAAAAGCCTATAGCTCATCAGCAAATTGCAACAATTCCAGATAGTCTATAGATTAACAGCTGTTAATTTGTAGATAAATGAATTAGCTAAGTACATATATTGTTTAAAAATATTTTAAGGGTCGGATGTGGTGGCTCACACCTGTAATCCCAGCACTTTGGGAGGCCGAGGTGGGTGGATCACCTGAGGTCAAGAGTTCGAGACCAGCCTGGCCAACATGATGAAACCCCATCTCTACTAAAAATATAAAAATTAGCTGGGTGTGGTGGTGCACACCTGTAGTCCCAGCTACTTGGGAGGCTGAGGCAGGAGAATTGCTTGAACACAGGAGGTGGAGGTTGCAGTGAGCTGAGATTGTGCCACTGCACTCCAGCCTGGGCAACAGAGTGAGACACTGTCTCAAAAAAAAAATTAAGTCCAGTTATATTTTATTAGTACAGATTAACCATAACATATCTCCTGGAGTACTAAAAATTCATTTGGAGTTGCAATATCATTGTATAGGGTGAAACAAAAATTATCTTGATTCTTGTCACACTGTAAGACCCTTACTGTTCTCCTTTTAAAGATTTTGAGCACACCAATTTATGACAACACTTGTTTTGGTTTACATGAGTAATCTCTGATTTTGTAGTGAATAAATGGGTTTAACCATCCTGAGACAAATTCATTCATAATCTTTAGAGAAGATTCCCTGAGGGCATGAACATTCCATATGCCTGTAATGATGGAATATACCTTCGGGAGAGGAACTTCCTTGTTTAAAAACACTTTTAACAACTGCTGAGGACTATGGGTGTTGTGATTAAATTAAAGTGGTCATTGAGCTGTGGAGTGTTTAATTCTGTGGTTTCTTCTGATCTTTGTCTGCCTTTGAGTACACCAGCACTGTTTCTGTTCTATAGATCTGGCAGCTGTTAGAAATGCCATGCGTGTTTGCTAAGAATTGGGTGGTAATTTTATATACAATAACTGCTGATTGGGTTGCCCAGGGTTGAGTTTTTTTTTTGATTTGTCTTCCCACATGAAGTTGGTTAGATTGGAAAATTTGCTCCAATTGCTAAAGATTGCTTTTAAATGTGCAGCATATTAGCCACAGTTGTTGCCATAAGCAGCTGCATGCTGCATATTAGCTTGAATACACAATAAACATTTTATGGTTGGAATAGTGAATATCGCTGGAGGAGAGAACCTATTTCAAAGAGAACATAAATTGGCCTATAAAAAAGTAAGCAGAAACCTTAAACCTTAGATTGTTAGGTTTGTGAGTCCTCTGCTTAGAACTGATGGAAGGGCTACCTTGTTACATTTACAGTGTTACCTAGGTTCATTTTAATTGTTTCACCTGATGCTGTGGTTTGAATGTGTCCCCCAAAAGTTCATGTGTTGGAAACTTAATCCCCAGTGCAACAGTGTTGAAAGGTAGAGCCTAATAAGATCTGATTGGATAATGAGGGCAGAGCCCTCATGAATGGACTGTCATTGTTATGGGAGTAGGTGAGTTATGAGAGTGAGTTGTTATAAAGTGAGTCTGGCGCCTGGTGCCTCTGTCTTGTGTGTTCACTTCCACCTTCCCCCTTCAACTGTGGGATGACCATCTGTAGACACCAGTGCCAAGCCCTTGGACTTCCCAGCTTCCAGAACCGTGAGAAATAAATTTCTTTTCTTTATAAACTACCCAGACTGTGGTGTTCTATTGTAGTCACACAAAACTAAGAAGACACCAGGTGTCCGAGTTTGGATTCTAATCATTTAATGGAGGTAATTTAGATATTAATACCAACACAGAAGTTATTTAAAAATCTAACACGGCCAGGAATGGTAGCTCACACCTGTAATCCCAGCACTTTGGGAGGCTGAGGTGGGAGGATTACCTGAGCGCAGGAGTTCAAGACAAGCCTGAGCAACATAGCGGGACCCCATCTCTACATAAAATTTTTAAAAAAATTAGCCAGGTGTGGTGGCATGCACCTGTGGTCCTAGCTACTTGGAAGGCTGAGTTAGGAGGATCACTTGAGCCTGGGAGATGAAGGCTGTGGTGAGCTATGATTGTGACACTGCACTCCAGCCTGAGTGACAGAGTGAGACCCTGTCTCAAAAAAAAGTACAAAAAACAAAAACCGATATTCTACTTGTCCCCAGCATTCTTCATTACTTGTGAAATTGCGAGTATATCCTTGTTGTTTTATCTTTGAAGGGGTGAAGTTCTGGGAGCTGCCTTGTGTGATGAGTACACATTTTCCTGTTTTCTTTGTGTGACAAATGACTACCTAAGATGCAAATGTTAATGCATAATTTATCTGAGTTTGTAATTAGAGCAAGGCACTCCAAGCAGTGATTAAGTCCTTTTTGTTCATGCAATCTTTGTGCACTGTCATGAAGAGGTGGGTGCTTGCTGGGCTGATTGCTGGTCCTTTTCTGATTAGGAGACAACGCTCAAAAAGCAGCACTTCTGACTTTTTTCAGATCCTTCTGAATGGCAGGGAGCCTTGCCTCCTTTTCAGAGATCTTCCTTGTCTTAAGGATAAGTGGTGGGCGGGACACTGCCTAATGATAACTATGATCATGTAAAATAGCCACTGATTAAAGAGTAGTTCACTGGGCCCGCCTGGGTGCATTATTCTCATTGGGAGGCACTTACTGGGGTGGGGTCGAGGTAATTCTCTTTGATATTCAGGAGATAAATTGTACTCATCAGAACCCCATCAGTTAGTTAAAGGCAGTTTAGAATGTGCTTTCCTGATTTTAAGAGGGAAAAATGCCAAAAAAAAAATATCTGTTTCAATTGGAAGGAGGAGAGAGAAAAGCCATCTCGGAAGCCTGGCAGCAGGCCTGCAGAGAAGCAGCTCTTTGGGCTGTTGCAGTAGTTATGTCCTTGTCTTATGAAGGACAGACTGTTTGTGACTACACAAGTGACTGCTAAAGAGACTTTTCATATTCATGGAAGGTTTCCTGTGAAGTTGCAGGAGGAAATAGTTTGTATCTGCCCTTTGACTTTGCACCAGTGTCAGCCAGATCATACTACGGACCTCAATTTAGGCCTTAATAGAATTTAACTTTTGAGACTAAATCTCGTACTTGAGTAGGAAAGCTAGATCTTACCGTTATCCACACCTACCGGCAAAAAAGGGAGAGGGGCTCATTCAATGCAGTCCTACCATTAGATTATTAGCTGACCAGGACAGGAACTGTTACAGTAGGTAGCTAGTCAGGCATGAGCAGGGCAAGAGATGGCTCTCCCCAACCTCCACCAGGAGTGTCAGGCGACCATCAAGTGATGGTCAGGCAGTTTAAAATAATGATTGGTCGCAGCCAGCGCCAGAGAAGGACAGTCTCCCAACAGATAGAAAACACCCAAAACTGGTGATCAGCAGCTTCCCCATAAGATCTCGGAAGCTGGGCGAGTGGGCTCAAGCATGTGCACTAAGAGGCAAAATGGCAGAGTTTAACTGGTATATGACCTTCCTCTAGGAATGCTAGATTGGTAAGGGAAGAATGCCTCAGGTGAGCATGCGTACAACTCCAGTAAACACACTGTGCATGCAGGCCCTCCCAAGTGCTGAAAGGCCATTGTGCATGCAGGCAGCCCACCCCAAGGGAAGAACTGGGGGAGAAGGAGGGCGCAAGACCCCAGAAGCATGCCAACGTGTAAAACCCCAAGTCAGGCCAGGTGCGGTGGCTCACGCCTGTAATCCCAGCACTTTGGGAGGCCAAGGCGGGCGGATCACGAGGTCAGGAGATCGAGACCATCCTGGCTAACACAGTGAAACCCCGTCTCTACTAAAAATACAAAAAATTAGCTGGGCGTGGTGGCAGGCGCCTGTAGTCCCAGCTACTCTGGAGACTGAGGCAGGAGAGTGGCGTAAGTAAACCCGGCAGGCAGAGCTTGCAGTGAGCCGAGATCGTGTCACTGCATTCCAGCCTGGGTGACAGAGCGAGACTCCATCTCAAAAAAAAAAAAAAACCCAAGTCAGAGGTCAAACTGTGCACTTGATCTCTCAAGTCACCTACTTAGCCCTCTTCCAAGTGTAAAGACTTCCTTTCATTCCTGCTCTAAAGCTTTTTAATAAACTTTCACTCCTGCTCCAAAACTTGCCTTGGTCTCTCCTTCTGCCTTATGCCCCTTAGTTGAATTCTTTCTTCTGAGGAGGTAAGAATTGAGTTTGCTGCAGACGCATGTGGATTCACCACCAGGAACATACTTTGGTGCTCTGTGACTTGGATACGTTCTGCTGCTAACAGAACCAAGGTCTGTACTTCTGAATGTGTGGCCACTATTGCAATCCCAAAGTAGTGATGGGTTTTAATACTCGTTGGGTAATAACTTTGCAACAATCTGGCAGTGACACTTAGCATTGCGTGTATTTTCCTTCGTATAGTGAGTGCTCCAGACATGGCCAATCCACAATTCTCACTGATCAGTTCTGCATTTTAGTTCATTCTGACTGTTGAGCTGGTTACCAAGCCAGTTAGCTCAGTTTTCCCAAGGTGATCTTGCTTTTCAATATCAAGTATATGATTTGGCTTGATCTGGAGATGCAGTGTTTAATAGATGTTATGAGCAGTCCATCCTAGGGCTCAGTAAGAGTGTGTTCCTTAATACTACAAAGTTCTGCCCCCACTACCATTGGAAGCCAAAGTGCACCCCCTCCCCACCCCCCGTAATTCCTTGTGTTTCTGTTGGTTAGATTTCACACATCTTTGTTCTTCCTTTCTTAGCTTAAGGCACAGTCTTTTACCCAGGACTCTCATCTGACACAAGTAGGACCTTTCCTTCTGGAAAATGACAAAAATATTCCCAACATAAAAATTAACTTCTAAAAATCCCTGCACAGGACTGAACTGACTGATGCTTTAGGGTTATCATATTTAGAAGGAAAAAAATGGACTGTTAAAAACTTTAGACAAATTAAACAATTTATTTGAGCATAGAATGATTCGTACATCAGGCAGCCTTCCGAACAAGAAGTGGGTTCAGAGGCCTGGTGCAGTGGCTCACGCCTGTAATCCCAGCACTTTGGGAAGCTGAGGCGGTTGGATCACCTGAGGTCAGCAGTTCTAGACCAGCCTGGCCAACATGGTGAAACCCCTTCTCTACTAAAAATATGAAAGTAGCCAGTGTGGTGGCAGGCACCTGTAATCCTAGCTACTCAGGAGGCTGAGGCAGGAGAATCGGTTGAACCTGGGAGATGGAGGTTGCAGTGAGCCAAGATCGCACCATTGCACTCCAGCTGGGTGACAAGAGTGAAACTCCGTCTCAAAAAAAAAAAAAAAAAGTGTGGTTCAGAGAGCTCTACTCTGCAGTGTGGGCACACAGCATTTATGGATAGAAATAGAAGTAGGGTACAGAAACAGTTTTATTGGTTACAGCTGGGCATTGGCTTTATTTGATCATGATCTAATCCATTGGTGGCCTGTGATTGACAGACAGCTAATTGTTACAAAAGTATACAGTACACCTAAGTTAGGCTTTCAGTTAAGTTAGGTTATAATTCCTGAAGTAGGGACTTAAAATACAGAACAGCCGCAGGCCAAATTTATTTAACAGGATGTACTTATACTAAAAAATGATCTGTTGCTTATCTGAAATTCAGATTTAACTAGGTATCCAGTATTTTATCTAACCAACCCTAGATGCAAGTAGTTTTTAAATTTTTATTTATTTATTTTCTTGAGACAGAGTCTCACTCTGACACCCAGGCTTGGAGTACAGTGGCATGATCTTGACTCACTGCAACTTCTACCACCTGGGTTCAAGCGAGTCTCCTGCCTCAGCCTCCCGAGTGGCTGGGATTACCACCATGTCTGGCTGATGTTTGTATTTTTACTATAGACATGGTTTCACCATGTTGGCCAGGCTGGTTTTGAACTCCTGACCTCAGATGATCCACCCACCTCAGCTTCCCAAAGTTCTGGGATTATAGGCATGAGCCACCATGCCCGGCCAGTTTTTTTTTAAAAGAAAGAAAAAGATAAAGGAAATAACCCTGTTGATATTTAGCTGGGGCGAGGATAAGGTGGGAGGGGAAAAGCAGTAGAAGTGTTTTCCTGAGTACCACAACTGTGAGGAAAATTGAGCTCACTCCAGTTCACAACAAGCTAAACATTTTCAAAATTATGCTAGAAACAGTAGGGGAAACGAGGAGGATATACATTTGCAGTGCGAGTAGCGAGGTTCATAGAAGATATTCCCTCTGATACTGGGAAATGAAAAATAGAACATTACAGCTGGGGAAGTTCTTTATAGTTTACTTGGTCTGATATCTTCCTTTCCCCTAGGGGGAAATTGGAACTGCAATATTAAGAGGCTGAGTTACCTGACCACATTTTCATCATCATTTAGAGGCTGAACAAAGACCAGAATCTTGGTATTTATTTGATCCTTCATTCTTGGAAAAAAACCTGTACAACATGACTCTGACATACCATAAGTTTAGAGGCAATCCATGTAAAATTAAGTGCTTTTGATAATGGAGACATCTAAATTGAGCTTTCTTGTATAAAAGTGATTACTGCAGAAATTAAAGTAACAGTCACTGAAAAAAAAAATTCTGCCCAGTTTCAGAAATTGCACTTTCGCTTCTGCAGTGGCCAGATTCACAATGCCCTCAGCATACATTCTTAATTTATTTGGTCTTCTATAGGTAGCATCCCTATAAACTGAGTGAATTTGGATTAAATGATTTCAATGGTAACTTCTAAGTCTATGACTCAGAAATCTGTATTGTCTGAATCTCTCTTAAGGAATTTCCAGTCTTACTGATTTCAGACATACCCACATAAAATAGAGATGATTTAGTTGGCTGGGCGCGGTGGCTCACGCCTGTAATCCCAGCACTTTGGGAGGCCGAGGCGGGTGAATCATGAGGTCAGGAGATTGAGACCATCCTGGCTAACATGGTGAAACCCCATCTCTACTAAAAATACAAAAAAATTAGCTGGGCGTGGTAGTGGAAACCTGTAGTGCCAGCTACTTGGGAGGCTGAGGCGGGAGAATGGTGTGAACCTGGGAGGCGGAGCTTCCAGTGAGCAGATATCGCGCCACTGCACTCCAGCCTGGGCGACAGAGCGAGACTCCGTCTCAAAAAAAAAATTAATTTTAGTTGACTAAGTTCAATTAAAAGTTGGGCTTTGCTGCAGCTGTTCATTTAGAAAAAGGTCAAAATTAAAATTCAGCATATTTAATGCAGAAAGCAAATGTCGGGGTTGAGGGATTGTAGTGTTAACTGGAGTGGGCCTTCTTGGAGAATATGAGTTGAACTCAACCTTGAGGTAGCAGAACTTGAGGACTTAGGTTGAGGGTAGGAGGAGAGGAGAGTTTAAGAAAACCAAACATTGGCTACCGCATAAAATTTGTGCTTGGAAATAGTGTCAAATAGCATTACCACAACTTCCATTGTCCATGCTCTTAGTTCTTCCGTGATTATACTTGAATCCCTCACACTGGCTGGTCTACTCATTCCACTTCTTTTCTAAGGAAGCTTTTTCAGGGTCCTCCCAGCCACTCTCTCATCTGACTGGGTAAAAGATAAATTGACAAATGCGTGCATCTTGTGACATGTCCAGAATATGACTTAATAATGTTGTTAAATTATTGCCTTCTCATCTGCGTGTCTCTTATGTTCTGCTTAAAGAGATTGTCAGTTTGTTCAAGCTCTTTTTAGTTGTTGCTCCTCCAGTGCCTAGCTTTGAGCTTTGTACACGGTAGTTATTGAGTTGAGTAACATAGTTTGTTCTGAGTCATTTGTTCCACATGCTTGAAGACTTGGCTTAACCTAGTAGATAATAGGAAAGAAATGGAAATGCTCTTTGATGAAAGAGCCCCTCTCTTATTCATCCTTTTTAAATTTTCTTTGTGCCCATATGCAGCAGCTCTCAGCAAACCTATATTTGGCAGTGTGGCCTGTATGACTAAAGAAATCCTGGCCAGGCACGGTGGCTCACGCCTGTAATCCCAGCACTTTGGGAGGCCGAGGCGGGTGGATTACGAGGTCAGGAGATTGAGACCATCCTGGCTAACATGGCGAAACCCCATCTCTACGAAAAATACAAAAAAAAAATTAGCCGGGCATCATGGCGGGCGCCTGTAGTCTTAGCTACTCAGGAGGCTGAGGCAGGAGAATGGCGTGAACCCGGGAGGCGGAGCTTGCAGTGAGCCGAGATTGCGCCACTGCACTCCAGCCTGGGGCAACAGAGCAAGACTCCGTCTCAAAAAAAAAAAAAAAAAAAAAAGAAATCCATAGATCATGGACCCACAAACCCCTAGTTTTATGAGGGAAGTGAGACCCAGAATAGTTGATAACTTTCTCAAGGCTACTAAACATGCAGTTCTCCTCACTCTAGAGAGTGTTCTTTTTTTTTTTGGGGGGGGGGGGGATACCTTGCTCTTTCTCATCTTTGCCTGGCAGTACAAAAAATTTTGCTAGATCCAAGGGTGTTCAATTATCCATCTCTACCCTTTCCTTGTCGTAGGAATGGAGTAGAGGAACACCTAGAAGTCAGGAGACTTGGCTGCTTCTTAACCCTGTACTACATTTGTGTCTTAGAGAATCCACTTAATTTCTCCAAGTTTCTGTTTCTACATCTTTAGAAATGGGGTAGGCCTCATGTGAATGCTAGGTCTCTTCTAGTTTTATTTAGTAATTTAGCACTAGTTCTGAATTCTGTTGACTTTCTGAGGATCCAAGGATCTTCTGTTCTCCTTCCCTCTTACAAATCATTTCCACAGTTTTTGCTAAAAGTAGAGGGGTGTAACATGTATGGGAGTTAGGGGAAGGGCAGAGGTGGGGTGAGGGAGATGGATCTGGGCTATGGTGTGCAGCAGACCTAGTGCCCTTCACTCTCCTGCCCGTCACTCTGCAGTGGTAGCATGGGATGCAAAAAACCAGCCGACTCGACAGGATAGTCTCTGACTTTTGGACATTGAGTATCTTTTTGGTGTTGGATGCCTTGTCTTCACTTTCCCTCTTCTTGTGGTCTGGGTTGTTTGGTGTCTCGATGTCTGTGAAGCATAATAAGACAAAGAGCAGACAGAACTGCTCTTTCAGAGTGTCACCAGAGATGGAATAAAGGCTCCTAAGGAATTCTGAGGTGTCGTGTGATGAAGCCATGGCAGCTCCCTCTGGTGAAGGAAAGAAATGTGCCCTCTTCACCTCCTTTGAAGTGCTGAGCCTACCCACAAGGATGTGTTTTTTCTAGAAGGAAAAGTCTCCACTTTTGGCAGCAGAACTGAAATAGAAAAATTGAGCTTGACCTATTTCCTTAGCAGTGAGTGCCTTGCATTGTCCTCTCAGGCAGTATGAAAATCCTTGAACTGGGAAACTGACAGCTGCAATCAGACACTTGCATTGGGGGAAACTTCATGAATTTTAATAGGAGTGCTGCTCCTGGATGAGGTTGGGAGAGAAAAGAGAGCCAAGCCAATTCAAACAAAAGGAGCAGAAGGGGCTTTATTACATGAACAGCTCATGGCAGTGATGAGAGTAATATTCAAATTATTTATTTGACAACGATTTTGATGATTTAAGAGGGAAGGATTGCTGAACTCCTATGAAGTCGAAGGGGTTATGAATCTTCCATGATTATTAATCCCACTGTACTGAAGGCAAAGAAGGAGGGTATATCAAAACATGAATTGCTAACAGTAGCAGTCCTCAGACACCGCACTTTAGTGATACCCAGGAAATGAACTCCGGGAATGGCAGTCACCACTACTCAGATAAAACTGCTTCCCTCATGGACTCACCACACACAGGCACAGACGCATGTGCACACCCACAGAGCCAGTTTCTGGACATCCTTTCTGCCCTCTTTGATGTACGTAGCACTTCCCCTACTGAGTAGCCATGCGGCATCCTGTTTGTCCAGGAAGGAAGTGTTGGAATCTGTTCTCATTGTCAGACCTCTCTTATGAAGCTGCTGCTTGTCAGCATTGATATTCCCAAGGTGGTCTCCTAAGTCAGGAAGAGTATAGAGGCAGTGCTTCTTGTTTTATATAATAGTCCCATCCACTTCTTTCACAACGTGCCTTCCATGCCACTCCCAGACTAATGTTTGTCAGAAGCGGGGACTGCTTTTGAAAATTCATGCAACCGTGAGCTACTTTTGTGTTTGCGGCCACGCTTCGTTTAAGAAGGGGACCTGAGGCCGGGCACAGTGGCTCACACCTGTAATCCCAGCACTTTAGGAGGCCGAGGCAGGCGGATCACGAGGTCAGGAGTTCAAGACTACTGAATGTAGTAATTTCAGAGTCCCACTTTTCTGAATAAATCACAAAATAATGTTTTAAGTGAAGACGGTACTTAAAAAAATACATTAGGCTGGGCGCGGTGGCTCACACCTCTAATCCCAGCACTTTGGGAGGCTGAGGCAGGTGGATCACCTGAGGTCAGGAGTTCAAGACCAGCCTGACCAACATGGTGAAACCCTGTATCCACTGAAAATACAAAAATTAGCCAGGTGGTGGTGATGTGCCCCTGTAATCCCAGCTACTCAGGAGGCTGAGGCAGGAGAATCACTTGAACCTGGGAGGCAGAGGTTGCAGTGAGCCGAGATCACAACATGGCACTCCAGCCTGGGTGATGGAGTGAGACTCCGTCGCAAAAAAAAAAAAAAATATATATATATATATATATATTTATATATATTTATATATTTATATATATATTTATATATATTTATATATTTATATATATATTTATATATATTTATATATTTATATTTTTTATATATATATAATTTATGTATATTTTATATATATTTATAATTTATATATATTTATATATATTTATAATTTATCTATATATATTTATATATATTTATCTATATATATTTATATATATATAAAGCTTTGTTCAGCAAATTCCTGTGTTGGTGGGACTATTTAGCCCAGGGAGATTTCAACCAAGGACGGTTACCTGTGAGAGTGCTGGCTGACTTTCCACAAACCATTTAGGAAGTACTGAAGAAAACAACCATACGCTGAACAGAACCAGCAATTGTGGTCTCCAGATTCAGGAGGGAACTAATTTCTGGGTGTTTGAGCCAGTCTTTCTCCTGTGGCTGGAGGGGAATGAAATGGGTATTTCCATGGGTCGGAGAATTGGGACTCACGACAGACTAAGGCAGAACACGTGAGAAATGCAAGTGAGGGCTGTCCTTCACCCAGATGAAGGAGCCCCTCTTTGGTCCCCTGCCAGGGCTTGTTGTCAACCGGTGGAGGTGGTGGAGGAAGGACTTGGTGAGTCTTTGTCCCAGGCCTCACAGTTTTGACGGTTTCATATTTAGTCTTGAAAAATGATCATGTAATGAATGTATACAGTTGTAATTTCTGTGAGCTTAAATAATGTGTTGCACTTACTGTAGAATATGTCTTGATTCCTGTAGCTCATTTTGGCGTGTCTTCATGCTTTAGTAAGGTGGAAGTGGCCCTGCCTCTTGGCATTGGAGAAGCCCTCTCTCCCCTCTCTGTACCGTGCTCCTTCCTAACTCTTGGCCTATTCTTCTGTCCATAATAGAGCTCCTGCACTGAGGTCTACACGGGCTCCCATTTATCTTTGCCTGTGCTGTAAGCCAGAGTATCTTTAAATCGTGTAAGTTGCCCGAGGCAACCAGCTATGGCAGAAGAAGATAGGTGGCTGGAATTTATTGCGGAAGTAACATTTATTTACGTTTGGGATCCCACTAATGTTCGAATCCTTGCTTCTGTGCTGTCATGCCTCCCTCTTGTCTCATCACATCTGTTCTCTGCCTAAGCCCCATGGTTTTCCATAGCCATCTCCATGCCTATCCTTGTAGTAAAAGCTGTCCTTCCGCCATGAATCTAATACTATGAGCCCTGAGCCTGGAGTCCCTGCCTCTGTGCTATTCATCCACTCACCCATCACTAAATATTCCCTGAGTGCCTACGGCACAGGCGCAGGCACAGTGCTGAGTGCTCTGGGTGTAAGAGCGAGAAAGATACGGTCTCCAGGTGCTGGGTGTCTTCCTAACTTTCCTGAGCTGCTGCAAGCTCATGGTGACCTACCTAAGCCTCCACCCTTGATATTCAATCAGGCCATATCCACCTGCCTACGTTCCCAAGTTTCCTTGCCACACCATGAGAATCCAAGGGTGACTTCTGTTCATAATAATGGAGAAATAATGTACCAAAACATCTTCCCGGAGAGGGGCTGAGAGGCCTTAATGCTGTGGTAAGGCAGGGTATTCATTCAGGTGCCAAGATGGATTGGAAAATATCCAAGAAGTAAGGAGGCTCTTCTTCTCAGGCTAAATAACAGCCTCCTTGTTGGGAAGGGAATAATCAGTCCCAGCTGGAGAAAAGAGACTGCATTCCCTTTGCTTTTCCATTCAAATCTAATCTTATGACATGAGTTTCTGACATGAGTAGCATTCTTGCCCAGACTTGTGGCCCCAGGGAGGGGATGGTTATTTAAGACAGCTGGCTCCTCCAGCAAAGCATAGAGCTTGATGATAAATGCTTACAGACAACTTCCCTTACTTGCTGGTCCCAGTCCCAGTTTAATTGACACCCCTAGAGATTTGCAAAAAAGAAATAGATGTTTCTTTGAACGGATATCATGTCTCTGAATGCAAGAAAAAGATAAGATGCTACATGCATACAGTTCATCAGTATTTCCCAGCTTAAGGAATTCTTCAGGGAGGGATTCCTTTTATGCATTCCCTGTGAAACAAGTGTCCTCTGCCTTTAAACCCTGTCTTGTGTTATAATGTAGAATAAATCTCATATGATTTTGTTTTTCCTTCCTTTGCTTTGTTTTTTTAAAGGAACTCTTTCTATGAATCAGTGATTTTAAGACATCTTGCAGGGTTTTTTTTGTTTTCTCTAGAAGCTTAGATATAGCTCCAACCTGAATAATTTTAGGTTTTAGTTATTTTAAAATGCTTTTTTTTCCGAGTTGATGCTCCTTTTGGTCAAGAAGCCCTGTATGGAGTAACAGCTCTGCATAAATATTTAGGCCCAAATGTCAAGCATTTGCTTCACATTTCTTTTTCATAATTAGAGATGTAGTCTATGGGCGAGGAATGAATTGATTCAAACATCTTTTCCTCCATCGAAGAACTTTGGTCACTAAAATGGTTATAACACATACACTAAATTGAACATTCTGAGAAAGGCATTTATTTGAAAGAATTTGGAAGTATTAAGGGTATAAAGAATTTATCTTTGCAGTTTATGAAAAGTAATGATATTAATGATAGAATTATCTTTCAAAAGCAAAAGTTTGAGGAATAGATCGATGAGCCAAAAAGGAGAGTGTAAGAAAAACTAAGAACTGCTTAGGTTTCAAAATCAGTACTTAGTGAAAAAAGAAAATTGTAAAGACATAATCAGTATGACATAACTTACATAAAAGTTTTGAAACATACCAAATAATATTCCTGGTTGTCTGTGGACACATACCTCTATAATATGAGGTCTGAAAACATGGGTTGGAAGGATATATGCCAAATGCTTGACAGAATTGTCCTGGGTTGGTGGGGAAGGAAGCAGGGCACTGGGGCTGGGGACCAGGAACAAAAGAGAATTTAACTTTGTAATGTTTTGTTTCCATGTATTAAAGGGATCTGAAGTAGACATGACCAAATGATATTTGTTAATTCTGGGGGCTGGGAATTATTTGCTGTAACTCTTCAATCCTGAATTAAATATATGAATTACCTTAAAATGAAAACAAAAAGAGTTTTCTACCCTCATTGTGAAGCTCCACGTAAATGGGGGCAGAGGTTCACAGCCAACAGTCATAACCTTTCTATGGGTATTTGCATATTTAGAGTAGGCATTGATAAGCCAATTAATCTAAATAATGAACTATCTTGCTTTGAATTCTTCTAAACTAAGTATTTGCTCTATCAACTTGCAAATCAGTTGTACATATGTTAGCATAAAAAGTTTTGGCTGTATTTCAGGAACAGGTGCCTTTTAAACAGGAAAATTTAATTGTGGTGTATGCCTCAGCCAATATCAATTTCACTTTTAAAATGTTGCCATAAATAATTCAAACGGATGGCATGCTTTTCGTTTCTGAACAGCCACAGGCATGTAGCTTATTCAGAGGATTTCTTCGACCGTAGATGTGAGAACTTCATCTACTAAGAAGGCTGCTCTAGGGAAAAAAAAAAAAAATCTTATTGCTTTTCTTGTAAGATTTATGTTGGTTTGAAAATGAAAATTTAGATTCCTTGTCATGTGAAAACAGATGCAGCTATACAAACCAAAATCTTGTTTGCAGCACAGAACTGCCCCACTGATTTTGGACTCTAATCTACTCACCTTGCCGGACCACAACTTAAAACTAGGAAATAAGCAGAGAGAACTTTGTCATTCGGCAGTCTGAAATTTGGGAACTGAAGTTTATTTTCTTTCCTCCTAATCAAAGCCTCTAACTTTCAACCAGTTTACTCTTATTTTACACTTAAGTTTCCTAAACTTGAAATATCTCTTTCTAAGCTCACAAATGTTAAATGCAACAAATCAGAAGTTGGTGTAGGGGCTGCTAAGAAAGAGATTAAGATTGTCTTTTGATACAAGATACATCTTGTCTTTTGATACACGATGCCAAGGGAGGGAAAATAATTTTATTAAGAAGAAATAAAAATAGTCAAGATTTCTTTTCTTTTCTTTTTTTGAGACAGAGTCTCACTCTGTTGCCCAGGCTGGAGTGCAGTGGCGCGATCTCGGCTCACTGCAAGCTCTGCCTCCCAGGTTCACGCCATTCTCCTGCCTCAGCCTCCTAAGTAACTGGGACTACAGGCGCCCGCCACCATGCCTGGCTAATTTTTTTGTATTTTTAGTAGAGACAGGGTTTCACCGTGTTAGCCAGGATGGTCTCGATCTCCTAACCTCATGATTCACCCACCTCGGCCTCCCAAAGTGATGAGATTACAGGTGTGAGCCACTGCGCCCAGCCAAGATTTCTTCTTTTAATAGTGATGATTTTCCTAGAAACATAAATAGTCCCACTGTAGTAGAATGTAGTCATGGTGTCTTTGCTATTCGTGCTGAATAGTTGTTGTTTTCCAAAGTAAGTATAGAATTAACTAACTTATTTTCAAAATAAGTATAGAATTAACCAACCATACCTCCTTAATTGATGGTTCTCTTAGTCTTGATTCCAAGGGTCTTAACTACCTGGATGTGCTCATTGTATGCTAAACAGACACCAAAAGGGTTGACTAATCTTATTTTTATGTACAGACAATCAATTCCCGAAAAATGCTGCAGGTTTTGCATTGATTTAAAAATTTTAAAGGTCATAATATTATTAATACATATTTATACCCTTAGAATTCCCAGTTTGTCAGCAAATAGAGTCCCATTCTGTTATGCCATTGAAAGTAATGATAAAAACTGCAGTTACTTTTGCACCAACCTAATAAAACCGTGATTGTAACTTGGGTTTGTAATTTGTTTTTAAAGAGCTAGACAGTTTGTTTGAAGATATCAATTTCCAAACATATTCAGTATTCCGTAAGGTATGGGAGATTGGCCTAAACTTGTACCGACCTTATGATATTACTTAGAAGTTGATCCTTAAAAAAAAATCCTAGATATAAGCTTACATACTTGCCATTCATTTACTCCATAAAAGTAAGATGTAGAAAAATGGTTTGATTATTTGGGTTTTAGACAAGTATAAAAAATTATCTGACTTACCTCAATAAGCCCTGTTATGTTTTTTCATAGGTTGTAAATTACACTGTTAATACTTCTTTAGGGAGACAGTATGTGGTCCAAGTATAAAGAGTATGTTCCAAGTTAGAGTGTAAATCTCAGCTCCTCCCTTACTGGCTGTATGACTTTGCACAAGTTACTTACCCTCTTTGAGCCTCTTTTTGTGTAAAATCGGAATGGTAGTCCCCACTTCACAAGGTAGTTTCCTGGGAGTTACGTGAAATTCATTGTGTCATTGCATAGTTAGGTATTCCATGCTTGTTCCCATTCCATTTCTGTTGGAAATAGAAAATTTTGGATTGGAAGATTGCCACCTTTTGCTTTGGTTCTCAATTGCCTTCTCTATAACACTTATGATTTCATTTTTTGTTTATTATTTGAAGATGACTGAGTCCTAGAGAGCATTTATTTAAGTTCCAGTCACATCTGCTTGAACACGTTCCACTCTAGCTTCTTCAGAATAAAAGCTCATGATCATTGGACTCAATAGGTTTCTTCTGACTTCTTCACCTGAGTTCTTCTAAAACTTTGCTCTATTGGGGCGCAGAACACAATACCCCAAAGTGAAGGCATCAGAAACAGCCTGAGAAGCAGAGTCTCTCTCTGACCTTCTCCTGCCCTCTGGTCTCTTACCCCTCTTTCTCCCCCAGGCAGGCCACGGAAACTAGAATCTCTTCCCCAAGGTGGGTCGTAGAAACCAGAAACCCTTTTCCCCAAGGCCAGCCATAAAACCTGAAAATATTCCTCTAACTTTCCCCAAACCTTTCTCTGTAAGAGCTGGCCATAAAGAAATTATCTGACCTACCTTGTGTGGTAGTAGATCATAAGACCCCCATTCCAGAAAGAGTCCTGCCCCAAACCCAGGAGGAGGGACTGCTGCACACAGAGATCGGGAACACCCTGGACAGACAGGCATTGCTGAGTTTCTCTACCTCAGTCTACTAGCATTATGTCACAGTCTTTGTCCAATTATATTTCTACATGGCTGTCCACTCTTGATTGGACCTAAGCATACAAGTGGATAGCTGTATCTTTGGGTCTTCATTGTGAGGGCTTGTCATGTAAAAAAATTTTTAAAAATTTAATAAATTTGTTATGCTTTTCTTTTGTTAACCTGTCTTTTGTTATAGGAGTGTCTACCGTGATCCTTACGATGGGGAAGAAAGGGATCACCTTTCTGCCCCTACAGTTCCAGCCTTCTTCACTTGGTGGAAAGCTCCAGAGTGGGTTTGAAACCTTTTCCTGTGGGAATTAAGACTGGGGGTAGGGAGCGGCTCTCAGTAGGGGGCAATCAGAGGACTGACATAGAAATGACCTCTTTTACAGGAAGAATGATGATTGCTTCTCCTCCCAGAATATATTTAGAAGCTCAATATCTCTGAATTCTTTAAAACCTTTTCATCCTATTGATAGAAAGAGGCACTTCCTAAAGCCAAATCTTTGGTCTCAGTATTCCATGATTGGTCTTAACTGGTGAATAGTTATTATTATGAGAAGGTTGCAGTGGGAAAAGGTTAGATCCAGTGTTTTTTTATTTTTTAGGAAGCAAACCAAATGTAGGGAGCTGTCTGCAGATGCCTTTGAGAAGCCCTTTACTGTAAGAACTGTCATCTTTTAGCTTCAGTTCTGTTTCCATGGCAACCACATGGTCCCTGAGTGCCTGGCTGAATGAATTTACAGGAAGCTGAAAAACATTGCTATTCTAAGTAGCTTTCTTCTTCCTGTAGAAAGGGTCCTTCCCTTACTGTAGGCCAGCCAACATTTACTGGGAACAAAGAGGGCTATTTATGCTCATTGTACTCTGGGCCAAGGGTAAAGAAATGGGGAGAATCCCAGCCTCTGCTTACTGACCTGTGAATTTGTTTATCTGGTTGTTGTCACTAGCATTTTGGAAGGACCAAATGATTTACCTTTCCTTTATTTCAGATATGGTTTCCCTGTTCATTTTTTTTTTTAATTAAAAAAATTTTTTTCGAGACAGGATCTCACTCTCTTGTCCAGGCTGGAGTGCTGTGGCACCATCTCGGTTCGCTGCAGCCTTGACCTCCCAGGCTCAAGTTATCCTCCCACCTCTGCCTCTCAGTAGCTGGGACCACAGTTGTGCATCACCACGCCCAGCTAATTTTTTGATTTTCTGTAGAAACAAAGTATCACTATGTTGCCCAGGCTGGTCTTGAGCTCCCGGCCTCAAGCGATCCTCTCACCTCAGCCTCCTAAAGTGATGGAATTACAGACATGAACCACTCTACCTGGCCTCCCAAATCATTTGAAGCAAAACTTTTATCCTAGGGGTAGAACTGTTTAAGAAAAATGGAGTGGGAAAGAGTCATGTCTGGAATAACGTTAGTTACAATGTAGTTAATTTGTTGATTTTATAGCCTTCAAGCATCTAGATGGGCAGTTATTTAAAATAAGTGTCTCATGCCAGCAATAGAAATAATGATAATGGCTCAGGCAGATCTTAGGTCATCGTTTATTGCATGTTAACGTTGTGGTATGTTCTTTACATCTTTAAAAAGTTGTATTTCTGCTTGCTTACATGATAGAAAACTTATATGTAGTAGAATATTGTTTGGGGGGTTTAAAATGAAATGCAGCTCCCTTTTGGCATTTTATGACTTGTAACATGACCATTTCTTAGGGAAAAAAATGAAGGCTATCAATATAGTTTTATTAAAAGCCTATAGAGTATTTTTAGTTTCAAAGATAAGCCATTTACTGGACTTCCTTTCTGAGTTCCTTCAAATCCTTTTTAGAAGCAATGTAGAAATATTTTGTTTTTTTAACTACTCTTAGATAGAGACAGCCTTTTAGCTGAATTCTGATAATGAAAGCATTTAATTTCAGCAGGAGGTAGGGATTTTTGTTCTCTCTCTCTCTCTTTCACACCACCAACCGCCCCCACCACCTGCCAACACAGTTAAAGAAAATCCATAAAAAATGCTGATCTATTCTATACTCCTGATATCTATCTTCCCATTACGTCTTCTATAAAATGTGGTCCTTGTTCAAAAGATGGACATTTCAAGAGGGCTAGGATTTTCCCTTTACTCTGTTTAGATAAGTAGATGCCAGTTTAAACCAGTTTCTCACTGAGATCCAGTGATGTTCCTTTTGAATTTTTATCAGATCTTAGAAAATGTCAATAAAATAGCCGTGGAAAATATCTCAAGAGACCCTCATTTAATGCAATCTGAAGTCTCTGAATAGCACCAAATGTGGAGTGTAATTGCAAATTGCAGTGCTTTAAATCCCTTCTACCAAATTGTTGCAGTAGCAGATTTCACAAGTAGTTTTTCTCAAATCATCCTGAAATAATAATAAAAGAGATTTAATTCTTGAAAGAGCTTATATGATGTAAGATCAGTTTTTAGAGTTATTTTAAGGTGTCCAGGGCCAAAATTTGATCAACCAAGTATTTGCTATATCTTTTATAAGGAGCTACATAGGATTTGACTGGTCTACCCAAACAATTTATAGGTTATCTTGGGATAGAAAACTAACATCATAAATTTGGGAACCAGGACTACTCTGCATTATAATGAGTTGATAGGAATCCATAGAGTATGAGATGGACCCTCTAGAGAGGGCTACCTGGAAAAAGTAGGACCCAAGGCATTTCTTTTGATTTCTTTTTTTCTTTTTCTTTTTTTTTTTTTGGAGACAGAGTCTCACTCTATTTCCCAGGCTAGAGTGCAGTGGCGCAATCTTGGTTCACCACAGCCTCCACTTCCTGGCTCAAATGGTCCTTTAGTCTCAGCCCCCCAAGTAGCTGGGACCACAGGCATGAGCCACCACACCTGGCTCATTTTTCTATTTTTTTGTAGTGATGGAGTTTCTCCATGTTGCCCAGGCTGGTCTCGAACTCCTGACCCCAAGTGATCTGCCTGCCTTGGCCTCCCTAAGTGCTGGGATTACAGGCGTGAGCCACCACACCCAGCCTCAAGGCATTTCAATCATTATGCATTCAACAGAAATGTATTAAGCAAAGCCTATATGCTAGGTGCTATGTAATGCTGGAATTATAGTGGTGAACAAGACTGCATGTATGGTGCTCAGTCTGGTGAGAGGTCCAGACACAAAACCAGGCAGTTAACCTCAATGATAACATCTATCTTGAGTGAGTTAGAGTATTGAGGAAACATCTGGATTTGGAGGGGCTTTGAAGATTTCTTTGAGGACATGCAAAGCTAAATCTTGAACAGAAAGAAATCGATGGACATTACTATGTAGCCACTTAAAATAGTGTTTCTTTTACTCTCTCTCAGAAAAATGCATTTCAACTTTTCTAAAAGCAGTCTCCTAAAATATAAATAATAGCTCTTTTAAGAAACTAAAATATTTAGACTTTAGAATCTTAGAGCAGGAAGGGGTCTTAGAGAAATCCAACTTGCTTTGACACCAACTCCTGTGTACTTCTGGAAAGAGTAAGAAACACAAGATTTCCAAAGAGTGTCAATGGGTCAGGAAATGGGTGTCAGTCTTGTGTTTCTTCTTCTTCTTCTTCTTCTTTTTTTTTTTTTTTTTTGAGACGGAGTCTCACTCTGTCGCCCAGGCTGGAGTGCAGTAGCGCGATCTCGGCTCACTGCAAGCTCGACCTCCTGGGTTCACGCCATTCTCCTGTCTTAGCCTCCCGAGTAGCTGGGACTACAGACACCCGCCACCATGCCCGGCTAATTTTTTGTATTTTTAGTAGAGACGGGGTTTCACCATATTAGCCAGGATGGTCTCAATCTCCTGACCTCATGATCCGCCCGCCTCAGCCTCCCAAAGTGCTGGGATTACAGGCGTGAGCCTCCGTGCCCGGCCAGTCTTATGTTTCTTACTCTTAATTCCTAACACACCCCACTCGGGTTCAGAATGTAAGTGTCCAGAGAAGATGATCTCTGTGTGTCCTCTTTTTTTTGTTTTGAGGAAAGGGTTTATTATGCTACTAATATATGCATTGTATTAGTTCCTTCTCACACTGCTATGAAGAAATACCTGAGACTGGGTGATTCATAAAGGAAAGAGGTTTAATTGACTCACGGTTCAGCATGGCTGGGGAGGCCTCAGGAAACTTACAATCATGCCAAAGGGGAAGAAAACATGTCCTTCATATGGTCCAGGAAGGAGAAGAATGAGCCAAGGTGGGGAAAGCCCCTTATAAAACCATCAGATCTTGAGAGAACTCACTCCCTATCACAAGAAGAGCACAGGGGGACCACCCCCATGATCTAATTACCTCCCACGAGGTTTCTCCTCCAACGCGTGGGGATTACAGTTTGGATTACAATTCAAGATGAGATTTGGGTGGGGACACAGAGCCAGATCATATCATGCATAGTATTTTTTTTTTTTTAATCAGACCTCGCCTGGCATGGTGGCTCATGCCTGTAATGGGAGGCCAATGCGGGCGGATCACCTGAGGTCAGGAGTTCGAGACCAGCCTGACCAACATGGCAAAACCCCACCTCTACTAAAAGTACAAGAATTAGCCGGACGTGGTGGTGGGTGCCTGTAATCCCAACTACTCGGGAGGCTGAGGCAGAAGAATCGCTTGAACCGGGGAGGTGGAGGTTGCAGTGAGCTGAGATAGCGTCATTGTACTCCAGCCTGGGCGACAGAGTGAGATTTCATCTCAAAAAAAAAAAAAAATTAATTAATAAATCAGACCTCAAGCCTCTTTCACACGTTTTTGTATCTTTTAATAGATACCAAATAGGGAAAGAAAAAGAGTGGTTGTGGCAAGCTGTTACGAGCTAGCACTGAAATTATGGCTGGCACCTATTCACCCTAACCTGATTAATCTGTCTAGTGAAGGATAGAAAAATTACTTTTTAAAGTCGCCCTCATTCATTTGGAAAACTTAGATGGACTCCTGTAGATACGTTATTTTTCACTTGGATGTTTCCCCATTAGATCCTAACTGATTGCTTTAATTGTGCACCTTAGCAGAAATATTACTTTCCCCTCGTTTGTATAGCTTGCTTTCACAGGCCACGTGGCATCCATTATTCCTGATGAGCTTCTGGAAGAGTTAATTCTTCTTTGCATTGTAGAAAGAATTTAGAAGCAAACAGTAAGAGGCCTTCTAAACTGATACACTTTTCCTCACCCTTGTTAAGAATGATTCTGAGATGTTATTCATACTGATTTTTTTTTTTCCTCAGACGGATTTAGCGACCTGGTCCATACCTCAGTGTTCAACTCGTTTAAAAAATAAATGGTAAAAGGAACATACAGATTACCAGAGTTAAAGAACACAGAATATGTTGTAAAACATAGAAAAATTATCTTAGTGTCCAAACAGATATTTTAAAGGTACTAAGTATTTTATGGGTTCTGTTTTTATCAAGTTGTGTTCCTTTATTCCCATAATAGTCAGGGTGTTCTTCTATAACATTCACCCTATTGTAACATTTTAAACTGAAATTATTAGTTGTCTTGTCCATTTTCATCACTAGACTGTGTGCTTCTTGTCTTTTATTTATGCCTGGCATATTATAGTAGGCACTTGATTAATGTTAGAATGAATGAATGTGCAGTAGTACATTCCTTGGTGAGAGTTACTTTACTTTATATCAGATCCTGGGCATTTTATCAGATGTTCTACATTAAAAAGTATCAACTGAATTTGGGCCACTACTAGGAACAGTTAAATACGTAGTCCCAGGCTGGGCACAGTGTCTCACATGTGTAATACCAGCACTTTGAGAGGCCAGAGTGAGAGGATCACCTGAGCCCAGGAGGTTGAGGCTGCAGTGAGCTGTGATCGTGCCACTGCACTCCAGCCTGGGCAACAGAGTGACTCTATCTCAAAATGTGTGTGTGTGTGTGTGTGTGTGTGTGTGTGTGTAGTCTCATATACTTGTGAAATTTAAGCATGGGCAAATAATGATTGCATTAGACTAAAGAGGTCTATTGTTAAATATGCAAATGTAATTTTAGCATAAAAATAAGATCGATGTGCTTACAATTCTGTTTATTTACATTATCTAAAAAATGTTCGTATTTTGCATGCAGCTCACATATATAGATATATACCAAACCATTGCTTTGCTTTAAGTCAAATCTTTCTTATCCATTTTATGGTTATTTATTTTTGATTTTTGAGACAGAGTCTTGCTGTGTCACCCAGAGTATAGTGCAGTGGTATGATCATAGCTACTGCAGCCTCAAACTGCTTGGCTCATGCAGTCTTCCTGCCTTGGCCTCCCAAAGCACTGGGATTAAAGACATGAGCCACTGCACCCAGCCCATTTTATGACTATTCTAGGGAGCTGCTGGTAGACTGTGTTCTTTAATGATCTTTCCACAGGGCTTTTGTACATTTCTTTCCCTCTGCCTGGAACACTTTCCCTTACAGATATTCATGTGACTTGCTTCCAGTATTTTGTTCAAATGTCACCTTTGCAATGAAGCCTTTCCTGACCACCCTCTTTAGTACTGCAGCACCCATCCTCTGCATTCACTACTCCCCTTCTGTGCTCTTTATCTTCTGTTGTGACATAAATTTACCTGTGCACACACTTCCTTAATGAGGTCAATAATTTTTGTCTCTTTTTTCTTCCTTTACTGATGTATCCTGTAGCACCTAGAATAGTGCCTGGCACATAATGAGTGCTCAGTAAAAACACTTTAAATGGGTGGAGGCTGAAGTTGTTTAACATCTTGTGAGATATGTCCCTGTCCCGAGTATACCTGCGACATGTTTTGTTTCTCAGTTGTACTTTTTTTTTTTTTTTGTGACAGAGTCTTGCTCTGTCGCTAGGCTGGAGTGCAGTGGTGCGATCTCGGCTCACTGCAACCTCTGCCTCCCCGGTTCAAGCGATTCCCCCTGCTTCAGCCTCCCGAGTAACTGGGACTACAGGTGCGTGCCACCACACCCAGCTAATTTTTATACTTTTAGTAGAGACGGGGTTTCGCCATGTTGGCTAGGATGGTCTTGAGCTCTTGACCTCATGATCCGCACCCCTTGGCCTCCCAAAGTGTTGGGATTGCACGCGTGAGCCACTGCTTCTGGCATCAGTTATATCTTTTATTCACTTTATAGCTGTCATTTCTTTGCCAGTAGCAGTGACTGAATTAAGGCATATCAGAACCTAGTTGAAAAATTGTGCCCAGGTGTGGCGGCTAACATTTGTCATCCCAACACTTTGAGAGGCTGAGGCAGGTAGATTGCCTGAGCCCAGGAGTTCAAGACCAGCCTGGGCAACATAGTGAAACCTGGCCTCTAACAAAAAATACAAAAATTAACCAAGTGTGGTGCCGCATGCCTGTAGTCCCTGGAAGGCTGAGGTGTGAGAATCCCTTGAGCCTGGGAGGTGGAAGTTGCAGTGAGCCAAGATCGCAACACTGCACTCCAGCCAAGGCAACAGAAAGAGAAAAAGAAAATTGTATAATTTGGTTAACTGCTTAACCAAATAGGCATTCAGTGACTAGAACCTGAATCAGAGGGAGGCAGACATCTTATGTACACTATGTTTGGGAATCCAAACTTAAACTGACAGGTGAAATCATTAAAAGGTCAATTAAGAAGATCCAAGGGCCGGGCATGGTGGCTCACGCCTGTAATCCCAACACTATGGGAGGCTGAGGCAGGCGGATCACGAGGTCAGGAGATCGAGACCATCCTGGCTAACATGGTGAAGCCCCATCTCTACTAAAAATACAAAAAAATAAGCTGGGCATGGTGGCAGTGGGCGCCTGTAATCCCAGCTACTCGGGAGGCTGAGGCAGGAGAATGGCGTGAACCTGGGAGGCAGAGCTTGCAGTGAGCCTAGATCATGCCACTGCACTCCAGCCTGGGTGACAGAGCGAGACTCTGTCTCAAAAAAAAAAAAAAAAAAAGCCAAATAAGCTTCTATGGAAAAAAAAAGTCACCTTTTTGATACATTATGTTCCTGAGACTTGTTAAATGCTTCTATTCCAGATAGTACCTTGATTATTTACTGTTATTTATGCTAATCAAATGCCAACTAATTTAGTACCAGGTGAAATATTTCCTTGTAATAAAATCAATTAAAAATTAACTGATTTTTTTCAGATTCATTCAGATATGTTTTTTAAAATTCAGTTATTTCTTCATGCTAAATTAATTGCAAAAAATGCAATTTCCCTTTTTAAAAAAAATTATATTAAACTGCAGTAGATACATTTTTATTTGGCCAAAAAAAATAAAAATCAGTTCAATTCCATTTAAGAACCATTTATTGAATATATGGATGTGAAAAATAAAATAGTTAGAAATATAAGGTAGACATAACTGACTATAAAACAAGACATTAATGACTACAAATAAGGTAAAATGAACAAGAACTGTAAGTAGAAAGAGGACCTGTGGGATTTCAGATGAGAAAGCCGCATGCTGTCAACTGGAAAGCAGAGATGCAAAAGTAGAGGACTTGCACCTAAATTGCTGGGTTCTCATTTGTTACCTGTGTCTGGGCAAGTTTCTCTCTTTATATCTGTTTTCTTGTTTATAAATGAAGGATGATAATAGTATAACCTCGTGGGATTGTTGTAGGGATTGAGATAATACATGCCGCCATATAGACAGAAAATTCAGAGAGGTTAATTGATGCCTAGACTTAGTAAGTCCTAAATGTAAGTGGTGGTGAGGGCAGTGGATAATGTAGCCGTTGTACCACTCACCTGGAAAAGTTACTCTGGTCTGAGAACTCAGTTCCAATAGGAGAAGCCCATGCAGAGCCACAGTTCATTTGGCAAACCTGTATCAAGCACCCGCTAAAGCCAGGAACTCTACTAGACCTGTGGGAATGATGAACAGGGAACACCCATGCCCACCTGGAGGTCAGGACACTAAAGGGTGGTCAGGCTGTGGGTGCCTGTAAATCCAGCATTTTGGGAAGCCAAGACAGGAGGATCACTTGAGCCCAGGAGTTGAGACTTGAACTCCTGGCAACTCAAACTTATGGGCATCATAGGGAGACCCTGTCTCAAAAAAAAAAAAAAAAAGGCCAAGTGTGGTGGCTGTGGTCCCAGCTACTCAGGAAACTGAGGCAGGAGGATCACTTGAGCCCAGGAGGTTGTGGAGGTTGTGGCTGCACAGTGAGCCGTGATCATGCTACTGCACCCTAGCCTGGGCAACAGAGTTGAGACCCTGGATAGATATAGATAGATAGATGGATAGATGGATAGTTAGATAGATAGATAGATAGATAGATAGATAGATAGATAGATAGATAGATAGATAGATAGATAGGCAGACAGACAGACAGACGGACGGATAGATGTCAGAAAGGCCTGGGAAACAGTGTGAGGAAAGGCATGGTGGTAAGAATCAGCTCTGAAGCTAAAAATAACCCAGATGTCCTAAACTGATGAAAAAATGAACAAAATATTATATATCCATACCATGGACTATTCAGCTATAGAAGGAATGAACTGCTGATAAATGTTACAACATGGATGAACCTTAAAAACGTGCTAAGTAAAAGAAGCCAGTCATCAAATGCCACATATCTTATGGTTCCGTATACATGAAGTGTCCAGAACTGGCAAATCTGCAGAGCTAGAAAGTAGATTATGGGTGCCTGGGATGTGGAAAGGGGTTTATGGGGAGTGACTGCTAATGGGCATGGTGTTTCTTCTGGGGATGATGAAAATATTCAAAGTAAATTGCAGTGATAGTCGCACAACTCTTAATATACTAAAAAAAACATTGAATTGTGGACCTTAACTGGGTGAATTGTGTGGTCTGCGAATTACAGCTCAATAAACGCTTTTAAAAAAACAACAAAACACCAGCAGTTTGGGAGACCAAGGTGGGAGGATTGCTTGAGCCCAGGAGTTAGAGAGCAGCCTGGGCAACATAGGGAGACCCCATCTCTACCTACTTACCTACCTACCTACCTATCTACATAAATAAATAAATTAAGATTTAGCTAGGCATGGTGCTACACACCTATGGTCCCAGCTACTCAGTAGGTTGAGGTAGGAGGATCATTTAAGCCCAGAGGTTAAGGCTGCAGTGAGCTGAGACTGTGTCACTGCACTCCTGCCTGGGTGACAGAGTGAGACCCTGTCTCAAAAGGAACAAACAAAAAACCCATTAGCACTGTGTGGGCAGGCAACCCAAAGTCATCTTGACTTGGCTGTTGGGTGAACAGAAGACATGGCAAAGACAGGGTTGGGGGTCAGTTGAATGCACCCTTTGAAGGAGCATTATCTTGCCATAAAAGGTAGCCACTGAGGGCTGAGTGGTACGTGATCACCCAGTCATACCTGTGAGAGACAGTATACCGATACCCTTGCAAACAGAAATGACAGATTCCAGGGAGTGGTGGAAGATAGGTTAGCAAACCTGTTCCAGGGCCATGTCAGGAGTCCAGGTAAGAGAGAAGGAACCAAGGAATAGAAGTAGAGACGCTTGAAAACCATGTAAGAAGTAAAAAGGCCTAAATGTGAGCGGTTGGTGAGGAAAGGAGAAAGGATGACTCCCTGAATTCTAGCATGAGTGAAGGGGTGTGTGCTAACACCAACGGAGATAGAAGAGAACAGGAACAATTGAAAATACAGTTCTTAAAGGCCCTGGACACTGTAGCTAGAGCCGTTTCAGTGAGATACAGAAGCCACATCTTGCTTGAAGAGAATTGGAACAAACAGGCAGTCTCCATGCCTGTTTCTCTTACTGTCTGTGCAGTCAACTTCTTGGCATTGCAAAAAGGCACATCATTTGGGTCACTTAAATAATATGACCTGAGCCATCTACATTGTATCTAGTTCACTTTCTTCTCTCTGGAGCATTGTTTTCTAACTCTGTAGTGAGACCTCTTTTTTTCCCCAATGAAAAGCTAAATAGTGATTCGGAAAACTTAACGAATATTGAGATTTGTCAGCCTGTTCAAGTACTAGAGTGTTGTTTGTTTTTTCCTAACTTTGTTGGAAATGGATTACTTCTTAAGAAGAAAGCTTACCACATATCCCATTGAAAACTGGTGAAAATAAAGCCTATCTATGTTCAAAGTCCTAGAAGATGGTTCTTCTGGTCACCACTGGGATAAATGGATGAATGTGCTCCCTGGGATAGATCCAGGTTCTGTGGAACTGAAACTAATACAGTATGGAAGGGAGGCCCTTTTTGAAAAAAGAATGTGAAATTGGGCTGGGCATGGTGACTCACACCTGTAATCCCAGCACTTTAGGAGGCCGAGGCAGGCAGATCACGAGGTCAGGAGATCAAGACCATCCTGGCCAACATGGTGAAACCCTGTCTTTACTAAAAATATAAAAAATTAGCTGGGTGTGGTGGCATGCACCTGTAGTCCCAGCTACTTGGGAGGCTGAGACAGGAGAATCATTTGAACTTGGGAGATGGAGATTGCAGTGAGCCGAAATCGCACCACTGCACTCCAGCCTGGTGACAGAGCAAGATTGCGTCTCAAAAAAAAAAAAAAAAACAAGTGAAATTGAGACCACATATTTAGATATAGGGCATTAGAAGATCCCTGAAGCTTAAGCCTCATTAGCTTCATGGCAAATCTTCCCTTGATCTTGATAATGCTGGTGGTAGGGATGATGGGGGTGACTATTAACACATTGAGCACTCATGTGCAGACATTGTTCCAAGCAGTTTTTATATATTAATCCTCGAAACAACCCAAGGCACGGTAGCAGAGGTACAGAGAAGTCACACCCAAGGTCACACAGTGGGAAGCAGAGTTGTTAGGAGAGGGAAGAAGGGCAGTATGGAAAAGAATACTAAACTGAGAGCAGAGGCCTTCATGAATGTCAGCTTCACCACCCATCTGTGGGGAACCTGGGGGAAAAATCACGTACCTTTTTGCATGTACGTCCTTGACTTCACCTGTGAAAAAGGAATATTGATGCATGTCATGAATCCTTGACTCTGTTGTTCTGAGGTTGAGAGAATGTGTAAAAGTGCTTTGTGAAGGTAAAGTGCTTAGAAACGTAGTTATATTACACAGCTTTCTCTTCCACTTCAATACTTAAAATTCAGGCTTAAAAATTCATTTAGTTTTGCTTTTCATTTCACTTCTAATGTGTCTAATTTATTTCTTGGACATGATTTTTGTTCTCAGGTTACTTGTCTGCAAGACTTTTTTGGTGATGACGATGTTTTTATTGCATGTGGACCAGAAAAATTTCGTTATGCCCAAGATGACTTTGTCCTGGATCATAGTGGTAAGGCAATTCTTCAGCTAATTCATTTTTCCATCTTTGTAACCCCTGAAATGAAGGCTTGGGATTTAGCCACTCAGTTGGTGCATGTTAAGAAGTCTGACATGTTGAGGAAAGATAGCATTGGCAGTACAATTTTTGAACCAATGAAAATAAAGAATAACATGAAAGCATTTGCCTACTTATAAAAAAAGAAAGAAAGAAAAAGAAAAAGAATAACCCAATGCCTAATTCAAGTAGTTTTCACTTTTAGCAATTCAGTTCCCTCTCTTATTGCATTGTTTGCATTGTTTTGCCACTGAGATGTTCCATGCCTTCCTTCAGAATGGTGGTTGGCTGTGCCAACTTAAATGCATGGATAGTGTTGAACATGAAACAATTAGTCATCCATTTTTTGTGATGTGTATGCATAAGGAAATCTATATTAAAAAGAAATAGATGAAAGGATAATAACTATCAATGGTGATTATCTGAGGTGTCTTTCAACCTCACTGGGTTTTTTTTGGTAGCAACATTTTTTTTTTAATTGAGACAGTGTCTCCTTTTGTCTCCCAGCCTGGAGTGCAGTGGCACGATCACAGCTCACTGCAGCCTTGACTGTGCTGCTGGATTCAAGTAATCCTCCTGCCTCAGCCTCCTGAGTAGCTAGGATTAAAGGCATAAGTCACCATTCCTGGCTAATTTTTAAATTTTTTGTAGAGACAGGGTCTTGCTATGTTGCCCAGGCTAGTCTTGAATTCCTGGCCTCAAGTGATCCTCCCACCTCAGCCTCCCAAAGTGCTGGGACACACACACACACACACACACACACACACACACACACACACACACACACGTATACTTACTTTGTTTATATACAGTCATGTACCATGTAAGGATGCTTTGGTCAATGATGGGCTACATATATGACTGTAGTCCCATCAGGATTTTTACAATACCTTCTCGATGTTTAGATGCACAGGTCCTTACCGTTGTGTTACGGTTGCCTACAGTATTTGGTACAGTTACGTGCTATACAGGTTTGTAGCCCAGGAGCAATAGACTATACCATATAGTCTGGGTGAGTACTAGGCTACACCATGTAGATTTGTGTAAGTTTACACCATGATGTTCACACAATGAATAAATTGCCTAATAATGCACTTCTCGAATGTATCCTCATGGTTAAGTGACATATGACTATATTTAGAAAGAAAGCTATTTCTTTGGTGAGATGAAAAAATCCCCTTTTGCTAACTTTTGCCAATATATGGCATTTTCAAGTAGTATTTGGCAATAATAATCTCAACTATTTCATATGTTATTGGTCCTGGGAATACTGTTTTACCCTATTGTCTTAAATTGCTTTAAACCTGTTTACAGTAATAGTGATTATTTTAGCTGGTAGTAAAGTCAGCTTCCTCTTTAAATGAAGTAAAATTATACACACATCACATTTCAGAGGAGAGGGATCTTAGAGATACGATCCTCCTCTTTAATTTTATGAATGAGGAAAGCTGGCTTTTAAAAAGGTAGACAGTAAACCACTTCTAGTTGTAGTGTTTCTGACAGTCCAGGATTAGAGAACTGTACTACCAAACAAATACAGTGATACCTAGGCTTTTAAAATTTTGAGAGGATACATTCTGTGGTACCAAACTTCCTTGTGTCATTACTTCTTGTTGCACTGTGTCAGTCATTCATGAGCTTGGGGGTCATTCATCTACTCTTTTTGTTTTTCTGTTTTGTTTTTCATCTCTGCCAAATTTGATGGTTTCTATATTATATTCTGTTGGACTGGCCCTATTTCAGCCTGGTGACACCACTGGAAAGTCCTTAATTATAGATAATGTCCTGTTACGTTATCTGTGCTAGTGCTCTCCCTCATTCCTGTGTGGTTAAGGTTAAATAAAATAGGCATTTATATATATATTATATATAATATTATATATTATATACAATATTATATATTATATAAACAATATTATATATTATATACAATATTATATATTATATAAACAATATTATATATTATATATTATATTATATATTATATATTATATTATATATTATATTATATATTATATATTATATTATATATTATATTATATATTATATATATTATATAATATTATATATTATATATATTATATAATATTATATAATATATATATTATATAATATTATATATTATATATATTATATAATATTATATATTATATATATAATATATATTAGATATATTATATATTATATATATTATTATATAATATATATTATATTATATATCATCTGTACTTTACATCTTTCTTAAATTTAGCTTTAGTTTCATAATATTTCTTTGATGTCAGGTGTCATTTTGAAAGCTGAGCCACTGAAACTAAATATGTTCTGGTTTATAAAGTTAATATGTATAACAATAACATTTGTTGAGCCACTTACTTTGTATGTACAGGCATTGTACTCAGTGCTTCATGGGTATGTTGTACTTTGATCTAAGCTACTTGGATCGTTGGTAGTTTTTGTTGATGGTGAACAGGGCCTGCAATAGTTAGAAGTTGGTGAGAGCTATTGATTTATTCCTTCTTGATCTCGAGTTACTTAACCTGCAAAGTAGGGATAATAATGGCTATAAGGTTTTCTGAGGATCAAATGCATTATAATATAATATATGTCATGCAGTTGGGAGTGTGCCTGTCACATAGTAATATGCGTCCACTGCTATCTTTGTTGTTGTTAATAATAATATTACACCAACACCATTATGTGGTAAAATTTTACAATGATTTTACAATGAGCAAGTCTCAGACCTAATTCTGCCACAGATACGTTTATTAGGAGGCAAATTTTTTTTTAATCAGTTATTTAACTTGTATTGTAATCTTAATGAGGTCCCAACTCTCTGCTTTTAGGCTTCTAATAACATCTTGTGTTAAAGGCCCATTCAGAATGCATGGAATTCAGTTTACCTGATCTTAGTGAAGTAACTACATCCTCGATTAATCGATACAGGATTGGTTCCAATTCATAAACCTAGGATATAGTTCTGCAGTTCTAGGTTGTTGGCTCTTGATATTTACATATCCTGCTCATATAAAAGAGTAGCAATGCATTTAAGATGTTTCTAATAATCTACACACACCTTTCAACAGTCGGATACTTTTAACATCCACAATGCTAATTAAGCAAAAATTGCTCCCTTTGTGTAAGGTTTTGATTAGAATCTTTCAAATGCTAACTAGCCTCCCCTTGGGTGTATTTTCCTGGTTAGTGTACTTCACTTGTCAGTTTACTGCCCCTGGGGTATAGACTAAAATTAATCCACATTTTAAACTTCCTGCATAAATTGAAGTATTTTAGAGTAAACTACTACAGACAGTATGTTACCTAATTTAACTCTTATAACAAGCCTATGATGTAAATTTTATTCTTATCCCAATTTCACTGGGGCAAAAAAAAAAAACTCAGGCTTACAGCCAAGGCCCCTAGTTAACAAATGTCAAATGCATAATTCATTCAAAATCTACACAACTCCAAAACCTATGTTTTTCATTATGCAATTTAGAAGTG
Source organism: Homo sapiens (assembly GCF_000001405.40). Classification (NCBI taxonomy): domain Eukaryota; kingdom Metazoa; phylum Chordata; class Mammalia; order Primates; family Hominidae; genus Homo; species Homo sapiens. Next base: position 150,196,787 of record NC_000004.12, read on the forward strand.
ATTACTTTAGCAATACTTACTTCTGGTACTCTAAATATTATTTTATTTGGTGATTTATGGAAAGAACAGTTGTTTAAAGCTATTCAGCTGGGCACGGTGGTTCATGCCTGTAATCCCATCATTTTGGGAGGCCGAGGCCAGCAGATCACCTGAGATGAGAAGTTCGAGACCAGCCTGGTCAACATGGTGAAAACCCGTCTCTACTAAAAATATAGAGAATTAACCAGGCGTGGTGGTGGGCGCCTGTAGTCCACTCAGGCCAGAGGCTGAGACAGGAGAATCACTTGAACCTGGGAGGCAAAGGTTGCAATGAGCTGATATCACGCCACTGCACTTTAGCCTGGGCGACAGAGCGAGACTCCGTCTCAAAAAAAAAAAAAAAAGAGAGAGAGAAAAAGCTATTTTCCTCATTTTTGATGTTCCATACTTTGAGAAGATGGAACATAATTCAGGAGGGGGTTCATAAGTTAGAGTCCCATACCCTTTTAAAATAAGGCAGTCAAGAAGTTGGAGAGCATAATAAAATTGTAGTCTTTGCCTATCAATACTACTGATTTAAAAAGATAGTTGCACATGTATAGATTAGCTGTGGATGTTTGTGTGTATGAAGTTAGGACATTGGAATTTCTGTACTTAATTAGCTCCATCTGGAACACTGAGGTGATATCCCAAGATGTGTAGCCTTGGCTGGGCGTGGTGGCTCATGCCTGTAATCCTAGCACTTTGGGAGGCTGAGGCGGGTGTACCGCCTGAGGTCAGGAGTTTGAGACCAGCCTGGCCAACATAGTGAAACCCCGTCTCTACTAATAATACAAAAAATTAGCTGGGCATGGTGGTGGGCACCTGTAATCCCAGCTACTTGGGAGGCTGAGGCAAGAGAATCGCTTGAACCCAGGAGGCGGAGGTTGCAGTGAGCAGAATCGCTTGAACCTGGGAGGCGGAGGTTGCAGTGAGCCCAGATCGCGCCATTGCACTCCAGCCTGGGAAACGGGAACAAAACTCCATCTCAAGAGAGAAAAAAAAAAAAAAAGATGTGTAGCCTGACTGAAGGTAAACTCAGGTGTACTTTTGGGACAATTGCTTTGTATGTTAAATTGTTTAACAGTAATACCTAATTATCAGGTAATAGTTCTGGTCAGTAAACAATTACATGTAACTCTGCTTTTGGTCGTTATTAAAACCAGATTTAGTTAATGCACTTTTGTTCTTTTCTAGAATGTCGTGTCCTGAAGTCATCTTATTCTCGATCCTCAGCTGTTAAGTATTCTGGATCCAAAAGCCCTGGGCCCTCTCGACGCAGCAAATCACCAGCTTCAGGTAGTTAATGGAAAAGGAATAGATGGTCATAGCAGGAACAGATCATTTTCCTTCTGTTTTCTCTAATTTTTATGAATTAGTAGTCTTTGCCAGGGTCGTATGCAGCCAAGTTCCAGAAAAACAGAGATGATGTGACTTTTAAAACCAAAAGTCAAGTCTGTTTCCCCAGTTACAATAATTCTCCTAAGAGACTTGTGTGGTTTTGTTCTGACACGTTTTCTTGGGAACAGCTTGATGATCTAGATTCTGCTGGTATTTACATAGAAGCGTTTCACATTTTGACCCCTGTATACTGCATTTTGAATTTTGTGCTCTATGATTGTGGATAATTATTTTCTTAACATTATCTCTTTTTTTTAAAACACATGCACATGCACACACTCTGCCCAGAAATGTATTTACTTGATATATTTCCACTGGCTTCTGCCTCATCAAATGATACATTCATAGCAGTGATTATTGTTGAAAAGTAGTATTTTGCTTATTTAAGAGTCAAACAGTATAATTAAGTTTCTTGCGAGTCTTAAGCCTATAAATTTGTCATAATTTTGACTGGACATTTTTAAACATTAAAAACATACATAAATATCTTCATATATTGATTTTATGGGTTTGTTTATAGTAATTAAGAATAAGCCTGTTAATATCATTTCCTCTGAAGGAAAGAATTGTGAAAAACCATGATTTTACAGTTGGTGAATCTAGAACATGGGAAAGTTGTATCAATAACAATGGCCTCAAGCATCAGACTTTATAAAAGACCAAGTTTTTCAGACATTCCACTATTCGCCCTTTCCCCTTTCAGCACCCCCCCCCCCACTTTCTGTAGGGCAGGTCGTTTTACCCTTTTGAACGCACATTTAGAGCTGCTGAATAACCACTCTCCTTACTGTCTTCTACTCTGTGTATACTGCATGTGTACAGTAAAGCGGGGTGGCCACTACTCCAGTGCCTATTCTACAGCCAAATCCCCAGGTGAGCCATGACTATTGTGGCTTTGTTGCTCTGCTGGGTTTTTGTTTTTGTTTTTTGCCACTTTTCTGTTTCCTTTTGCTCCATTTCCATGAATGTATCTGGCTTATTCCAGTGCACATCTGTGTGGTATGAAATGCTTTGCATTGCACAAGACACTTTAGCCTCCTCTATTTATTAGAGAACTGGTTATCATCAGAAGATTACCAAGTGCCTGTCTGTATAGTCAGGAATACAAAGCGACTGAGGAGGCACATCACCGCAAGGGGTCCATCTTCTAGTTAATTTGGAGCAATGTTCTGCTACTGAAAAAGGCTGAAGTTTGTTGGTAATGTGAAAATAGCCATAGAAGCAATTTTGATCTTCTGTGCTCACCCCCTCCCCACCCTGGGGTTAACAGTTTAGTAATCACTGAAATCTTAGAATTATTAGTACTTCATAATAGCATATGCCAGCATAGGATTATGAGGTGTTTCTTATACATACAGGGAAGCAACACTGCAATATTTCTAGTTGTCAAATATTTATTTTCCTAGAGTTATAGACTCAACCTGTTCTCTCTAAAAATGTGACAATTAACAATGAGCATTTTTATCTGAAAATATCTCTGTTATTAACCTTATTTCAAATTGTATCATGCTTTCTGTAAAGTATCTTAAAACTGAGAAAGCTAATATAGATATGAGACTTGCATAAATACACTGACCTGGGTTAATCAAAGAGTAGATGTAGTTTTGGTGATAGCTTTACAGATGCTTATTACATCAGTAAAAATAATTAAATAGCTGGGCACGGAGGTACCACCTGTGGTCCCAGCTACTCAGAGGCTGAGGCAGGAGGATCCCTTGAGGCCAGGAGTTTGAGGCTGTAATGAGCTATGATGATAGTGCCTGTGCATAGCCACTGCACTCTAGCCTGGGCAATGTAGCAAGGCCCTGTCTCTTTTAAAAAAATTTTAATAAAAGGGAGAGTGGTTCAAGAATCGGGTGTGATTAATTCAATTTTGTCCCCCTGAGGTCAAAAGAGAAAAATTAACATATTGAACTAAAAACATGTCTCATAGCCACATTTGTCCTGCAGAGCAGTAGCTCCAGAAGATAGCCTAATAAATATATACATAACTCTTGAATTTATAATACTTAGAAACTGATTAAGGAAAATCGTAGCATTCTAGTACACACAATTTTAAATTAAGTCCACATTTGGATTTGAGTTAATAGAGTAAGCCTCAAACTCATCAAGTAAAAGTTGTAAGATTTTAAAACCACATTTTAGAGAGAAAATGATCTTTTTTATAAGAGATTAATTCAAAGTGTGTTCGACACTTTAGCTATAGAAAACCCAAAGCCTGAGTCAACCACTGGGATTTGAGTGAATCTCAAGAAAGCTACTATATTTATCTGTATAGTGCTTATCTGTATAGTGCTATATAGCGTGTTCTTTCCACTTTCTACCACCAGGAAGAAGAGGATTTTGTATTATTAAAAGCCATGGTACCCAGGAGTGCTTTTACAGATTACTTTAGCTATGGTGTATTTGTTGCCATTTTAAAAATTCCATGGGACTAATTGGAACTCAAACTGAGCTGGTAACTTTATGAACATAATATTGTACCTTTTCAATCTTGGGGCAGAAGTCCTAAATGAAGTCTTGAGACTGCCTTGAGTGAAGTCTTCTGGTTGACTAAATCCTTCAACAAAACTCTGTCAGAATAGCTAAATAGTATGTAAAAAGCACATAGATATTAAGCTAGGTAACATAAATGGGTAAATGGTTACTCTTGCCCAGGCTGGAGTGCAGTGGTGTGATCTCAGCTCACTGAACCTCCGCCTCAGGAGTTCAAGCGATTCTCCTGCCTCAGCCTCCCGAGTAGCTGGGACTACAGGCGTGCGCCACCACGCCTGGCTAATTTTTGTATTTTTAGTGGAGACGAGGTTTCGCCATGTTGGCCAGGCTGGTCTCTAATTCCTGATATCAAGTGATCCACCCGCCTCAGCCTCCCAAAGTGCTGGGATTACAGACATGAGCCACCATGCCCGGCCATTATTTTATGATTTTAGCTTGTGAATCTTTCTTAGTCTGCCAAGGTAGAAAGTATTCAAAGAAAACAAAAAAGCCCCCAAGTTTCTTTCTTTCCTTAGAGTTGAGGGGAGGGGGATAAAATTTCAGGAGAGAAAATCCAGGGGTGTAGCAGAAGAGTGGAAGCATGAGGCAGGTGCTGGCTGGCGGAGGCATACCTTCCACTTGCGGCAGCAGCGGAAGTTGCAGGGGGAGAGGTCATGACATGGTGCTGTCCAGGGCCCCCATTAGCCTCCCCAGAACTGGAGAAATGTGCAGATAAGTGAAATTAAGAACTACTCATTCAAGCACATTGTTTAGAACTTTCCAAATGCTATAAAAACTTAGGGGACTATATGTGATTAGTATCTCTTTTAGGATGAGTTATTTTGGTGAAAATACAGACTTGTAGTTATTGATACCAGTTAAATCCCTGGCAGTGAGTTTTGTTAAGAAACTAGGCCTGGGCAGGGGATGTATAAGGAGACTGATCTACTGCAGAGATCGCCATCTGCCAGAACTGCTTTTTCTCCTTCAGTCCCTTTCCTACAATCATTCCAAGGTAGCCTTTGCTATCAGTGTGGGATTGGAATACCAGTGAACTCTAACAGTGCTTACTGATTAGGAGCAGGTGATCTGTGCAGATTGCTGTGTGAGGTGGAGAAAATACCAAAAAAAAAAGGAAAAAAAGGAAAATTTAGTCTCACCTCACCACAAGCTTACTAGTTTATTGCCGGTCATAATCTCTCTTTTGTGTGAATTCCATTGAAAAAGATTTTTTTAAAGACTTTATTTTTAAGAGCAGTTTTAGGTTCACAGCCAAAGGTACACATTTTCTGTGTACCTCCTTGCCTGCAGACTTGCGTTGACTTCTTCTATTATCCACATCCCCAATTAGAGTGCTGCATTTGTTACAATTAGCCTGCACCTAAGGTCCATACTTTACATTGAGGTTCATTCTTGGTGTTGTTTGTTTTCTGGGTTTGGACAAGTTTATAATGACATATATTCACCATTACAGTATTGTACAGTCTCACTTCACTGAAAACCTTTTGTGCTCTACCTTTTAAAGAAGTTTTTTTAGAAGAAATAACATTAATTGAAATTTAACTTGATTGAGAAGTAATCAGGGCTGTTGAATACTCTTATTTTTAATTGTACAGTTAATTGTGCTACACTTGTATTCTAAGTACCCACATGTATTTGTTAATAAAATCTAGATCACTGACCATTATTTTGAATGAGGGTTTTGAGTCAGAAAAATTAAAGTTTTGGAAATTTAAAAATAACTGGAAAAAGTTTTCGTTTTTACTGAAATTTTAAAATGAGCAATACAATAAATATGACTTCATAAACGCAGATATTCCTGTTTACAGGTGATTCTTGTAATCATTAGTACTCATTGATCCACAATTTCTGCCTCTGCTCAAGGACTGGTACTCATTTTTTTGAGTCCCCTATTCAGGACCTTTACCTGTGCATTTGGTTTTTTATACTTATTAGTGTGATTTAAAATAATAGTTGTCGCTCTCTCATCTTTTCTTTAAAAAAGAATAAAAAGCAAATGAGCATCTCTTTTCTTTCCAAAAAGATGAATGACACTTTTCATCTACTTTGGGCAAAAACTTTGGAAATTTGTAATAAAACAGATTATAAATACTCTATTTAGAGGAGAAAAACATATATCAATACTAGATGTTAACTACTAGTTTTGTGAAATTACTGCAGAAATAGATTCTAATGATACAATCAGGCATAAGTCATACTGAAATGTTTGACCAGAATTCTGTAGTACAGAATCTGCAAACCTTTCCTAGGGGAGAGGTTTCAAAGTTTTCAAAAACTGAAAACTTTTTTCAGTTATTTTTTAAATTTCCAAATTTAATTTTCTGGGGGAAAGGTTCATTTGCAGATTCTGTACTACATAATTCTAGCATAGGATCTAAATCGAGCTTTCAACCAAAGAAGCGTATGGAGGTTTAGAGCAGATGTGTAGAAAACTACCAAGATTTGCTGACAAATGGAGAGGATAAGCTGTACAGAAAAGAAAATGGAAGGAATTAGAAATAAGTAGTCTAGATAAAAAAGGTTGAAGAATGTTTTTCACAGACTTTGAGCAAATAAGTAGGAATTACAAGGAAAACTACCAGCAAATTTTCCCTTTTCATTAAGAAAATACTTAGAAAATGTGTTTGTATTATGGTGTACTTGATTTGGGAGAGCCACACAAACTTCTTGGTTATCCAAACTTCTTGGTTATCTTGGTATACACCAAGATAGTGGATATTGAAGGTTATGGAACAGCCTTCATAGTAAACCATTACAAATATAACAGCCATCTCTACCTTTGCTGGCAGGCAGGATACATGGACAAGTTCTCGTTCACATCACTAATTCCATAATGTCTTCTATATTTGTTTATATAGCTGTCAGAAAACTACTATTGAAAATAGTTCTAGTTTCACTCTGTTTTTTTTTTTTTTGTCTGTAATGCAGTAAGATACATTATTTTTGCTTTTTGCTGATTTGCCGTCTGCTTTGAGCTGAAAACGAGTTGAAGCTTCATTGGACCTATATTGTGCATGCACCTAGTGTATTTATACAGTCTGGTTGTTGTGGGTTTTAATGGGACTTCTGTCTTCTTTGTTGTCTCATGGGCAGTTAATGGAACTCCCAGCAGCCAACTTTCTACTCCTAAATCTACGAAATCCTCCAGTTCCTCTCCAACTAGTCCAGGAAGTTTCAGAGGATTAAAGGTATGAAATAGGATATGTGGCATATTTGTGTGATTTTGTTATTTAGAGTTTCATAGTTTAGCAGTTTAATTTGTTTGGGGGCTTGAGTACAGTAGCAAATTAAAAAGATTTTAGGATTTTGAGCCTGGTAGACTTGACTTCGAATCCTGTGTACTGCTGTAATTTTGGCAAACTCACTTAACTCCTCTGAGCTGAAGTGTTTCTCTTCTCTAAAATGGGAACACGGGGTTGTGGTGTTCTTATTTTAGAGATGAACATAATGTGGTAAAGTATAATAAATAGTAGTTTTCCAATTATTATCAAAATGATTCGCAGCGGTGAAGCCTTGGAGAACATCATGATTCTTTAAAAAATCTTGTTTCGAGTCATGACTTTAATATTGCTAACATAATTTGAGTTTGTCAAAAGCCTAAAATGAAGTGAAATACTAGCATAATGTTTATACTCACAAGCTATAACACAAGGAAAATATGGTCATCTTTGGTGAGGAACTTAGAAATAATCTTAGGTGTTGATTATGATGTCCTAAAAATATAAACAGTAACCGTATGATTAGCAGTTGATTTAATAGACAGTTATCTAATAGAGATGAGCAAAACCAATTTTGCAAAATTTCAACAAGTTTTATTTGATGTAGTAGTTCCTAATAATTTAAATTTAGAAGAGAAAATTTGCCTGGTAAAATAACAGTAAATAATTAGAGCTAAAGATGGAATTTCCAGCCAGACATGATGGCTCACGCCTGTAATCCCAGCACTTTGGGAGGCTGAGGCAAGTGGATCACTTGAGGTCAGGAGTTCAAGACAAGCCTGGCCAACATAGTGAAACCCTGACTCTACTAAAAATACAAAAATTAGCCGGGCCTGGTGGTACAAACCTGTAATCCCAGCTACTCTGTGGGCTGAGGTGGGAGAATCACTTGCACCCAGGAGGCAGAGGTTGCAGTGAGCCGAGATCGCGCCGCTGCACTCCAGCCTGGGTGACAAAGCGAGACTGTGCCTCAAAAAAAAAAAAATGGAATTTCCTTTGTAGAAACAAAGGGTTGTCTACATGGTAATGAATTCTGAGAATACTGATGTATACACAGTGTCATGTATGTGTATACATAAATTAACTTTAATTCCCTTTATGTGTTTTGATTGATCAGATATACTATTAGGAATGTATTTTCCAAAGTTGGTTCCCTAAACACTTCAAATATAGCCCTAGAGGATTTCTTTAAAGATGTTGAAGAATTTTTTTTTATTAGTAAACTTAATGGTTAGAACTCCACCACCCTTGCATGAGTGAGGAGTGGGAACCTGCCAAGCCCAGCCTCTGACACCTTCAGAGCAGCATGTGAGGTCTGTGCTTCCCCACTTCTCAGAACGTTTTGTTCTCCAATTGACTGTAAGGTTTGCTTGTCTTGCCCTGAGAATGTTGTATGTCCTTCAGAGTAGACTTGTATAATGTTTAAGTACCTGAGAATAAAAAGAGGAATTCTGGAAAAGGACAGAGCATCTGTTTTTGTGCCTGCTTGCTTATCCTTGGCAGAATTTGGGCTGAGACTAGTAGGACGTTTGGAAGTAGGGAGTATCTAGCTCTCACCTACCTGTAATTACTGCAAGTTCCTTATATTTATCAAAAGAAGCAGGCATTTTTCTGAAGTACTAACTTGACTTAAGTCAGTTCATAATGTGATTTCAGTGGACTTTTAAATTGTCAATTCCCAGAAAAGTTACATAAATTAAGAATTAGTAGTAAGCTAATTATTTTCAGATTTTTCTCCTATTTTCCCTGGAACAGATTGGAAGTACATTGTTATTAATAGAAGTAACTTTCAAGAGAACTAAAATAAAAATAAGTTGATTTACCTCTTTTCAGGTTTGTTGTTTCAAAATTTGTTAACGCAAAAGCGAGTGGCTCCTAGAGCTGGTTAATTGTTCTAGGGCAGATCTAGGGTAACCTTTCCAGTGAGCCACATGCCAAGGTCCTTCATATTCCTCCCCCAGGCCATTGCCCCAGGTGGGGCTGAGATCCTTAACCTAGGACCGCTTTGGGGGATCAGATGGGACACTTGAGTGCCTGCTTACTCTGGGTCTTGGTCACTTCCCCATTTTTTGTTACCCATTGGTAATCCCAGCTCCCGTCTTCCTAGTCCATCTTCACCTCTAAACCCAATATTGTCATTTTCTGTTTTTGCCACTAGGCCAGTTGGTGCTGCTTATTAGTAATTACAACTATGGCTTCAGGACAGGACAGCTAACCATTTCAAAGAAATACATGTTAATATTCTGTGCACACACCTGCCTCACACATGCATGCATACTTGTGCAGGGTCACTCACATTTGTTAAGATTAATGGAATTTTTAAAACCTAATAAATTGTATTATTGCTGAGACATTAAGTAAAATTGTTCCTTCTATGCTAGGTGTATCTTAATTATTATAGTAACCCCAGCATTTAGCACACAGTAAATGCTCAAGGATTACTTATTCACACCGAGAGGAATAAAGACAAATTTGTTGATTAAGGGAAATGTTGATTACTGGTCAAGATTGAACATAAGATTATAAGTAAGACAAAGAACAGTTGTCTTTCCAGGACCACCCCCTGTTCTCCACCACTATGCCTGAGGCCTGTGGGCTTTGCTAACAGCTGTGATACTTCCTCTGGGTTTTCTTTTTCTTATCTGTAAAACAAGACTTTTGATTTTAAATGACCTCTAAAATGCTAGGAATATAGTTCTGTTAACTTGCCGAAAAACCTAACTAAAAGGCTAGGAAGTCTATTTTTTGTCCTTTTACTTCAATGCTGTTGTAAAACACTGAATTTTACATTAAACATGAGTAACTAATGTCTCTGCCACACTGATTCAGCTTTTAGGCCACAATCCCAAAGCTCTCTAACTACTACCTATTCTCATGGGTCCTGCCTTATGAAAATTTCATCTCATTACAGTTCCCATAATCTGTAGTATATATTGTCATTGGGATGAAAACCTTCTTTTTAAATAATGCAATTTAGTCAGGTTACTTTACTGTACCAAATACCCTAATTTTGATGTCATTGCAAGGCACCAGCTTATTTTTTTTTATTCAGTGGCATGACAGATGAGGAATTACAGATAATTACCGTGTGTTAGTACTGTGCGTTTCCCTTCCCTTCATTTAAAATAGCTTATTAAGATCAGTTAAGAGGGAATGTCTGAGAATGGAGGATTGTTTTTCGTGGGCAGGAACTCTTTACCACTATTTATCCTAGTTAGATGCTCTAATGGCCTTGGGGGATAGATAATCTTTTTCCAGAGAATCAGAGAATTGATAAAAGCAAGCAAACCAAGCCACGACAGCATGTGCAGGAGCTGACAGTCTCTCTAGCTGCCAGGACACAGCTTTTGGCATTGAGGGTTTTGTTACTATCTGGATTTTATTCACTAGGGAACTAAATAAGGTTAAGGGTAAGCAGAATTTGATGTTCTGTCACCGTTTTTCCCTCTTTGTATACATGTCTGGGAATTATTTTAATATTTTGGTAGGGGCATTGAAAGAACTGAAAATGAAAATAGGATATGTTTAATCTCTGATCATGGATTGTTAGTGACACTTTGGTTTGCTCATTAAGAGAGATATAAAATATAGACAATCCACCCTCCTCTCCACAAAATGTACTCGTAGTTTTCTTGGTACTCTTACGAGAAAGATGATTCTGCTAAGACTGTGTTCTTTGAGGGGCTGGAAAAAAGCCAGTAGCGGAAGGAAAGCTTTCTTCAACTTGTGAATGATTTTTTTGCAGGTGAGCATGTAAGAAATAGGGTGGTGACCAAGTAATTAAGGTTCTTTAACCTTAAACTGAGAGACTTTAGGACAACTGAGAGTTAGTGGTATCTTGATTATATATTTGTTTTGTTCAAGTAGTATTAAAGAAAAAACACTAATTATTCCAGATACTTGTTAAAGACTATAAGGGAGACTTTATTCAAAGAGTGGGGGTGGTCCCTGGCAATTGGTATAGAGACCACTGTAGTGGAGCCTTGCAGGGAGGAAAAGAGGAAATCCAGCTCCAACAAGGAAAAGTGGGGATTATAACCAAGGAGCAGGGTGGGCATCAGCAGATGGAAGAGTATTAGAGGAACCATCCAGCATAAGAGGCTTCCGGCTCAACCGACTTGATAGGCTTATTGCTGAAGGCAGGCTGGGGTGATCTGACATCAGAGTCAGATACCAAGTACAGGGGATTTTCCCTGAACTGACTTAACAGGAATCTTGCTCAGGCCTCAGCCTGGATTCTGCAAGGACAGGGAGGGAAGCCCAAGGTTGGGCCTAGTCAAGCAGAGGATTTTGTAGAACAAAAACCAAAAGAGGGGCTAAGCAGTTTTGAAGTGGCCTAACAAAATAAGTTTTGGTCATAAAAGTTTTGGTCATAAAAGAGTTTTTGTCAGTAGTTACCTAAAACCATAAAGTGTAAAAACTGGAAGTAGTTTCAAACCTTGTTTAGTCTTCAAGATGGAGAAACGGAGTTTTTTTTTTTGTTTTTGTTTTGTTTTGTTTTGTTTTGTTTGTTTTGTTTTGAGACGGAGTCTTGCTATGTTGCCCAGGCTGGAGTGCAGTGGCGTGATCTTGGCTCACTGCAACCTCTGCCTCCCAGGTTCAAGTGATTCTCTTGTCTCAGCCTTCTGAGTAACACATTTGCTCCACAGGAAAAAGGGTTGAGAGATTGGGAGGGGAATAGGGAGGGGGAGGTGTGGGAAAAAGAGAGAGGAAATCCTGGGGTTAGGGAGGAGGCTGGGTGAAGAGGGGTGGAAAGACAGAGAAAAATACCTGGTGACAACTTTTCCTGAGAGGCTTGGGGGAAAAGTTTGCTAATAGGTATCTAATGGGAGCTCCTTGAAAGTGAAACTGTCCACACTGTGCCCATTATTTCCACCTAACCCCATAAAGCTTTAGTACAATAACAGAGTTCACAATAGTTTAGCGTTTTTGGTTTTCTTTGGAAGACAGTACTCAGTGGAGCTGAGTATTGTCAAGATGGGTATAGATTGGAATTAGCATATCCAGATTCAGCAGATACATGGGTTACAAGGATGTGGGATGATGTTCTGTGGTGGGCCTGTGATGGAAGTCACCCTGTGGGTATGGTGGCATAGCTGGGTGTTGAGCCCATGCTCATAAACACTACCAGCCCCAAGGACACAGTGGGAAAGCAAGATCAGTCTTCTTAAACAAATGATTGGAAACAACATGATCAGACCAAAAATTTGTAAAATTAGTTATTAAAGGCTAACGCCATCCAGCAGGTCCCTGTTAGGCCTCTTCCCCAGAACCTAGCTCCTAGGTATTAGAACTTGGCTTTGCTTCTGTTTGGACTTAGGGAATCTGACTTTCCTGAAGGTCAGGGCTGCTCCTGGTGATGGTCACCTAGGGAGGAGGCATTTCTGCAGGCCACACACAGCCTCTCTCACCTCAGTGGCCCCAGGCTGCCTCCCACAGCCAGGAACATGGGGAGCCCTGGGGCTTCTGAAATAAAGACAATTCATGCCAAGTTGTACTATGCCTTTGTTACGAGGCTACAGATCTCCTCGAGACTCTGGTTTATTTTCCTTTTGTCCTCTAATTCTTAAGTTTTTTTGTGATTATTCCGAGCTATTCTAGTTAAGCTAAGGGTAACCAGGATAAAAGTCTTGGTCTGCTTTGGCCAGATTATTAAGGTGGGAATGGTGCCCCCTGGTGTGCAGCTACACAGAGGACCTGGAGGAAGAAGGAGACCTGAGCTCCCTCCCTCCTCTGCTGCCTCCTCCATTTGGAAACAGACACAGGATGGTGATCAAAAGCACGTGAAATGTAACAGCCCTTTTAGAATTTGTCTAGCAGGGTTTCTGGTGGTACCAGCAGACTCCACACAGGTAAATCTATTACAACATTTAGGGCCAGGTGCGGTGGCTCATGCCTGTGATCCCAGCACTTTGGGAGGCCAAGGTGGGTGGATCACGAGTTCAGGGGTTCAAGACCAGCCTGGCCAACAATGGTGAAACCCCATCTCTACTAAAAATACAAAAATTAGCCAGGCGTGGTGGCAGGTGCCTGTAATCCCAGCTACTCGGGAGGCTGAAGCAGGAGAATCCCTTGAACCCTGGAGGCAGAGGTTGCAATGAGCCGAGATCCTGCCACTTCATTCCAGCCTGGGCTACAGGGCAAGACTCTGACTTAAAATTAAAAATGGAAAAAAAGCACATGAAGTCCAAGTGCCTGGGTTTGATCTTGGCATGGCCACTCTTAAGCTGTTTTACCTTGGATAAGTCACATCACCCCTATCTGTGGAAAAAGGGATTAATAGGACCTACCGCACAGGATTGAGATTGATTAAATATGGAGAAAGCAGTTAGGGTAGCCTTGTTATTCTTTCTTACCGTAAACCTTGGCATTTCCAGGTTCCATTTTCACGTGAAGGCAGTTTTACTTGCAAAAAACTAACATGCAGTAGCGTACAAGGGGGAAAGAGAAGGTGAGAGAAGTCAGACTCCAGATTTTATTACCTCCTCTGCTTTTCTATCACCAACTTTTCCTCTCAACTCTCCCTTCACCTCTGCTTTCCTGCCCTCTTCACATACTCCAACCCTATCAATAATCTATAAATGACTCTACTAGGAACAGATTATCCCACCTGGGAGGCTGAGGCAGGAGAATTGCTTGAATCTGGGAGGCGGAGGTTGCATTGAGCTGAGATCGCACCACTGCACTCCAGCTTGGGCAACAGAGCGAGCCTCTGTCTCCAGGAAAAAAAGAAAAAAGGTTATTCTGGCAAGGCACAGTCGCTCACGCCTTTAATCCTAGCACTTTGGGAGGCCGAGGTGGGTGGATCACCTGAGGTCAGGAGTTTGAGACCAGCCTGGCCAAAATGGTGAAACCCTATCTCTACTAAAAATAGAAAAACTTGCTGGGTGTGGTGGCATGTGCCCATAGTCCCAGCTACCTGGGAGGCTGAGGCAGGAGAATCACTTGAACCCAGGAGGCAGAGGTTGCAGTGAGCGGAGATTGCGCCATTGCACTCCAGCCTGGGTGACAAGAGCAAGACTCTGTCTCAAAAAAAAAAAAAAAGAAAGAAAGAAAAAGGTTATCCCAAAATTTAGCAGCTTAAAACAAAAGAAGTAGAAAATTTATTTTCACACACAGTTTTTACGGGTCAGAAATTCAGGAGCAGCTTAACTGGGTGGTTCTGGCTCAAGATCTCTCATGAGGTTGCAGTCAAGACGCGTCCCAGGGCTGTAGCCGCCTGAAGGCTTGACTGGGAATGGAGGATCCCCCTCTGTAGTCACTCATTCACTTGCTGGCAAGCTGGTGCTGGCTGTTGGCAGAAGGCCTCGGTTACTCGCCATGTGGACCTCTCTGTAAGTTGGCTTGAGTTTCCTCAGAACACAGCAGGTGGCTTTCCCCAGAACCAAGTGATAAGAGAGAGAGAGAGAGAGAGAGTGCCATACAGAAGCTGTCCATTCTGTGACCTAGCCTTGGAAGCCAGACCCCATCTCTTCCATAATATCTTGGTGGTCACACACCAGCCCAACTCAGCATGGGGAGAGACATCACAAGGGCATGAGAAACGGGAGCTGGGGCTCATGAGGGCTATTGTGGAGTCTGGCAGTCACACCAGCCTTCTCTCCATTTTCATCTCTTTATCAGCCACTCAAAATTTCTGCCCTGGGCTGGTCTGGCTTCCTCATCCTGTCCTTTCCAACCTTCCTGTCCATCCTCTTTTTTGAGGGCTGCCAGAGTCTCACCCCATCAATTTTATTGCTTTGTTCTCCTTCCAGTCCTTTTGTTCGTCAGACTGCTGACTCCCTACTCATTCTTTTTCCTTCTCTTCAAATCCTAGAATCCCACCCCTGTGGACCTCGTTTGCTTCTTTTAATGCTCGTCTTCCTGATTCTCCATTTTTCTGCTTGACCCCAACCTATGATCTTCTGTTCCCTCTGTGCAAGTTCCTCAGAGTCTCTTCAATCTAGCTGATAACTTTTCCCATAGGAATATTTGCTATGCTTAAATCACAGCATTTTCTTTGGGACAGATAGGCAATAAAGAGTAGTAAATGTGTCATCAGCTACCAGATGGATGAAGAAAGCATTTCCCTGAACTTTAATTCATCATTCATGTTCCAGTTTAAGACTTTTAAGGCAATAGTAACTTCAGGCTTCAGAGTCACAGCACATCTGTGGACACTGAGGGATAAAATGTTTCGTGTTTTGATGCTGAAGTGTATGCCTGGAGGCTCTCTGCTGTGAGCATTCTTGCCGGTTGAAAGAAGGAAGAAAAAAGTACATTTGGAACATTATCCAACATCTTGAGATTATGAACTGTCTGATGTGCTGATATTTTATCTGATGATGTCTCCTGGGTCTGCTGGTGGTGAAAGATTTTCCAGATTTGTGAAGTGTGATGAAAGGGCTGGTAGTATCTCATCCTGACTGGCAGAGCTAAAATGTAACTCTTCGACCTTCTGAACTTGAACACTTCTTTTCGAAGCTGTGAAATGTAAATCCACAGTAGCTGCTGACCTTAGACATTTTTGCTTTTCCCTGGAGCTTTGGCTTTTCTTTTGTAATTAAGACTAGTTGATAACCTTCAATACTAAGAAACTGACCACTTCTCATTACTCCAGAGATGGATGGTGACTTCATCTTTCCATATAATTGATTTTGTAGAACAAAAACCAAAAGAGGGGCTAAGCAGTTTTGAAGTGCCCTAACAAAATAAGTCATAATGCATCTCACACTTTGAGGACAGTGATTTGCACATTGTAGTTGCTCAGTCAAATCTGGTGCACTTGGGAAGTAAATGACTCACCTGGGCTGAAGCCTATCTTTCTGAGGATGCAGGGAGGGTTTACCAAGTAAATCAGTGTATAAATAGGATCAATTGTAAGAATTTCATTTGAATACAACTGGCATATGTGTTAAACTTAAATGCCCCATTATTCATGAAAGTGGGCCCAGAAATTCTTCTTGGTAGTGCATTATAGGTAACTGGATGGAGTTAAAGACTTAGAGATTGTCATTGTGGCTGCTTGTAGTAGCCTCCATAGTTATAACAGAAGAGGCAGACACCTCTCTCATCACCCTGGCATCCTAGAAATCAGTGAAACCTCACAGTGAAAGCATGCAGGTATTTTTAGCAAGTAGGCATGGTCACACCACCTGTCTGTTGGTCACAATCCAGTAAGCCAACACCTTACTCGAAAGGCTTACTCAGAGGGGTGCGATGAGATTCTCTGCTGGTTTTGGCAAGCCATGTAGTCACCTGTGGTGGTTTCTGTATTTGGAAGAACAGGAAAGCAGAAGTTGGGCTCCACACTGCCCCTTTGATAGACTGTAGAGATGGCTGTTGTTTTAAGCCATATTCATGTTCAGGCAGTGGATTCTATTTAACACTGTTAACCAACCACAAGTCTTAAGTGCCACTGTTTTTGCCAAACGAAACCAAATCTAAGCATGCAGCCTGTGTTACCACCCTCTGGGTGCTGATTCCGATTGTTTTCATATCTCATACTGAAGTATTTCAAATTATCAGAAATCCAATATGAAAATAATAAAGGTTTCTGTTCTTGGATACATTCCTAATTCAGCATTTATAATACTTTACACTGGATTTTATTCTAGTTAGTGGAAACAATGTTCCTAATGTTGAAAAAACCCACAAAAATGCCAATGATGCAAATCTATTTACAAGTACTATCTAGTGTATTTTTTTTTAAAAAAAAATTCAGTAAACTTCAGAAGTTACCTTTTTAAAGAAAAAATTTATCTTAAATTCTATTTGAGGAAAGGCTGTGAATTTATCAATTTGTGTATCATATGACTGAATTACAGGAATGTTACTCTAGTTATATAATCATAAAACATGTTCTAGATATACCATAGTGTATATTTTGATCAGCAAGTCTAGAATTAGGTGACTTCCTTTAGTTGGTTCAATAGCCTTGCAGGACTTTTCTCATAAACTTAGAGGATAGGACAGTGTGAGAATCGCCAAGAAGCTCTTGGGCTCTGGAGTCAGCCCTGGGTTTGGATTCTGATTCCACATTTGCTGTGGTGATGGGCAAGTTATATAACCTCTCTAAGCTCTGATTTCTTCACAGGTCAATGGAGATGATGACCATACCTAACTCATTCAATGCAAAATACTCACTTCATGACTTGGTACAAAGTAGGATTCAGTAAACCATGTGGGTGTCCTCCTTCCTTTTCTTACAAAGACAAGATTGTTTGGCTATAGATGACTTGCAGTGGTTAGAGTGACAGAGTGAACTTACACAGATTATGGTAGCTGAACAGTTAATTAAAATTGCTGCCAGAAACTTCATCCACAGATGTTCTCAACCTTGGCTGCATGTTGGATCATCTGCAGACCTTTTAAAAAATCCTGATACCTGAGATTCTTTAATCAACTTGGGATTCAGATTGACAATAGAATTTTTGAAATCTTCCTATGTGATTCTAAGATGTGAGGAAAGAATGGCTGCTTTATAGCAACAACCATATCCTAAAGGTTGTTCTGTTTTAGAGTTTAAAAGTGCAAGAATTATCTTGGAGGAAAAGCTTTCCTAAGAAAGTTCTTGCTCACCAGGAGTTTGCCTGCTGGCCAAATTCAGCCAATCACCTGTTTTTCTGAATAAATGTTATTGGAACATATCCATGCTCATCTGTTCATATATGGCCGTTTTCATACTCCAGCAGCAGAGCCAAAGAGTTGCCACAGAGAACCTGTGACCCATGAAGCCTAAAATATTACTTTCTGGTCTTTCATAGAAAATGTTTCTGACCTGCCGGGCACGATGGCTCACACCTGTAAACTCAGCACTTTGGGAGGCCAAGGTGGGTGGATCACTTGGGGTCAAGAGTTCAAGACCAGCCTGGCCAACATGATGAAACCCCATCTCTACTAAAAATACAAAAATTAGCCAGGCGTGGTGGCACACGCCTGTAATCCCAGCTACTCGGGAGGCCAAGGCAGGAGAATCACTTGCACCTGGGAGGCAGAGGTTGCAGTGAGCAGAGATCGTGCCACTGCACTCCACCCTGGGTGACAGAGTGTCTCAAAAAAAAAAAAAAAAAAAGAAAGAAAATGTTTCTGACTTGACACTTATAGACCATTTACCACTTGAATTGTGATGCCATTTTCCAAAATGCATTCAAGAAAGTCAACTCAGTACAGAGAAATATTTCCTAGATTCTGTTCAAGTTTGTCCTTTTATTAAAAAAAATGAAATATTAAGGAAAATCTTTCTCAAACCATGTTTTTATTCTGCTCTGACACCAAAAAAAACAATAAGCACAGAAGAAGACTTTTGTGACCAAATGTGGGGGATGAGTTTCGTTCCACCACCAAGTGAACAATCAGTTCTATAGCAGACACTAGGTGGGTGTCCTCCCAATTCAATTCTGATGCTATCTACCTGGAGGTAGCATCAGATCCCATAGGTTGAGGGCCCATTCCCCAAAACTACCCCCTTCTTCAGACACCAGTGGCAAGTCTGGGCCTCTGGAACTTGTGAATGACCAGCTTCAAGTTGGAGTTCCCATGACCCCTCTTTGGGTTTGATTAATTTGCATTTCACTGAACACTTCACTGTACTCAGGGAAGTGTTTACTAATTTATTATAAAGGATATTATGTTACAAAGGATACAGATGAAGATATGCATAGGGCGAGGTATGGGGGAAGGCATGCATAGCTTCCATGGCCTCCCTGGGCATGCCACCCTCCAGAAACGTCCACATACTCAGCTATCCAGAAGCGTTCCTAACCCTGTCTTTTTGGATTTTTATGGAGGCTTCATTACATAGGCATGATTGACAACCCTGTAGAAATATGACTGGACAAAAAGGGGTATGATCTAAGCCCAGCAAAGCCGGTTTGTTCTGTTTTTTCTTAGCCTCTTTATAGAGCATTCCTGGCTTCAGGGTATGGGGCAGGACCTCCTCTGGAATGACAGTCTTATGACTGCAGTCAGATTAGAGTCCTGCTTTAGGCAGGTGAAAGGAGGGCAGGAGAAGGTCAGAGAGATTGTTTTCTGAGGCCTAAAGCATCCCAACATTATAACAAGGACTGTGGAAGTTAATGAGCCAGGAACATGGATGAAAACCAGTATAGCACAAGGGTAGCTAGCATTATACTCAAGTCAACAATAATATGCCATAATGCAGTAAGTAACCACTCTTGCTACTTTTTTTTGAGACTTGCCTATTTCAGAACAGAGAACAGTTCTTAACATTTCTCCTTAAATTTCAAATTTGAAGAAATTTTGGTAATCTGCTTATCAAAGAAGTTTACCATAGGACCCTCTGACATAACTCCCTGGCTAAAAACAGAAAACTGGAGTGTTGCTCATCATCAGATGTCCTTCATCAGCCATGAATGCCTTTAAATGATGCTAGCAGTTGAGAGCATTGTAAAGCATCTTCTGCTCTGTTTTCAAGTCTTTTTTAAAAAGTTCTCAGCAGCTCGGTGCAGCGGCTCATGCCTGTAATCCCAGCACTTTGGGAGGCCAAGGCAGGGGATCTCTTGAGGTCAGGAGTTCGAGACCAGCCTGGCCAAAATGGTGAAACCCTGTCTCTACCAAAAATTTAAAAAATTAGTCGGGCGTGGTGGCGGGTGCTTGTAATCTCAGCTACCCAGGAGGCTGAGGCAGGAGAATCGCTTGAACCCGGGAGGCGGAGGTTGCAGTGAGCCGAGATTGTGCCGCTACACTCCAGCCTGGGTGACAAAGTGAGACTCCGTCTCAAAAAAAAAAGTTATTAGCAGAAGAGGATTCTTGCACATTTCCCTTCCTTGCTTATTCATAAAAATGGAGCCACTGCTGCCAGAGAAGTGACGAGGTGGTGCAGGGGCACCAGATCCCAGAGAAGACACTCAGCAACATCTTCACGGTTCTCTTCTGTCACCTTCCCTCCTTGGCCAAGCAGAATCAGGACCTCATTAGGAAATATATCCCCCGCCCCCTTGCCACTGTTAAATACAATGCTGTCTTTCTGAACCAGTTGGCAATTATGAATGGCATCCTGAAAAACCGTAAATGCTGCCATCCATTATGCTTTGTTGAGGAGGACCCTACTAGCATACAGCATCTAGGCACTTTCTTTGTGCTGTCTCAGCATCATAGTTGCTGATGGAAGCAGGAATGCTCATTAGCATTTTAAGAGATTTTAATAGAAATTGTTAGTTTGACAATAGAAATGGGACGGGTTTAATCTTGAATGCCATATTTGATCTCTCTGGTACTAATTCAATTCTTGCTTCAGTAAGAGAGTAATTCATTTACAGGAGACAAGGGAATATACACATTTTGCAAAGGAAATGATGAGAATTTTGCAAAGTCACAGCTTTATTTCCTCTGTTTTCATTGCTCTTTGTCTGCATGTCTCTCAGGGCACTGGGAATGCTTTGCCTTATATTTAACAATAGATGCTTCACAGTTGCCAGTGATCTGTCCAGAGATCTTACTGAATACTCAGCTTTTCTTCTACCTCTGGAAAGCCAAGCTTCATTAGTGGGAGGTCCAATGAACTGAATCACTAGCTGAGCGATTCAAACACAAGCTCAGATTTGTGCTGTAGCAAAATGGCTCCCTCTCACGGCTCTTCAGAGTCATTTGTAACCGTCAGCACCTATCCTGAAATGCAGAGGTTTCACTGAAGGTATTAAGCTTAGGTGCACCTATCCCTCCTCATAAGGTTGTAAACATCTGAGCAGTAATAATGATGTGTCTTCATCTTCTTATCCCTTAAAACAGCACAAGTCATTGCTGTAGATTTTACTGAGGAGTGAAGAGGGAGAAAGAAAATTGTCTGTGTCTAATTATGTTTCTCTGTTCAGCTGCACTATAATAAAACTATCCCCTTTATTTTTTCATGCTTTTTTCTTCTCTTTAGGAAAGGCTTATTTTCAAATAAACAAACATATTTGGTTAAGTAATTGGATAAGTCATCCCTGTTAACGCTACATAATTGTTTGTTTTAATGCTTGAGGCTTAACACCTTTTAAAAAATATTAATTTGACAGCTTTGAAAAATGTCCTTGCCCTTATTGTTTGCTAAGAAGCTGCATTTCCTGGTGTTTAGTGGAGGCTTTGTTAGGTACACTTGAAAGTGGCCCTTCGCTTGGCCCCATGCCATGCTCGCTGTTGCTCGCTCTCACTCTCGCTCTCTCTCTCGCTCTCTCTCTCCTCCCCCGCCCCCCCTCCCCCCACAACGAGGCCCCCTGTTCCTTCTGAGGCTCAAGGCTTCAGCCTAGGTGCCACTCTCTTTTAGTCACTGGAGACCAGGCTTCCATCACTTGTCCTGTTTCCTGGTCTCTTTCCCTGCTCCATGTCACCCGCAAATCCCAACATATGCCAGGTTTGTAATTGCTGAGCTATATAGGGGATCAGGGTAGGGTGGGAGTGAAGGTTTAATCAAATAAACATTGGGAAAATTACAATGGTTCACAGGAGCTCAACTGATAAACACTTCGATTAGTTACTGATCCACATGAAAATGTACATTGAAGTAGAAATGCCTGTGTTTCAGCCCCTCCTGATGTGATGAGTGTCCTTCACTCAGACAACACATCAGCTTGCAGTAAACCAGTGCTTACCCAAATTAGCTCAAGAAAGGGACTTGTTGTAGGACCATTACCTGCTTCCAGGACAGATGAACAAGCAGGCTTCATGGAGAGCAGGGACCCAGGTACAGGTCTTAGGACCTCAGCTGTGAGTGTGGGGACCTGCACTCTGCTCAAAGTCCTGAGGCCTAAGTGCTGGGAGAGGCGGTGGTTCCTGCCCACCATGCCTGACCCAGCTGCCTGTGGCCTGACCATGTGGGGCTGCGTTGCCCTGGGCTGTGAGATTTAAGACATGTGAGTCCACTGGTCACTGTCCACCATGCTTCCTGACCATTGATTTTCCACCTCCCCTGTTACTTTATTCTGGGGCAGGCAGTGATTAGCAGAGATCTTTTTATCTTCTGAGATACAACTTTCCAGAAAAATCATGTTCATATTTTTATTCCTATTAAGAATTTGGCTGGCCAGGCCAAATGGTGGTGCACGCCTGTAATCCCAGCACTTTGGGAGGCTGAGGCAGGCAGATGGCTTAAGCCCAGGAGTTCGAGACCAGCCTGGGAAACACAGTGAGACCCTGTCTCTACGAAAAATGCAAAAATTAGCTGGGTGTGATGGCGTATACCTGTAGTCCCAGCTACTTGGGAGACTGAGGTGGGAGGATCCCTTGAGCCTGGGAGGTGGAGATTGCAGTGAGCCAAGATTGCATCACTGCACTCCAGCCTGGGCAACAGAATGAGACCCTGTCTTTTATTTAGCAAAAGGTCTCTTATGGCCATTTACATTCAACAGTTCACAAACATTCTTTTTTTTTTTTTTTTTTTTTTTTTTTAAGAAGGAGTTTCGCTCTTGTTGCCTATGCTGGAGCACAGTGGTACGATCTCAGCTCACTGCAACCTCCACCTCCCAGTTCAAGCGATTCTTATGCCTCCCAGGTAGCTGGGATTACAGTCATGTGTCACCACGCCTGGGCGATTTTGTATTTTCAGTAGAGACGGGGTCTCACCATGTTGGTCAGGCTGGTCTCAAACTCTTCACCTCAGGTGATCCACCCGTCACGGCCTCCCAAAGTGCTGGGATTATAGGTGTGCACCACCGCACCAAGCCCACATTCTTAATCACTCATTTCAAGGTTCTGTGCTAGATGATTTAAGAAAAGGCACTGATAAACTAATATTGAGTTAGTGTTACGTGTCAGAGACAAAGTGATTTTACAGGGATAAGCTAATTTTTATTCTCTAGCAAATCTTTGAGTTGGGCACTGTTACTACCTCCATTTTTAGGGGAGAAAATGAAGACTTGGAAAGTTTAAGTAACTTTTGAAAGATAAAAGCAAATTGAATTATTGTAAGTATAAAACGCATCAGAACAAGTGGTGGGAAACACATTAGACAAGTAGGTAGGGGGACAGATCATGGCCCGAATGCCATGCTGAAGATTTTGGAGTTATTATGTTGGTAACAAAGACACACTGGGGTTTTTGAATCCTGGAGGTGATATCCCAGCTACTCTTAGGAAAAATTTCTCTGGCAATACTATGTGGAATGGGAGAGACTGAGAGTGACTAAAGAGGCCTTTGATGCAATGCCAAGTGAAGCCGGAGAAGGACTTGGACCAGGGTGGTGGCCGTGGGTGGGGAATGGAATAGAGAATGGTATGATTTTCTTTTAGGCTTTCCTTTTATGTCCCTTCTCTGGACCTTGTTTTTAAACACTGTAGCTTTTTAAACATTCTGCCATAGAGTGCTGTCGATTTGGAGTTGCCTTCAACTTTAGCAGCTGAAAATTAAACAGAACAACAAAAAAATTAAATTTTGAAAAATTGCAGTTGTCCATCAGTTGTCATTTATCATGAGGAAATAAAATGATTAAACTCCTAGGAGTCACATGGTTAGCCTGGAACCATTAGAATTATCTATAGTTCTAAGCCTTATTGTGCCACTAATAACTATCTTATCCAGCTATCATGCCATAGAGTCTTTTGATTCCTTTTATGGAAGTAAAAAATAACATAATTTCAAAAAAAGGTAACTGATGATTTTTCTTATGTCTAATCTGAATGAAATATCTAAGGAAGAAATGCACTGATGTGATGTGCATAAGGAGAGAGGTGAGATGAGAAGAAAGGGAACGCCTCCTCGGTTTCTGTGACACATTTTTACATTCTGTAAGCATTTTGTGTGTCAACGGATTAGTTAGCTAGGGATTTGTAAATTATCCTGATAAATAATGGTCATTCTCCTCTTTCAGCAGATTTCTGCTCATGGCAGATCTTCTTCCAATGTAAACGGTGGACCTGAGCTTGACCGTTGCATAAGTCCTGAAGGTAGTTCTCAGTCTGATCATTACTTTGATAAAGGAAATCATGCATGGGGACTTGGTGCTCACCTAAAACTCACTTGTGCTAAATTACGATCTTCCTAAAGAGGGATGTGATCACATCACCTGTCAGCCCCTTTGGCCTTAGTAAGAGGCGGGGATGGGGGTTACTTCAAGATAAAGAAAAATCTCATTGTCATTAACTAGGTTATTGAAGCTTCAGATTTTAGACTTGGGCTTCTTTTATTTTTGTGGTGATCTGATCACAACTTCTAAATATATTTCCTTTCTCTCAATTAGATAACAAAACTGTGTTTTCTTGATTTGGTGTCTTCTGTGTGCTGGACACTGGGACATGTAGTGAGAAGTGGGCAGATCTTAACCCTTCCCCCACATACCTTTTTGAGAAAGCTTTGAGCCAGGAATTAGCCTTAACAAGGCATCTATCTTATCTGGGTAGAATTTTCTCTACTAGAAAATGTTGAAGAGAAATCTTGGACATTTTGAAGATTAAATTCCCACCACCATCCTCTTCTCCTTTCTTTGTTTTTTTTTTTTTTCTTTTTCTATCATCTTATATCCCCTGCCCCTTTCTTGAACATCGACAAAAAAGTTTGGATAAGTTTTAGTGAAATATCCTTTTTACCTAAGGCTAATCACTTATTTCACCTGATATCTCAGGGATTTGTTAGGTTTATTGATTATAGGTTTCTGATTTCAACCAACGAAGTTAAAAGGAAATTGGTGATTCAGGTGTTCTATTCAGGAAATGTGTGCAGATATTTTATTTAGTTTCACCATAGATTTAGAAATAAATGCATCGCAGTTTACTATTTTACAAATATGTAGGAATCTGTATAAAATGCTGATGTTTTCTTTAGAATTTGCATTTATCCTTTTTGCAGGTGTGAATGGAAACAGATGCTCTGAATCATCAACTCTTCTTGAGAAATACAAAATTGGAAAGGTCATTGGTGATGGCAATTTTGCAGTAGTCAAAGAGTGTATAGACAGGTGAGTGGACAGTGAGGATAATTAATGAATAATGAAAATGATAAATAATGAAAACTGTATCATCTACAGATACAGTTTTCCTTGGAGTTTATTCTTAATTTTAAAAAGGCCCTTCTGGAAAGTCTCTTTCATTTTCCCTGAGTCTGCCCTTGGGACCAGCCATTTCTTTCCTTTTGTTGTTTGTTTGTTTGTTTATTTATTTATTTATTTATTTATTTAAAAAAAAGGCAGGGTCTCACTCTGTTACCCAGGCTAGAGTGCAGTGGCACCATCATAGTTCACTGCAGCCTCAATCTGCAGGGTGCCAGTGATTCTCCCACCTCAGCCTCCCAGCTAATTTTTAAATTTTTAATAGAGACAGGGTCTTGCTTTGTTGCCAGGCTGGTCCTAGGCTCCTTGCTTCAAACAGTCCTCCTGTCTTGGCCTACTGAAGTGCTGGAATTACAGGCATGAGTGACTGTATCCAGCAGGGATCAGCCATTTTGCATGCCCACAGGAAAAAAATATTATGTATATACATAGAGTATAAAACTGTTTTATGTGCATTTGGGATGAGATATATATAAGGTCTCATCATGAGCCAGAGAGGAATGAGAAGAATAAGTCATTTTTAAGAACATCTCCTATATTTACCGGTGTCAGGCATTGTTCTCAGTCTGTACTTGTATTAAATCGCTTAATCCCTACAGCAATCCTCCCTCTCAGTTAATACTTAATGGAATATTCCAGTAGTTCAGGACATATGAGCTCTGACTCTGTTTAAGATCACAATCAGGCCAGGCCTGGTGGCTAGCTCACACCTGTAATCCCAGCACTTTGGGAGGCTGAGGTGTGTGGATTACATGAGGCCAGGAGTTCAAGACCAGCCCAGCCACCATGGTGAAACCCCATCTCTACAAAAAACAAGACAAACAAAAAAAAAAACAAAAAAAATTCCAGGTTGGGTGGCACACGCCTGAAGTCCCAGCTACTCGGGAAGCTGAGGCACGAGAATCACTTGAAGCTGGAAGGCAGAGGTTGCGGTGAGCCGAGATCGTGCCATTGCACTTCAGCCTGGGCAACAGACCAAGACTGTGTCTCAAAAAAAAAAAAAAAATCACAATCAGCCTACTTTTGCCTATTCCAGATTTTTTATAAACAATATTCAAACCAGAAAAGACTCAGAGTCTTGGTTCAGATTAGAGTCTTGGTGTTTATAGGCTGCTATCCTTCCCATTCTAAGTGATAATTTTTATCATTTCTGGAGATTTTTCCAGAAAGTTTTGGTAACTACAGTTTTTCTGTTTTGTTACATCTCCAGTGAAGCTTTAGTACTCCTTATATTGGTACACAAGATAATGCCTTGTTCTCTGAGTCCTTTTACCCAGTTCTTATACACAGACTGCCACCTAAGTAACAAAGTAAGCATCTAAAGTATGACTTTTAAAGACTAGTCAGAAATCTGAGGCAGGATTTAGTTTTTGTTATAGGGAGAACAATTTAAGGACAAGTGATTCTTCCAAGCCAGGCCTCATGAGTGTGTACTACAACCACCTGGCAAATCCAGCTGCACTTGAGATAACAAGTGTATTCTATGAGTACTGTGGTGTTCTTTATTGAATGCTTTTTCTATACTCAAAGACATTTTTGGCATGTTAAAATTAAATTATTTTAAAGGTGATTAAAAATTAAATAATGGCTGGACACAGTGGCTCACGCCTGTAATCCCAGCACTTTGGGAGGCCGAGGCGGGAGAATCACCTGAGGTCAGGAGTTCAAGACCAGCCTGGCCAACATGGTGAAACCCATCTCTACTAAAAATACAAAAATTAGCCCAGTGGTGTTGGCAGGTGCCTGTAATCCCAGCTCCTTGGGAGGCTGAGGCGACAGAATTGCTTGAACCTGGGAGGCGGAGGATGCAGTGAGCCAAGATTGCGCCATTGCACTCCAGCCTGGCTGACAGAGCAAGACTCTCTCTCAATAAATAAATAAATAAATAAATAAATAAATAACATCAAGATTCTTATATCCATGCGAATGATCTCTCTAGTGCCAGGAAAGAACATTTAAAGATGTGACTAACTTGGTACCAGATCAGATCCTAGCTGAAGTTTTGGCTGAGAAATAATGAAAGTCAGGGGACTTTTCACTTTTGAATTATGGGCTAATGTTGTTAATGGACTAATGTAAAAATATATTGATAATAAAATTTTCTGTTAATTTGGTTTTTTAAAACTTTATTCTGTCTCCTAAGAGAACTATTTTGAGATTTACATATAGAAAAACTATTTCCTGCCTCTCCCTGATGTAACAGAATTGAAATACTTTAAATATGAGTTTCTTAATATTATAGTTAATATTTATGAAAGAATATTTAATTAACATACAGTATGGCTTTGTTTTTGTTTTTAATTTTTTGGGTACCTTTGTCCCCTGACTCCACTAGATATTTTCTTTAATGCACAGAGAAAGAGCCAAGTTTTTCCTTCCTGGGTCTGTGCTGTAGAATACAACAGGAATGGGCCAGGTGTGGTGGCTCACGCCTGTAATCCCAACACTTTGGGAGGCTGAGACAGGAGGATCAGTTGAGCCCAGGAGTTCAAGACCAACCTGGGCAACATAATGAGATCTCATCTCTACAAAAAAAAAAAAAATTAAAGTATAAAAAAGAAAGAAAACAGGAATGATGGTATTTAATTTATGTCTTTAAATGGTCTTCCTCTGATTATTCCATAGGTCCACTGGAAAGGAGTTTGCCCTAAAGATTATAGACAAAGCCAAATGTTGTGGAAAGGTATAGTATGCATAACCCCTAGTTCTGAAAGAAACTAGAGTAACTTGGTGAGGTGTTTACTGTGATGAAGGAATTTAAGTGGGGACTTGACACAACTATCACAGCAGGAGTAGAGACCAGTAATAGTGGGAAAAACAGTTAAGCGGTTTTATTCCTGCTATTTTTCAGAAACTTTAATCCTAAAACAGTAAATTGATTTGATCTTGGTCCTAACTAGAAAACGTAGATTCTTTTCTCTGGGAGATACCTATTTTAACACCCAACAATACTCAAAAGGTGCGTCAAGAACTCTGAGGGACCTGGGACTTTACTTGCAAGCTAACAAAGCCTTCCAGCTTCATACAGGCCAGCAGAACACAAGATTTCTGAGTCAGAGACAAAAGGATTTGTTATTCCTGACACAGCAGGTAGCATGAGCTTCATGCTTGCATTGGTTCCCCTTAACTCCCAAGTCCCATAGTGGTGAGGCTGAGGAGCCCAGCTGGATGATTTACACACAGTGGGTTTATGTCATAGCTGGGGAACTCTGAGCTTAGGAAACCCTCAGTCTTAGGAGGAGGTGCTAGCAATGCTGCCCAGTCTTTGCCTCAGAGGAGAATATTATTTTCATTATCCTGGTCAGGAAACACATCTGCCGTTTGCCCGTAAGGGAGACTCATCTTTGTGTTCCAAGGGTGTTTCCTGGACAAACATCCTTGGAAAGATAGTTTGGAACAGAAGCTGATGCATCATGAGCAGAAATGCTGTGAAGAATCATCTCCTCAATAAGATAAACTTTTTTCCTTCTGTCCCACTCTCTAACTGGGGTTGGGAAAAGATCAACCAATAAAATGCTGCTGCAGTTACTGATACTTTAACTATGTTTGAAAAAATAAATATTCCGTTGCAGCAATGACAAAGACCTTTTTAGATTCCATTGTGGTAACACATCAATTAAGAGAACAAGCTGTAGAGCTACATCGTTCAACACCAGAGCTACCAGTCACGTACAGCTACAAAGCACTTGAATGTAGCGAGTCTGGATTGAAATAGGCTGCTAAGTATAAAATACACACCAGATTTTGAAGACTTAGTACTAAAAAAAGAATGTGAAATACCTCATTAATATCTTTGTATATGATCACATGTTGAAATGAAAATATTTGGATATATTAAGTTATAATTTTAAAAACCTTGCTTTTTAATGTGGTTCTTGGTTAGAATTACGTATATGGATCATGGTGTATATTTATGCTGGACACTGCTGCTCTAGAGCCAGATTCTATAAAGTGTATTCCTGGCCCTGCCTCTTCTTGGAAAATTTATTTAACCCCTCTATTTCTTCCTTTAAAATGTGGTTATTATCGACACCTAGAACATAAGATTATTGTGAAAATTGGTTGAATTAAGCCATGGAAAACAGAGAAGTGCTAGTATATAATAAGAATTCAACACATGTTAACTGCTAACATTATTAATATGCCAGAGGAGTTTAGAATTTATAATTAGCAGGATTTGATCTGATAGTTGTCATTTTATAGTTATGGAACCCCTAAACTGGTCTTCATTGGACTTCTACAAAATAGTGTATTTTTAACAGGAAATGTAAAATATTCTGCTCGAATGGTTTAGAAAAATCTTCTCAGAACTCCAGAATGGAAAATCCAGGAGGCAAATTTGTCATTTACTTTTTTTTTTTTTTTTAACCACACTGTGATAATTACTGAAGCATAGACTGCATAGACTGTGCAAAATGCCCCTTTTCCTTTGAATAAGGTTTTCTTTTGCTTAATTTTCTTTAAATAATTTGATATGCTTTTACTTATTGTTCTAGCGATATTACTAATGTTTTTCACTGTAATAGCCTTTTCTCCATACATGTAAGGGTTCTGCTTTCGATGTGGTGGTGTGTGATTTAAGCAGAACGTATCATAATTTGGTGAGCCAGGTTCTGTAGAACTACATTAAAAATTTTTTCAAAACAGTAAAAAAAAAATAAAAAGGTGCTATGGTAAGGATATGGTTTACGTGATTAAAATTTAAACAGCTGTTTCCATGGTTGGAAAAAAAAGGTCTTTGTATGCAAAAAATTTACACTAAGGGCTGAGGCAAATGGATAAGTCAGTTCTAACATTTGAATCTTATTTTTTCTAGTCTGTGAATGTCATTCTATTTTTATAATGCATGATCAAATATTTTTCCACTTTTACATTTTGCTTATCTAAACAACTATTTCCACATTAAGACTATACAAAATTATAATTTTAAAACTTGATTAGTTACAAATAAGTTGATTTTTCCCATTACATTTTATTTTTAGAAAAAAATTATATAGAGAATTTTTGTTAATTTGAGGGGGTGGTATTCAGTCACTGTTTTGGAGTGTTGGCCACCTCTGCTATATACAGAAAATTAATAATGCTGAAAATAATATCTGCTATTTGTTAAAATGTATTATTTATCCAGGCTTGGATATATAGGAACTTTGCACATTACCTTTAATGACTTGCAAAACAGATGCGCCAGTTTTACAGATAAGGAAACAGACTCAGATTAAATAGCTTCCAAAAAAGTCACACAGAGACTGACCTGTGACTGGAATTTTGGGCTGTTTGGTTACACAGCCTGTACATTGGCTGATCTACTGTGTTCCCTCTCTAAGTTCAATTTATTCATTTCTTCAGGTAATACAAACTTGGGAAACATTCTTACTCTCCCTCACCTTCTGTTTGTTCATCCTTAATATACACAGGCATTGTTAGATTCATGTATTCACCTAAATTTTGGTGCATATTCTGTCTGCAAGACACTGTGCTAAGAATAGGGTGATGTATAAATTAATACCAGTTCTGCAAAGAATGTTGGAGTTCAGGGGAAGCACGTGGGAGAGAAGTAGGTGACCAGTGAAGATGCTATAGAGGAAGAAGCATTTGGGCTGGAGCAGGAACAGTGGGTAGGGAGGGTTTCAGTAGGCAGCAATCAAAGAGCGGTCTACCAGGTGGTGAGAACAGTCTGAGCAAAGGCCCAGAGGACAGAAAGCACGTTGGGCCCTTCTAAGTAGGAGATTATTACAAGAGCTGCGTTGGGGCCAGATTTATAGAGGCTTTTGAGAATGCTATGGTATTTATAAATTTAAGAATTCTTCCAGTTCTAATATTCTCTTTCATGCTAAATAAATATCTATTGAATTCCCACAGTGTACAAAGCTCTGAGCTTTCTGTTCTGGTGCTTAGAAGTGGTCCTTCTTTGTCTTCCTACTGTATACAGTTTTGCATTCATCATCTACATGGGCCCAGGCAGGACATAAATCCAGAAGTGTATTTGGAAGTATTCGTTTCCCCAGGCTGTGGGAATAAATTACCACAAACTTGGTGGCTTAAAACACCTAAAAATTACTCTCTTCACAGTTCAGGAGGCTGAGAGTCCGAAATCCATGCTTCCTTTGGGGGTTTTGGGGAGAATCTGTTCCTTGCCTGCAAGCATCCAGTGACCAGCAGTATTCTTGGGTTGTGATCATATCCCACCAGTCTCTGCCTCCGTCTTCACGCTGCCTTCTTCTCTGTCTGTGTGAAACTTCCCTGTGCTTCTCTAGGAACATTTGTAGTGGCATTTAACCCTCTCCCCGCCACAATCCAGGGTTATCTCTCCACTGCAGAACCCTTCATCACATCTGCAGAACTCTTTTCCCAAGTAAGGTAATATTTGCAAGTTGCAGGGATTAGGACTTGATGTCTTTGTGTATCCATTATTCAGTCTGTTGCGTATATTTATCACAGAAATCACGTGGTGATTTGTACATTTTCTCTCTCTCACCACTTTCTCCTCAGCAGTGTGCTCCGAGCAACACAGACACCAGCTGTGAAGCCATTGTGGGCAGCACAGTGCGTGATGTGTCTACTCCTTCACGTGAACACTTTGGTACCTACTGTTTGTTAGTAACTGTGCTAGTTGCTGGAGAGTGAGGTAACCAAAACCTCCACAAGCTCTCAGTTCCAGAGGGTTAGAGACCAGCACACAAACAGTTGAAAGATGGTGGGATGAGAGCTGTGATTCGGGGCTATGAGAGCAGGTGAGAGGACTACCTGACCCAGCTGTGAGTGAGCAGGGGAGGTGACTTAGAAGAGGAGAGATCTAATCTGGTCCCGAGAAGTATATAGGAGTTTGCCAAGAAGTAGATAAAGAAAGTTCCAGATAAAACTATGGCTGGGGCCGGGCGCGGTGGCTCACGCCTGTAATCCCAGCACTTTGGGAGGCCGAGGCGGGTGGATCATGAGGTCAGGAGATCGAGACCATCCTGGCTAACAAGGTGAAACCCCGTCTCTACTAAAAATACAAAAAATTAGCCAGGCGCGGTGGCGGGCGCCTGTAGTCCCAGCTACTCGGGAGGCTGAGGCAGGAGAATGGCGTGAACCCGGGAAGCGGAGCTTGCAGTGAGCCGAGATTGCGCCACTGCAGTCCGCAGTCCGGCCTGGGCAACAGAGCGAGACTCCGTCTCAAAAAAAAAACAAAAAAAAAAACTATGGCTGGAATGGTGGCTCATGCCTGTAATCCCAGCACTTTGGGAGGCTGAGGTGGGAGGATTCCTTGAGCCCAGGAGTTCGAGACCAGCCCTGGCAATATAGTGAGACCCCATTTCTGCAAAAAAATAATTAACTGGGTGCACACCTGTGGTCCCAGCTACTCAGGAGGCTGAGGCGGGAAGATTGCTTGAGCCTGGGAGGTTGAGGTTGCAGTGAGCTGGGATCACACCACTGCATTCCAGCTTGGGTGACAGAGTGAGCCTCTTCTCAAAAAAAGAAAACTACCTGTGCAAATGCCTAGAAGTCTAGGTAAGGGATTGGCAAGAGGAACAGAGAGAACTGAATGGATGAATGGATGGATTCAGAGGCCACCAAGGAGGTAAATGGGCAGACATTGGTGATTGTGGGTATATTATCCACCCGAAAGGAGGAATCGGTGCAATTCCTGTTTCTGCTTGGGACAGCCAGGTTTGTTGAATAAGATGGAGAACACAGAGGAAAGGACTGCTTTATGGGCTGGGATGGGTTGAGACAAGATGATTAGTCTGGTTTGAGAGAGTTGTTTTGTCTCCTATTATACCCCCCCATTCCTCTCTCTTTGTACGTTAAAAATCACCATGTCCAAAGATAAGGCAGTGTCCTTTGCCAAGTTAGCAGTTTTGTCATTTACTCTCACTCAGAACTGTGGAACACTGCCATGAA
This sequence comes from Homo sapiens, assembly GCF_000001405.40. NCBI lineage: Eukaryota > Metazoa > Chordata > Mammalia > Primates > Hominidae > Homo > Homo sapiens. Next base: position 150,229,760 of record NC_000004.12, read on the forward strand.
ATGATTCATATGTAAATTATTTGGAGTTAGAATCATGAATCACTTAACATATATAATGGTAGATAATTGAATAATGTAAGTTCAGTATGGCTCAAGACAAAAGAGATATTCATATTATATTTAGAAATATTCTCTTGGAAAATTTAGTCTAGAGAGCATTTTTTACATATTAGAAACAAAGACTACATACAGGTTGCACAAGAAATAGATAACGTTTGTAACGATTTTTATGCAGTACTTTATTTTGCTTCTGATGATGATTAGTTTCAAAAGTGGATTGTTCCTTCATAGACAATTTTACAGGGACAGCAAGAGGTTGAGAAAGGCTAACAGCTCCCATGTTTTAACAAAAACATTCACTCTGTGCTTAGAATATTAGCCATTGTCAAGTAGAATTCAGTAGGCTAATAAGTGGTGGAGGAAATGTTGCTGCAGTATTTGAAAGGTAACACTGCTGATGGCCCTTAGGAGAAGTTCCACAATGTATCCCAGAAGACCTTCTGTTGTGCCTTTTATTGAAAAAGATAATAACTTTTGGGAGTTGTAGTCTCCTTATGTGGTAGATATCTTATTTACTTCAATTTGAGAGAGATTCTTGGGGTACTGGTGAGGGGATTATCTTACAGATATCACTAAATTAGCAACACAAACACAGCCCCCAGGGAGAGGCGAATATATAGACTCTTCTAACTTTGGGTAAAATGAGGAGCAGGAAGGAGAATTGAAGTGATAGATTCATTTAGCTTTAAAATAAAAAACCTATTTAATGACAGTAGCAACTGTTGTCTTTGCTTCACACGGAGGGAAATAAATTGATGTGCTTGCTTATACATGTTCACAAAAGTGTATCTAACCCTGCTTTTTAGTGTGATTGAGGATATGCTTGGTGCAGATGATCCAAAAGCTTCAAAATATGTGAATCAATGGAGAGGGTTTGCCAAGTCTTTTGTCTTTGCAACCATGAGGGGCTGGCTGTACAGCTGCTTCCCAAGGGAGGAAACGGGGCTCTGTCTGCTGCTCTGTAACTTAGACAGATGGGCTTGGAGACAGATAGGAGACCCTGTTCTTGACTTCCCAGCTGTGGTTTACTGGGGTCTAAGAAACACCATTCTTCAGATTTTGAAGCGTTTGTTGAGTCCTGAGCCAGTCAAAGACTTCCTAGCCCTGTTCATTAAAAGAAGCATAGATTCTCCTCCTTGCACAAACCCTGGTGTGATTCTTAACCCCCAAATCAGTGTGGTGCTACTGCATGCTCTTATCTTTTTAAGGAATTAAATATTTTCAGCTTACAGCTATAATTTTTATTTTGAAGAATTCCAACTTGGCATTTACTGAATTCTTCCCCTTTGGAAGGTGATAATGTGTGTATAAGAAAGATGGGCTTGGATGTCAGAAACCTAGTTTACATTCAACCTCCAGTGACTGTTTCCAAGGATAAAGTGTTCAAACATTACACAAGTACCTTACACAGCTACTAACAAACAGTGACTAGATTCCTAGTAAATGTTGGTTTCTTTCTTTCCCATACTTCTGTTTAGCAAATTTGCACTGTCACTCGCTAAGATTTATTGAGTGACTGCTTGGACAAGCACAGTGCATTCAGTGCTCAAGAAACACAACCTACCATGTGCAGGAGCTTGAAACAGATTTTTCTCCACATGTTATTTATTCATTTGTTATAATTTCTATTTCCAGCTATTGTCCAAAAGGGTGAGGTGGCTCTTAGCTTCATGCATCCATGTGTAAAAATACATGTACACATGTTGAGAGGTCTTAATGTCTCATTTAAAACACAGCAATCATTGTTCATGATTCATGGGTTGACGTATTAAGAATAATTCGTTAATTCTGTAAGTAAACATTTTGCTACAGTGCTGATCCCAACTGTGTTACTCACCAGGATTGATAATCAGGTGGTGTTTTCAGAGGAGAGTGATTAGAGCTAAAATGAGAATAGTGGTCCCCGTGGTTCTGTATGTTTTCAGATTTCTGAAATACAAGATGTTAAAGAACATCCATCTGGTGAATGATTTCATATCCAGTCATAGAGGAAGAAAGTTCTTTTTTTCATAAATTTCAGCATGAAATTCAAATTCATGTTAGTAACAGTTTAAAAACTAAAAATGCTTAATGCCAGAAGTTAGATTTCATAAGCATGCCAAGTTTTCTTATATGCCTAGTCTTTATTTGTGAGTGTATACCGAAATCAAAAAGTGGCTCTGGCTGAATTACAAAGCACAGAGCTGTGTGCTGAAGCTTTCATAGCATCACAACCTCTTAAGGTGTTAGAAATAATGACAAGCGAGAAGACAGTATGCTTAATACACCACAGAAGCACCATGGAGCCTTTTGGGGGATGTTTAGGAGTCTGTATCTTTTTGGTAATGTCAATAATATGTTCACACTGACCCTGTCCCTACAGGGACAATTAGGTCAGGTTTAGTTGTCTTTGTGCCAAGAGCAATGCTTTCTTTGGCATCAGATCCACAGGCTGTGTTTGTTTTGCTGTCCTCCAGGCCTTCGAGAGCAGAGGGTTCTGTGATTTCTGATCTCCTCTCTATACCGTTCATTTGACAGGAACACCTGATTGAGAATGAAGTGTCAATACTGCGCCGAGTGAAACATCCCAATATCATTATGCTGGTCGAGGAGATGGAAACAGCAACTGAGCTCTTTCTGGTGATGGAATTGGTCAAAGTAAGAGGATAGAGAGATTTTCTTGGTGCCTAGTCCCACAATTTACAACATCCTTGAAGGACCTAATCAGAAAAGTGTATTGCTACCTCATAACTTTCATTATTTATAATCGCCGATTTTAGTGGCACTTGTGTCATTCTCTGCTTTATGCCAATGAGCCATCTTTCTTACCTTCATAGGATTGCACTGTTGATGCTTTGATATGTTCTTTTATGTATCGTTTAGGGTGGAGATCTCTTTGATGCAATTACTTCGTCGACCAAGTACACTGAGAGAGATGGCAGTGCCATGGTGTACAACTTAGCCAATGCCCTCAGGTATCTCCATGGCCTCAGCATCGTGCACAGAGACATCAAACCAGAGAATCTCTTGGTATGTCATCCCTGCTTTTTCTGTTCCAATGAATGCCTCTCTTCCTTTAAAAGGAGCACATGCAAATAATGGCATTTTATAGTCTATACCAATCCTACATTATGAGACTTTAAATTTAGAAAATTAGCAAGACTTATGTCAATGACCATCAAATACTAATGGAGTTCTTGAATTTTTCTGCATTTGTTATTTACCACTCTGCTATATTTCTCACTCTGCTATAAAGAACTACCTGAGACTGGGTAATTTATGAAGAAAAGAGGTTTGATTGACTCACAGTTCCACAGGCTTAACAGGAAGGCCTCAGGAGACTTACAATCATGGCGGAAGGCGAAGGGGAAGCAAGCACCTTCTTCACATGGTGGCAGGAGAGAAAGAGAGCGAGGAGGGAAGTGCCACACATTTTTAAACCATCGTATGTTATGAGAACTCACTACCACAGGAACAGCATGGGGGAAATCTGCTTCCATAATCAAGTCACCTCCCATAAGGTGCCTCCCCCAACATTGGGAATTACAGTTCAACATGAGATTTGGGTGGGGACACAGAGCCAAAGCATGTCACCAGATACAAGAAAATACATTTTCATTTATATTTTAATTGATGGTACTGACTTAAAGGTGAGCAGGAAAATTATTTTATAGGGCAGAAAATTGTGAAGAATAAATTTGAGACAGAATTAGAGGCTCATAGGAGACAGGAGTAGAATGTGGGGGTTCATTTATTTGCAGGGAATAATTTTGGAAATAGTCTAGTCCATTCATCTCAGCTTTACTAAAGGCATGGAAACAGAGACCAAGAGATGCCATTTTTTTTTCTTAGAAGTCTCTTTTATCCTATTATTCTACAGAATAAAAAGTCTTATTCCACTATGGTACCCAGAGTTCTTCATAGTCTGATCTCAATTTGTCTTTTCAGCTTCCTGTCCTGTTAATAACTCTTATCCATCCAACCCAACATGGTCTAAGCTTCAAGCCATATTGAACTCACCTTCATGGTGACTCTTGATAACTAGACACAGCTTGCTAATTGGGAACCAATCCTCGTGACCACGTTATAGAAGAATTTTAGAGAAACTGGTTGGGGGATTTGACATTTACACTCCTCCCAGCCCCCCACAAACACACATGACATAGTTGGCTTCTTTATTTCCACCTTTCAGGGCTCTCATCCTCATTCCTGCTTGGGAGGCAAGCTTATCTGAGTCTTCTACATCATGTTAATCCAAACACAGATTCCTCCATCCTCAGTTTTTAGTTAAGACTTGACTTACCAGCAGCCTTACACCTCCATTGCTTCTGTCCATACTGGTCTTCATTTGCAGCGTCCTCTCTTCCAGCATTGTGGTAAACCATTCATCTTGTAATACATTGAGCAAAAGTTAAGTCTTCTTTAACATCACTCTAGACTTTCTAGACAAAGTTCAGTCACAGCCACCTCGGGTTTCTGCTGCACTTGCTACGGTGTTGTGATCTTTATCATACACTTGTCTGCCTCTTTGGGATTGTAAGTACCATGGAGGCAAGGTTTGTGTCTAATTATCTTTATATCTCCAATGGTTTGGATGGTGACACGTAAACACATAACGGACAGCAGAGTATTGCTCACTGACCACTGACACTCACTCAGCTAGCAGCTGGTGCTAGAGCATGAGCCTCTACAGCCTGCTGTGAGCACCACACAAATAACTGTTGAAAGGAATATGCATTGATGCACAGCATCTGAAGCCATCCTGGGGACTTTTTATTTTTTGGCTAATCTAATCCAGAGTACCCGTCTTTTCTTTTTGGTAATATCATTTGATGATTTCTGAGTATCCATTTAAAAGTATTTGAAATTTTATCTCACTGTCTTCTGCCTTGAGGGAATTATATTTCATTTCTATATGTTCTTATTAGGAAAAGAAATATCCCTGCTCTGTGTTAAAAAAAAAAAAAAAGGGGGATTGTGGACGTGGTTTTATGAACTCTAACAAGGAATGGAGACAGAGTTGTAAACCGAGCCTCAGGAGGAAAGTTAGGATATGGCGTTCTCTCCTCAAAACAGGCTTCTCGCCCATTGGGACCTTGCAGCATGCCAGGCTCCTCCACCGTCGAACTGAGTTTGGCCCGGGCTTCGCAAACAAAGGCACAGGGCTTTCTCCAGGTGTGACCAGACACAAACACTGGGGCATTCATAAGGATACCCCCTTGACTGCTTCCTGCTCTCCACAACCTGCCTTGCCCCACTGGCTCTAGTTACTGCATTCTCTGAAAATATGGGAGCCACAGGTTCCCAAGGAACCCCTGCAGCCAGTCTGTCCAACAGCCCTGATTTAAGGCCCAGCAAAGAAGGTGACTGAGGTGCTTGTGAGCTTCCCTATAAACCAGGGAGTCCATTTCCCAGCTCACAGATCTCACTCTCACCTCCTGTTTCTTCTCTTTTCCACTCAGAGTTTCTTAATGTATGTAAAGAATCTGACACCGCCTCCTTTTTTCTTGTCACACATCAAGGGTGGATAATGTTTTTCACTTCTTCAGGAGAATTGGCTAAAATTTAAAAAATTTAAGAGTAAGTAATGTAATGGGGATTGATGTCTCCAACATCATGAGTCTCAGAATGCAATCAGGAAATCAGAGTCACACTCCTCATTGAGTCTCACCTGTCCTAGATGAGCGTCCACCCCTTCCCAAACCTACGGGAGCCCCCTTGTGTTAGCCCAGAAAGGGAGGAGAAGGAAGAAGAGGATAAAACTGACCTCTGGAAGAGGCGAATATGTGATGTAGAAAGGCTCTTCCGAGCCTTCAGAAATAACCATAGCCTCATATATCTCAGTAAAATGTGTTTGCGATTGAAAACCTAACTAGATCACTTGGCAGTTTCTAGATTTAGTCAGCAGGTTGGTATTGGCCTGGGAGGAGAGGGTGCCATTGAGATACTAAAAGTAAATACCCAGAGTGACTGTCGGCCTCTTCTTGCTCTGAGAACTAATTCAGTTTTTAAACACCAGAGCATTCAGACATCTGATTTGCATCCCGCTCTCCGGTAAGCAGCATCATAATTTAAAACCCTGCCAGTGGAGATGTATGGGTAGCTGTGTCAGGGAGCACAGGGGTGGCCGTTAATGCTGTGAGTTACAGCCTGGTGGTACCGTGTCAGAGTTAAGTATGAGAGACCAGTGATAAATTCAGGTTGTCCAGGAGTTCTGGGGATAGGAGAGAGAAGAGAAGAGGGTTGGTTTCTCATATTTGAAGTCCTTCTAAATCATTAAGTTGACATTTTATTTAGAGAACACACAGTGTTCATTTTGTATGTGGGATCTGCATTCCTCGCATTTTTTATTTTTGCATTCTGAGAGCAACTTTTGACAGAAGCATCTCACAGCTTGTGGTGGGGCGTTTGAACACTGCAGGGCTAGAGTTCTCACAGTTGTGATTGTTTAAATTCACTCAAAATCTGTAAGTAAGTGCAGGCTGTAGTCAGGGTTCTGGCAGGCCTTTCCAGTTATTTTTCAGGTACAGAATCTTGCAGAATGGTGCTGTGGAATGAATAATGATCCTGGCTGGAGCCCCTGCCTGGCCATATGACTAGTAACCTGAGTGCTGTGCGCCTCAGTCTCCTCGTTTGTAAAATGGAGGTAACAGTTCTCTTCCTAGTTGCCCAGTGGGGTGGCTCTAGAAGTCCAGTGAGATAATCTTCGAAAGAATTTTGAAATCTCCAAAGTCCTTGAGAATGTCAGTTTCTGGGGAGACCTGAACTCTGCCAGAAAGCCTTTGGAGTCCCTGTTCATCTAGTCACCTCTTTATTAAAGGCAACTGTTTTTAAAGCAATGATGTGTGTGTCTCTGTATCTATCTAGAGAGAGATATATGTATAATTTCTTCCTGCTTTGAAGACAGTCTCTCACTAAGATTTGAAATGTATTCATATTAGACATGTTTGCTTCTGTGTCCAGCATTGGGGAGAGATGAATCAGATAAAATATGACTTCAGGCTTGTCTACCCCTAATGACACTTCCTTTGTGATGTTTAGCCAAGGAATATCACTTGCACAGACATAATTCAGCAGTTACAGACTGTTCAGTCCCTTTCTATATATGCTCCTGCATCTGACTCTGAATTCTTTATAGAGGATGTGAAAAACAGGACTTCAGGGACTTCTGAGTATCTGACAGCAACCTCTGAATACCCCTAGGCATCACTAAATGGAGTCTTTAAAATAAATACTATTTTTCAAAAATTGTACCTAATGAGTATATTTTTAAGTTGTAAAAACAAAATAACAGTGACATTAATAAAACTTTTTTTTTTAACTCTCATGATGCAGACAGTTAGGAATTTGTGCTTATAACATTCTTATCACTGTAATTACTTAGGAAATTTCTTTCCAAAGTCTGGGTTTTGGTAAAAGCATTATAAATTCTAACTATAATTATATCAGATTGTTCTTGTTAATGTTTACATTAAACATAATGGGTGGAAAGTTTTCCTAAGACTGTGACGTGACTAAGAATCTGGAATCCGTTACTTTAGGCTGAATCATTCATATCTTTGAAAATGTTTCTGCTGACTTGTGGGCTGACTCAGAGTTGTAAATATCTATGAGGGACTCAAAATCCTCATCATTACTCCTGTGGAACTTTAAAGTCATAAAGATATGTGTTAGAGATGTGTATTCAGTATATAAGACTGGAAAACGTTATTCAGATACTAAAGGTGAAACATATTCTTATTAAATGGATAAGGACATCACAGGTAAGGGAGGTATTTCAGTGCCGTCCTCTTTAAAATGCCTGTAAAACTTGGGGAATTACTGGCCTGGGAGAGCCCTGCGGTTCTCCATTCTTTTTTACTGATGACTATTTAAATCACTCCCCCTCATTAAGTAGCAGACTAATGGATGATGTTGCTAACATGCTTATCTTGAAAAAACATCATTTTCTAAATTTTTCTCCTTCTACAGTTAATAGTGGTTGCGATAAATATCTGGTTCAGCAAAATATGAGACAAAGCAAACTATGCTTAAAATAGAAAAATAGAAACAGGCATTACAATGAGTATAGACTAGGTCTCTGCAGCAGTTTATTCTCTGAAATTCCATGTTTTCAAAATGGACATCCAAGAGACAAATAGACTATACACTCAGGTTCAGGACTGCATGGTGAAACTTGAATTATGCTGTCATACGCACTTGTTTGCTTCCAAAACTATTCACTTAGAACCTAACTTTCTAAAGTTATATTTATCCCGTAGTTTTGCTTATATATGAAATTATTATGAAACCAACACATGTTCATTGTAAACATTTTAGAAACCACTGAGAACTATAAAGAAAATTAAATTAATCCTTCATGCTACCACTTAGAGATAAACTTGTTAACATTTTTGAGTATTTTATATGTAATTTTGCATTTTTTAACTCTGCATAATAGTGACTATTTCCCATATGATTAATATATTTGAAAAATGCTTATTAGAAAGTATGTAATATTTTATTATGGTAATGTATCATAGTCATTGCCCTATTACCCATTTATGTTGCCCTTAGTTTTTAAAAGTCATAGATAAATTCTGAGATTAGCGTCCTTATATATAACGTTTGGGTCCATCTCTATTCCCCTAGAGTAGGTTTTGAGAAGTAGACTTATTGGGTCAAAGGTTATAATTGATATAAAGAAATTTGCTATATATTGCTGAATGCTTTCTAGAAAGGTTCTTTAAGCATAAATAGTCACGTCTCCACCAGCATTTTTAAACCTTTTCCAATGTGATAATTATCTAATCAGCCAGTCCTTCCAGGAAATGGAAGGAACATTTTTTATTTTTTTACTTTTTATTTTTTCTCATCTGATTACCCACAAGGAAGGAGCATTTATTGAGCCCTGTTCTGAGCTTTGTCTCATTTCACCTTCACACCAACTTCACAAGGGAGGTACTGGCATTATCTCACTTCATAGATGAAGAAATGTGCTCAGAGAGGTTATGTGACTTCAGAGGTCACACAACCAGATGTGTGGACTTGTTATGGAAGTTCAGGCTGCCTGATCCCAAAGGTCATTTTCTTTCTAAACTTCCAAGGTTTTCCCCTATATCATATTTGTATTTCATCATTGACTGTCTAGACAACAAGGACCCCATTGCTGCCCCCAATTTTATTTTCTGAACTAAACATGCTAGTGCCGTGGAGATCACCAAGTGCTTTGGTGGACACTTAATACACCATTTCTTGGGCTCTCAAGTACATCACACATAGTAAATGCTAAATAAAGGTCAGTTTCTACCTCCAGGATTAGAGGCCTCTCTCACGCCTATCAGGTACACAGCCGCCTACACTCTAACTACTGTGTAAGCAAGCACGTGTGTTCATCGTACTCCTAGGGAAGGAACTTTCTGCAAAAGTGGAAAATATTTTTTCCAAATTTCACACAATTGTGCAAAATCTCTGAAGAGAAAAAAATTAGCACTTTAAAGCAACAAAGATGAATCATGGTGTTAGAATCACAAGGAGGTGTCGGGCACGGTAGCTCATGCCTGTATTCCCAGCACTTTGGGAGGCTGAGGTGGGCAGATCTCACGATCCCAGGAGTTCAAGACCAGCTTGGGCAGTATAAGGAGACCCCGTCTCTACAAAAAATAAAGAAATTAGCCTAGTGTGGTGGCATGTACCTGTAGTTCCAGCTACTTGTTGGGGGTTCCGTGGGGGAAGGATTACTTCAGCCCAGAGGTTGAGGCTGCAGTGAGCTGTGGTCACACCACCGCACTCCAGCCTGGGCAACAAAGCGAGACCGTGTCTTCAAAAAAAAAAATCACAAGGAGAGATTTCATTCGAGTTTAATAGTAAATGTATTTGTGTCCTTTCTGCCTAATTCCAAGAGCCCTCTCACAATTGTTGAGGAAAAAAAAATCTTCTGATTGTTGGCTGATTTCTGTTTCAGGTGTGTGAATATCCTGATGGAACCAAGTCTTTGAAACTGGGAGACTTTGGGCTTGCGACTGTGGTAGAAGGCCCTTTATACACAGTCTGTGGCACACCCACTTATGTGGCTCCAGAAATCATTGCTGAAACTGGGTAAGACTTCTGGTGGCCCTGGTTAGTACTTTAACTTTGATGAGAAAGGTCTGTTTTGTTGCTATTGCTGCTTGTGTATACAGTTGGTAAGAAAGGTCTGTTTTGTTGCTATTGCTGCTTGTGTATACAGTTGGTAAGAAAGGTCTGTTTTGTTGCTATTGCTGCTTGTGTATACAGTGCCTCCTGTGAAGGTGGAGAATGGAAAGAAGTGAGAGTCTGTTGCCTGCACCATGATTTTGACCTCAGGAAGCAGATTTTATGCTTACCTGGCCAGAGCCCTGGCCTGGACTTGTGTTCTAAGGCCACTCTTGAGAGTATGGCAGTAGTCACCAAGACTGTGGTTAGGTTGGCAGAAACAGATGCCTTTTTCTAAAGTGTGATTCATTCATCTCTATGTGAAATGAAATGAATAATTTAACACTAAAATAATCCTTTTCCTAACAAATAAAGGCAATACTCCAGTACCATGGAAGGGTCTTGGGAGCCATCAGTTCTCTCCCCCTCACCCACTTTGTTTTCCTAGCTATGGCCTGAAGGTGGACATTTGGGCAGCTGGTGTGATCACATACATACTTCTCTGTGGATTCCCACCATTCCGAAGGTAGGCGGCCTTTTGGGCGACGTATTTGAATTGCAAATGTTCTCCCTTGGGTCCAGAAGCAGGTACTTTGCTCCTGGAAGTCGGGACTGTTTGGTCATTAAAAATGCCAGTTAAAAATTACATAAAACGGGGGGAGGGGGGAGGGATAGCATTGGAAGATATACCTAATGCTAGATGACGAGTTAGTGGGTGCAGCGCACCAGCATGGCACATGTATACATATGTAACTAACCTGCACAATGTGCACATGTACCCTAAAACTTAAAATATAATAAAAAAAAAAAAAGAAAAAGAAAAAAAAAAATCAGAAAAAAAAAATTACATAAAACACCTTTCGCTTTTTAATTTACAGCCTATTAATGTATATTCTCATTAGCATACTTTGGGTGTGAGGTGAAGGCCTTTGCTTTGTGTTTGGTTGGTCCTCTGAGTTTCCAGTGTTCATTCTTTCATAAAAATAAACCCATAATACAGTGTCTACCATGTCCAATTTCTCCATCTTTTCAAATGACAGCAAGATTTAAAGAGCCTTGTGAAGCAGTCCGAATCCTTCCAGGTATGTCATCTTCCATTTCTTCATAGTGGTCTCTCTCACTCAATTAGGCAGCAGTTTTTATATCCTCTTTCCAAGCATTCAAGTTTGTTCTCATAGAAACAGGATCTCTTTCTTCTTAAAATTCATTTTATTGGTTCATGTGACATTTAATTAAGAATAGAATTACAAACACTTGTGGTATAAATAGGCCTGGGAATACACAGACTGAGTGAGTCTTGGTAACCATTTGCTTCACATGGTGGGAGCAGAGATGGCCACTGACAATGGTCAGAGTATTTGAGCAGGGCACGGGAGCACACTCATTGGCCTGGCAATCTTTGTGCAGGGAATGAGTGAGGGGCTTCAGCCACAGCTCTTTTGATGAGTTTCATCTCCCCCTCTGGAGCAAATGAATTACTCTGAAGCAGAAGTTCATCTAACCATGCATGTTCTGTTTTCTTCTGAGTTTTCTTGACCTCTTTTCACTTTAATCTCTTCCCTTTGTTCATTTTGTAACTGTCTAATGAGTAGCTACTGTGTGCCAGGCATGATTTTAAGTGCTAGGAATAAAGTGGTGAACAAAACCTGAGGTTGTGGTTTCCCTTAGTTTATTTGACTAGCCATAACAAAATATCATATACAGTGTGGCTTATAAACACCAGAAAATTCATCCTTCCAGTTCTGGAGGTTGAGAATTCCAAGATCAAGGTACTGCAGATTTGGTGACTGTTGAGGGCTCACTTCTTGGTTCATAGACAGCCATCTCCTCACTCTAACCACATACAGTGGAAAGGGCAAGGGAATCTCTGGGGTCTTTTGTAAGGGCCCTAATCTTATTCATGAGAGCTCCACCCTTAACAATAGCATGGCTGCCCAAAGGTCCCATCTCCTACTACCATCACATTGGGCATTAGGTTGCAGCATGTGAATTTTGGGGAGACATGAACATTTAGCCTATGGCATGGTGTTTATAGTGTTGTACTGGGTCACTATGTGAAAAATGGTTTTATCTTCTTTTCCATCCAACATTTTATTGTGAAAACTTTCAAACATACAGAAAAGTTGAAAGGATTATCTTTTTAAAATTCTCGGTTTTCCCATTGCGTTGAACAATTTTCTAATTGGCATTGCAGTAAACATAAGACTGACAGATGTTAGTCTCTACTTTTGAAAGCCTTATGCTATAGATAAAGACACACCTCACAAGACTATTGATCAAAGAGAATAAGCAGAGCATGAGGGAGTGCTTAGTTCAGGGCTGGAAATCACAAGGATGTAGCATTCATGAAAGATGTAGCATTTGAGTGAGACCTTTGTGGTATTAGTGGAGTTTTTGTAGGTGGAAAGATATTTCCATCTGGCCGTCAACATCGTGGTCTTCCACCAAAGTCATTAACTAGGTGGGTTACACAGACTGTAGAATTACTGTACATTTCAGTTAGCTTTTGCTGAGTAACACACTACCCCTGAAGTTAGGAGTGTGAAACAATTGCATGGATCAGTTGAGTGAATCTTCTGAGCTGGCTGGCTCAGCAGGGGCTTGATGGTCTAGGATGACCCCACTTGCACACCTGGTAGGTGGCTCAGTGTCCACTGGGACAAGAGAGATGACTTGGCCCTGTGCTTTCATCATGCAGGGGCTGTCCTGGGCTTCCATGAGAGTGGATGCAAGATTCCCCAAAGCAGCCAGAGACAGGGCAAGTTCTGCTCCCCGAGCACTTCCTCAGCCTCTGCTCACCTCACACTTGATGTGCCGTTAAGCAAATCAAGTCAAACAGCTAACCCAAGAGTAAATGTGGGAGAAAATGAGCTAAGTATATAGTGGGAAGGGAATAATTTGTGGCCATTTTTAAAGTCACACCGGGCCTTGGCTGGTCTCAGTGATGTCATGTTTTGGGAGAAGGGGTCAAGTGGAGAAGGGGAATGCATCTTGATGACAGGTGATCCTGGGCCAGTTACAGTGGAGTTCCCTTCCCTGGCTAACCCAAGCTGGGATCAGCTGGGAAAGGGTCTTGGGTGATGAGTTTGAGCGGACTGTGTGCTCACAACTCCCTCTAGTGTTTGCAGTTGCTGGTGCAGCCTGAGAGTTTTTTCTTTCACTGCTTTTTACTTTTTAAAAAAAGTGAGACTCAAATTGAAGAGGATGCATTTATCATGGATTGATACTGAACGGGGAGCAGCTTTTTTGTGGGGTCTAGAGATAAGTTTAGCTAATCAAAAGCAATAAAGCTACATTCTGAAAGCTGCTGCCCTTATATGCTGCCTTCAGAAGCAGGTCATAGACCTCCAGGTAGCTTTTAAAAATTAAGACAGCGCTTTCCCTCTTTTATATCATATTGTGATGAAAGAGAATCTGTAATGTTAAACGTGTGTTACCAAAGTGTCTTCATGGCATACAGCGACATTCTGGGTAGATTTTATAACCTACTATAATACAGAAATGCATGTCATTAATTACGGACATGGTACTTTAAATTACGGTAAATAAGTTTGGTATAAAGTAGATTGTCTACATTTGTACTTAAAAGTCCTTCACATATTTCAAATAGTCTCTTTGTTTTATACAAAAGACAACTTTAACCCAAAGCATTTAAACTACAATCGTTACTTGGAATTTACAGTTTTAGCTTCTCTGACGATAGCATCTTTCATTCTTTCTTCCTTCAGGCTTTTCAGGTTTTAGTTGTAGTTTGACATGTGTTCTCTTTCTAGTCTTTTTTTTTTCTTTTTTATAGGCAGGATCTTGCTCTGTCACCCAGGCTGGTGTGATCACAGCCCACTCCAGGCTCAAGGAATCCTCCCACCTCAGCCTCCCAAGTAGCTGGGACTACAAGCACACACCACCATGCCCAGCTTTTTTTTTTTTTTTTTTGGTAGAGATAGGGTCTCACTTTGTTGCCCAGTCTGTAAATTTTATTTTTTAATTTTTTTAATTTATTTTTTAAGAGACAGGGTCTCTGTTGACCAGGCTGGAGTGTAGTGGTGCAATCATAGCTCACTGCAGTCTCCAACTCCTGGCTCAAGCAATCCTCCTCCCTCAGCCTCCTGAGTAGCTGAGACCACATGTGTGCACCACTATATTGCACTAGTTGTTGAAGTTTTTCGTTGAGATGGGGTCTTGCAGTGTTGCCCAGGCTGGTCTTGAACTCCTAGCCTCAGGCAGTCCTCCCACTCCAGCCTCTCAAAGTGTTGAGATTATAGGTGTGAGCCACTGTGCCTGAGCCATTTCCCTCTAGTCTTTTTCAACATCAGATTCATCATTACCGAGAAGTAGATTGGTTTTTCAGAGGCACCCAAAATTTTAGTTGTTGTCTAAGCAAGTCTGCTCTTAGGGTCACTGACAAAAAGTATTATTTGTGTGACTATACTGAAATTTTTGTTTCTCTTAAAACACACACAAAATGCTCCAAGTGGAATGTTTGAACATCATTTGGGAAATAGCTTACAACATTTTCAGGTTTACCTTTTCTGAATTATAATGCTTTGTCATTGAAAAGAGAGCGTGTGCACAAACTCTTTTGTTGTTTTTCAAGTTTTTCTTAATGGACATTTTTAGACTTACGGCACCTTGGTCCAAAGGCTATATTGTTTTAGAATTTAAAAATGCCATGAAGGATCTCAGCCAGATTGTGGAGTATCAATGCGATACCGGATCCAGTGTGGATTTAATCAGAACAGCTTTTCTTACATGACTGCTAAGAAAGATAAATTAGCTTTCTATTTTTCTAGTGCGGGGCAGGCCCCAACTGTCAAAGCTCTTGCAACTTACAGTGGATACTTCAGGGTCCCATTCTCATTGCTGAGACACCCTGTGGTTTTGTTTGTTGACTCAGGGTATTTTGCCAAGAACCAGCTGCTATAAATGACTGCTGTGCACACACTTCCAGCTTTTTAGCTATTTATTAACAAAATAAAAGCTGTATACATTAACAAAATATAAGATATTTGAGATTCCAGAAAAAATAAGGGGGAGTTGAGTGGAATAATAGGTAAGGATGACTAAAAAGAATGATTGTGGAAATAGCTCATTTTAAATATCTTTTTCTAACATCATATGTTGGAGCCCTCTGGTTCTCTGAAGTTTTCCACTAAATCTAATAATCTTAGATGTATTCTGTACTCACTTTGAAGGAGCAGTAAGCTGAGTTCACTCAGCAGGGAAATAACAGTGAAAAGGAAAGAAAACATTTTGACACTAAGAAACGCGTGTGCATTCACAGGAAATCACTCTTTGGGACAGTAGTGGTAATCTCTTTCTCTTGCCTGGCCCAGTTATCTGTCCTGACTTTCACTCCTCAGTGTGCCTCTTCACCAAACTCTGTGGACCAGTGGGTGTCCATTCAGCTGGGCTTGCTTTTTTTTGTTGTTTTTATTTTATTTAAGTTCTAGGGTACATGTGCCCAACGTGCAGGTTTGTTACATATGTATACATGCGTCATGCTGGTGTGCTGCACTCATTAACTCATCATTTACATTAGGTATATCTCCTAATGCTATCCCTCCCCCTTCCCCTACCCCATGACAGGCCCCGGTGTGTGATGTTCCCCTTCCTGTGTCCAAGTGTTCTCATTGTTCAATTCCCACCTATGAGTGAGAACATGTGGTGTTTGGTTTTTTGTCCTTGCGATAGTTTGCTGAGAATGATGGTTTCCAGCTTCATCCATGTCCCTACAAAGGACATGAACTCATCCTTTTTTATGACTGCATAGTATTCCATGGTGTATATGTGCCACATTTTCTTAATCCAGTCTATCATTGATGGACATTTGAAATAGGAACACTTTTACACTGTTGGTGGGACTGTAAACTAGTTCAACCATTGTGGAAGACAGGGTGGCAATTCCTCAAGGATCCAGAACTAGAAATACCATTTGACCCAGCCATCCCATTACTGGGTATATACCCAAAGGATTATAAATCATGCTTCTATAAAGACACATGCACACGTATGTTTATTGCGGCACTATTCACAATAGCAAAGACCTGGGCTTGCTCTTAAATGTCATGAATATTTACAAAGCTCACAAACTCTACTCTTTTTTTTTTTTTTTGAGACAGAGTCTTGCTCTGTTGCCCAGGCTGGAATGCAGTGGTGCGATCTCAGCTCACTGCAACCTCCGCCTCCCAGGTTCAAGGGATTCTCCTGCCCCAGCCTCCTGAGTAGCTGGGATTACAGGTGCGCACCACCATGCCTGGCTGATTTTTTTGTATTTTCAGTAGAGACAGGGTTTCACCAAGTTGGTCAGGCTGGTCTTGAACTCCTGACCTCAGGTAATCCACCCACCTTGGCCTCCCAGAGTGTTGGGATTACAGGCATGAGCCATCACACCCAGCCAACTCTGCTCTTTTTAATAGGAGAGGAATGAGGGAGCCATGTCATCACAACAGCCCTAGAATTTATTGCTAGACACTGTCCTGAATGATCTGTTTCTCAGGACACCACGCTTGCCCTTGTTCCCCTTTGAGAGGGTTGGTAGCAAAACCCTGAAGGCTGGGTGAAGAAATTCCAAGAAAAGTTTGCACACTCGCCGGGTAATACTTAACTTGCACTCCTGGATTTTGAAGTTGACTCCAACAGCCCATTCTGAGCTTTCTCATGGGGCCTTGTAATGGCCTGGAAAACTAGTGATGCTGTTCCTCACTCTAGCCATCGATGCACCCACCAAGTGAGGGGGCTGTGGAGGTGAGGTTATATGGGAGGTTGGGGACGTCTTCCCCAGTGGTGTTTCCACATTTCCATGACATCATTCATGAGAAGTCAGGTCAGCCTGTATTCATCAGGCACTAACTGTGTAAGTGCACCTCCGAGGGTGGGTCAGTCAGGCGCAGGTTGGAGGGATGCCCCTGTGAGCTGCTGACATGGGTTTGCCTCAGCCTGTGCCATTCTGCTTGGCATCTTGGGTTGGCCCTTCCTCTCAGACTGAGCTTAAATGAAAGTCAGTTTCCAAGAGTGAACTAATTATTTCATGAATGTTTATCCAGATCCTGAACTCCTTATGACTTTTTCATATGTTGGCTGTTCCACTGATCTTTGGCTGTTAAAGTGCAAAGAAGAAGGGAAAGGAGATCGGACTTAGATTTTCTGCCTTTCCTTTCTTGTTGCCATGACAGCTTGAGGGCAGATACTGATTTTTTTCCCCCCAAAATGAGGATTTCCATTATTTGTGGATTCAAATATTTTCTTGAGTGTGTGTGTGTGGTAAATATACATAAGAAAATTGATCATTCTCACCATTTTTAAGCGTACAGTTCAGTACCACTAAATGCATTCACATTGTGTGCAAGAATCACCACCGTCCCTTTCCAGAACTTTTCCATCTTCCCAAACCGAAACTCTGCATTCATTAAGCAAATGTTTGAGTCATTGTCTCTGTCTCTTTAATTCCTCGGCCTATGGAAATGTTCTTTGGCTCATTATCTAAAAGGAGAAGTTCTGTCATTACAAATGGAATTGAGATACATAATTGAGATACGGAATGCCCAAGTCAAAGCCAGAGACTGGACTCCTTTCCCCGCTCTTCCTGTGGACATTTTGTTGAAAAATTCTACGGTGACTTTGACTTTTCTTCCATTTCTTTGTCACTGGCTTAGTGAGAACAATCTCCAGGAAGATCTCTTCGACCAGATCTTGGCTGGGAAGCTGGAGTTTCCGGCCCCCTACTGGGATAACATCACGGACTCTGCCAAGGTACCCTCCAGGCCTGTTTCTGTGGGTTGTATTACGTTGTGGGGTCCTCACCCATTGCACAGGGCTGTAGCTGCGCTAGGTATTGCATTCCAGAAAGCTCCTTGGCTTTTAATGTGTGGTTCTTCTTTTAAGTTTATCCCATGGTATGGTCTCTGAAGTTCTTGGCCAAATTCTTAAAGCTGGACTGGCCATCTTTCCAGTTTCCCTCCATCCTCTTGTGCTCCTCTAAGTTCTCAACATCCATTATTTCATTTACTCAAGAAATATGTATTGGGCACCCATCAGGATACAGGGATGAACTTGTGAAACACACTGAATTGCCAAAAGGAAAAATACTGCAGTTTTAGACTGTGGAATAATAACAATGACCAGAACTCTTAGGTGAAAACATCTTAGTTTCACATGGACTCAGGAGAGACTGTCTTTTCTTTTGCACTGCTTATAAGGCATTAGGAGAGTAGGTATAATCACGTTTAGGTTTGAATCAGTTAGCAGCTGTGCTGGCTCTTCTCTGAAGTGCTTGCCACAAACTCAGATTTCTGTATTTATGCTGGAATTACCTCCTTTCTCCTCCTCTGTGGTCTGACTTGTTTGTTTATTTGTAGGAATTAATCAGTCAAATGCTTCAGGTAAATGTTGAAGCTCGGTGTACCGCGGGACAAATCCTGAGTCACCCCTGGGTGTCAGTAAGTACCCACATTCCCAGGGAATGGGCCTCACTGTGCTCTGTGGCCAACAGCACGGTTCCTCACTGTGATGTTTGCACATGCAAAAGTTATGCATCCAAGCTCCATGGTAGATGTCTGTCTGTCCCATTGAGCAAGTAGCATAAAGATGGCTCCCCAAGAAAGCAGTTGGCACTAGGGTCCCAGTCTTAGACCCTGCCCCGCGAGTCACCTGGGCAAGTCACTGTCCCTTTCTTGGCCCCAGTTTCCTTATCTGCAAAATGGAATTGGCCACAGTGCTCCTTCAGGAGGCTTTTAGCTCTCGTCTTCTGCGGTTTGGGGTTTGAGAGTTTCCAGGGTTTGCCCTGGAGATGAGCCTGTTTCAGACCCTGACCTTTGTGCCTTCAGGGAACGTGCTCTCAGGAGACCTCTTGCTGTTGATGGGGAGGCTGAGACAGGATCGCTTCAGAGCTGAGTGGAGACACATGATATTGACTAGAGTTCCCTCCCAGAGGCTCAGGTGGTCTCTGGGAGGGAAACATGATCCAATAAATGGGGACTGTGGGAATTACATTTCTCCCATTTCCGTCATTTCTGGGAGGCTCCAGGAGAGTGAAGTTAGTTTAATTAGCCCAGGGCTTTGTTGACTCCGGTTGGGAAGCTCCCTGTGTACCTCCAATGCCCCACCCACCCACCATCCAGGTGCAGTTTCTCTGGACCCTGCTTGCTGCTCTCTTGGGCTAAATGACGTGGTTCTTGGACCAAGTAGCTAAGATACCACATTTTTTTTTATTATAAGCAATAAAGACTAACAACTAAATGAATTCTTGATTAAAGTGAAAAACAATGATCTTTGATGCTTCCATGGGAGGGATCATACTAAATCGTGTGCCTTGGGTGAGGGTCTCAGTAGCCTAAAGTGTGTCCTGCTTTGTGTCCCGGGAGACCTGTGCCCTCTCCTGGGCCTACTCTAGTCCTGAGGGGCAGAGGGAATGGTGTGGGGTCTTTCTGAGGGCATGGGCCTACTGAATAACAATAGTTATTTTTGAAAGATCATTGTTTCCCTAATTCTGTGGCTAAGAGGGGCCCATTTAGGAAGAGGTCAGGAGGGTGGTTGAGGCGGGGAGGGGGACTCTTAAGGAAAAGACAACTCAAACGGGAGGATGGAAAAAGCATTGTATTTGATTGTTTTCTTTCCTGTAGGATGATGCCTCCCAGGAGAATAACATGCAAGCTGAGGTGACAGGTAAACTAAAACAGCACTTTAATAATGCGCTCCCCAAACAGAACAGCACTACCACCGGGGTCTCCGTCATCATGGTGAGTGGAAGGCGGCAGGTCTGGCCTGACTGCGGAGCCGGCCTTGAAGTTTTTGAATTAGGTAGCCGGGAGCTGCCCTCACATGGAAGTTGGTGCCTTCCGTAGTCCTATTTCATATGAAGATTGGCTTGGCATGTGGAGGGCACTCATTCGGCAACTCCCAGGCTTTGGGCACTGTGTGGAGGGGCTTGTGTAGGGACCAGCAGGCCTGGTGTGAGGGGTCCAGGCGTCAAGGAGCTCCTGGCTGGGCCCTCTGGGCAGCTGCTTCCACTCTTGTCTCTGCCTTCTCATCTAGAGAGACTCCCAAGCCCTGGAGGGGTGTGTTGTGTTAGGAATTAACTCCCTGCCTACCCCAAGGCCTCAGAAATAGATTATTAGAGATGTGAATTATTCTTTGAGACTTGGGATAAGAAACAGCCAAAGCTAAACATATTTCAGTTTTAAAAAATCAGTGTTTTATAAAACACAGTTTGGGGCTTTTAAAGGTACATAATCAAGGAAAAAAATATATATTCATTTTTCAGGGTTGGTAACATTTTATGAGATGTCAGTGACAACGATGGCCTTATTTTTTTCAGCCTTTTCTTCTTCCAAAATGTTTCTTAAGGCAACTCTCCTAAATACATAAACACAACAAATTAAAATGAAAAGTGACATGAGAGTAAATGAATCAAAAGGAAAAAACATTGAACCAGAGGTGAGGGCAGCACACCCGCAGCAGCTGTCCAGGCCTGAGCCAATGCAACCCTGGGCGGGAAGGCCAGCTCACCGTGAGCAGGTAGAAGCCAGCCAGCCACCCAGGCAGGGACCTTGGTTCTCCCCACACACTCCCAGGAGCAGGGAACAGGGGTGGAGTGGCCTTTCCCAGAGCTGGAGTTGGCTGCAGCAGCTTTCGAATCAGACCTGCCAAGGTGATGGGCGTCTGAGTTTCACATCTGGGCCCCCCGTGACCCCACTGAGTCCTGACAGCTAAGGATGGGCCACCTCCACAGCTCCGTCACTCGTACTTGGGACAGGCCTCTCATCCTCTGGGAAGGTCCTCCTTGTTTCCTACCCAACTAGAAGGGAAACAGTGGCATATTCTCATGGTACATGGTTGTCTGAGAGCCTTACCTAGGAAGACGCAGGGTCTAGATAGAAGCTATAAGGAAGCCACACACATAACCCACATCCCCACACCCCCAACATCCCCCACACTCCCCACACCCCCCACACCCCCCACATCCCCACACACCACAAATCCTCCACACCCCCACACCACACATCCCTCACACCCCCCACACCACACATCCCCCACACCACACATCCCTCACACCCCCCACACCACACATCCCCCACACCACACATCCCTCACACCCCCCACACCACACATCCCCCACACCACACATCCCTCACACCCCCCAACACCCCCACACACCCCCCACACCACACATCCCCCACACCACACATATCCCCCACACCCCCCACACATCCCCCACACCCCCCACATCCCCCACACCCCCCAAATCCCCCACACCACCCACATCCCCCACACCCCACACATCCCCCACACCCCCACACATCCCCCACACCCCACACATCCCCCACACCCCCCACACCACACATTCCCTCACACCCCCCACACCACACACCCCCACATACCCCCACACACTCCCATCCCCCACACCACACATCCCGCACACCCTCCACACCACACATCCCCACACACCTCACACCCCCCACACCCCCACACAACCCACATCCCCCGCACCACACATCCCCTACACCCCCCACTCTACACACCCCACACCCCAACACACCCCACATAACCCCCACATACCCCACACCCACACCCCCCACACCCCCCACACCCCCACCCCCCACATACACACCCACACACCCCACACCCCCACATAGCCCACACAGCCTACACACCCCACACCCGAACACACCCCACATACCTCCACACACCCCACACCCCCCGCCCCCACGAGCGTGCAGCACTCTGTTATATGCATTGAGCATACACCAGGTACCCCCACACACCCCCAACACCCCCACACACCCCACACCCGAACACACCCCACATTCCCCACACACCCCACACACCCCACGAGCATGCAGCACTCTGTTATATGGATTGAGCGTCCACCAGGTTCTCAGCACCCACTGGGCCGTCATTCTCTTCTGTCCCCCGGCTGCGTTTATGTGGCCACCCTCTGTGTGTCCTTGCAACTCCCCAGCTGCTCCCCTGCCAGAAAGTGTGCTCTCCCTCTCTCCCTCTCTCCCTCTCCAGACAGAGCCTGGGTTTGCAAGCTGAGTCTTTTGATGGCTTGCAGGACTTTGGGGGCGCTCTGTGCCAAAGCAGTGAGAAGGCCTTTTGAGTTGTGGTTTCCCTTGAATTTTAGCAGTGTTTTGCTGAAAGCCTGAGAAAGTCAGAGTTGTCAAAGAATTACAGCTTAGACACTTTGAAAAGAACCATCTTGATTGAGCCAACAGCATGAGAATGTTTCCAGCGATTCCCTTGCGAGAGCTAGCATTGATGGATGGGCTCAGTGGTACACAGTCTTGCTGTGCACTGCGTTGTAAGGCAGCTTCTTGGAAAATTTAGAAAAATAAAACATTAAAAATTGGCATACTCAACGTGTCATGAAAAAACCTTAAGAAGAGAGATTGGTTAGGATCAAAATTTAATAACCATGTTAAGTCTTCTGAGAGGAAGAACCTTTAACCGCCCTGTGCCCAGGGCTTAGGAGAGTTTGCTCGGAGACTGTGAAGGGAGTCATTGCTGGGGTCACTTTTTGACTCAGGGGCCCAGATAGGAATCAGTGGCCATAGGCCTGTGCCCGGCCTCTTTATGGCTGGCTCTCAGCTGACATTCTGGAATGATTAGCTGTTCTACAGGCTCTGTCCTAGATAATGACGCTTAGACCCCCTCAGACAGAACCTATGTCGTGTGGTTTACAAATACCATTTTCCATTTGCTGATGAGGAGTTCAGGACTCAAAAGACAAACCCCTGGGCTCTGACAGGGTGTTTGTGTGAACAAACAACCCGTTATTGTTTGCAGCTCTGATGGTGATTGTAAATGTTGTATGTTTATGTGTGTTCAGTTGTCATTTTGCGCATGTTGGCAGGGTGTCCCCTCTAACCCCATGTTACCTACACAACTCTGCAGGCTGTTAGCTCAGAGGAACTGCTGATGTCATGATCCCATTCAGTACCTACAGGGAAATTCAATCAGTCTTGCCTCTGGTGGCACCCATTCTCGATGGCCAAAACACCAGCCTGTGACTTTTGGGCTGTCCCAAAAAGTGGGAGGGGAAGGCCTGCTGCTGATCCTCCCCTGGCGCAGGACCTGGTCTGGGGCATGGTTGTGTGGGGGAACTTGCGATGCTGCTGTATTGTCCTCCTCGTCCTCCTCATCCTCCTCGTCCTCCTCATCCTCCTCATCCTCCTCATCCTCCTCACGTCACTGTGTGTCCTGTCTTCGGAACAGTTTTAAGTGTTTTTACATTAAAAATAACCTCAAAATGACTCTCCCTGGTACTCATAGGTCCTCATAACTGAGACTGTGGGGCCAACCTGGTTTTCTGCAGATACAAATGATAGTGGAAATAGTGTCAACCGTCTGGAGGTTGAATCATCAGATAACTTACAGACAGGACCTTCCCATCTGCTGTCACCCTAGTGTTCTCATCCCCAGAGCTGGGGCCTGAGACTTCAGTGAGAAAATGATGGGCTAGAAATTGGTCCATAAAGGTGAAAAAAAAGTAAAGTTGATGGTGTTATCTGCATTTTGTTTGACAGTTTGATTTGACAGTTTGAGAGGCACCTCAGAGTTTCCTTCTTTACCCCGCTGAGACAGTGGGAGAGCCTGAAGCAGAATCCTGGTATTCACCACGCTGCGTCCGACCAGCGCGCCCCATCCTCAGCCCCTCTCACGCCTGCATGCTTGTCTCAGTTTCTGATGCCGCCGTCCGGCTCTCAGCTGCTTACTGGTGTGGGTCTTTTGTACCTACTCACATCCTTTCCAGCCAGCCAAGCAGGCCCCTGGAAAACTTTATTTTCAAACTTCTCAGCTTACCACACTGCCTGCCTTTCCAGACCAACAGCTGGTGAGAGCACGGGAGGAGTCCCATAGTTCTCCTACCGATGCTGTTTCCCACTTAGGTGAAAAGTGGCTTTTCGGAAAGAGCAGCTTAAGATGGTGCCTTCGTGAAGGCTTTTGTTCTTTCTCCAGCTGCATTTCCAAAGATGAGTTTGTATCAGTAAGTGTAATCTCAGCCAGCCTTTGGGATAAGAGAAGATAATTTAATGGGTGAGGCCTTGGTTTCAGGCAGGGCTGAGGTGTGGGATTACAGTTCCCATTTTCTTGGACTTGTCCTTAGCATGCGTAAGAAAGGACAGAGCAGGGTGCATGCAGGACGGCCTCCCATGTACCCCGGGGGGCTCGCCCCAGTTGCAGAGACCAGGAGAGACCATCTTGTGGTGGGAAGGGAATGCCGAGAAGCCGCCGTCACTCGGCGCCTGCGGTGCAGACTTGAGAAGGGACGGATTCAAGGGCATTGCCTTCTTCGCTGGGGGATTATGCCTTGTTTCAGGGGGAAGTTGGGGAAGGATTTGGGTTTATTGCCTTAATTTAAGATAGACAAAACTGTTTCACTCGTGTTGCTTCTGTTGAAAGTAAGTCTAGTTTCTGTCCCTGCTTCTCTCCTGCCTTCTGCCTCTCCCGCCGCCTGCATTGCTTCCCTCTGGCTAGGTCCAAGGCCATGGTATGTACTAACCGCACTGCCAGCCTGCCTTCTGCCACACACGCCCCTGTGCTTCTGACAGGAAGAGAAAAGGAGAAATAACGGGGGGATTGTTTTCTTGTACCCAGGAGACATTTTGTGGTAGGAAAAACCTGTATGCTGGCTCTCTGCTTCCCATGTAGGTGGGAGCATCTTTTAGTGGAGTTTTCCACAGTTACCCTTTCTCCAGGTAGTTGAAATTGTCCTTGGAAATTGTAGGGATTTGGGGAGTTTTGTTTATTGAGACAGGATCTTGCTCTGTTGCCCAGACTGGAGTGCGGTGGTGTGATCCTAGCTCACTGTATCCTCAAACTCCTGAGCTCAAGCCATCCTCCTGCCTCAGCCTCCAAGTAGCTAGGACTACAGGTGCACGCCACCTTGCCCGGCTAATTTTTAAATTCTTTGTGGAGATGGAGTCTCTGTGTTGCCCAGGCTGGTCTCAAACTCCTGACCTCAAGTGATCCTCCCTCCTTGGCCTCCGGAAGTGCTGGGATTACAGGTGTGAGCCACTGCACCCGGCCAGAAATGGATGACTGTTCAGCTTGAACTTGTGAGGGCCTGTGGAGAAGCAGCCATTCCATAGGTGGCCCCAGGTGCCCTGAAGGCCGCCACCCAAGTTCATCTTAGAAAGCCCTGTTGTTGATTCTTATTTTCTCCAGACTTTTTTTGTTGTTGTTAAAGTACTGAAAGAATCTTTAGTGCATTTTCCCCTCTCCCTCCCCAGGGTAGTTAGATTACAAAAGGCCTCCTGGCAATTGTCCCTTTCAGCTAAAGGTGCCTGGGAACTGCCATCTCCTTCACTTTTGGGAAGCCCATTGAGATGGCAGCTTGATGGGCTTCCCTGGACAAGCAGGAAATAGAGAAGGAGAAAGCAGGACCGGGGTCCCTTCCCCAGCCAGGCTTAGAACGCAAGGTGACTGCCTCACATCTTTGTGGCTGTTTCTCTGTTCCTTGAAGAGCTGAGCAGATTTAAAAACTTTCAGGATGTTTCAGGATAAGGAAGCTTTGCTTCATGTGAAGAGAAGACAGGTGAGGATATCATGGAGGATCTGAAAAAAGAGTAATGTGGCTCCATCCAATTCCTGGGCCTTTTATAGGCTTCACAGCATCTCAGGTTGTTAGGAGGATTAATTATTCACAGGACATGCGGGTAACTTTTCAATCTGTGACAGAGAGCTTTATTTGGAAGAGTAAACTCTCCAAGACTGAGCACCCTTGTAAGGTTTGCTTATTGTCTCAGAATTCTTTTGAGCTTAAGGTCTGGGCTTGGGCTGAAGGGGTGAGAACCCAGGCACAGCCCAAAGCGAGAGAAGACGACAGACATCCAGTGTGTCCTGGGCTGCCAGCCTGGGTCAGGGTAGGAGCAGAGGCCAAGGACAGCCCCTTCCCCCGGTGGGTTCCCGAAACCATTACTCTCCTGTGAGGCTTCTGTTAGAAGCTTGGCGTTATTTCTCCTCTTCTGTTTCTGAGGCCCGTGCATGCTCTGTTGTGCTCTCTGCTCGTGGCAGCTGGGACCCGAGCCTGGGCCCGGGTAATGTGTTGTCTCTGCTGTTTCCTCCTCAGAACACGGCTCTAGATAAGGAGGGGCAGATTTTCTGCAGCAAGCACTGTCAAGACAGCGGCAGGCCTGGGATGGAGCCCATCTCTCCAGTTCCTCCCTCAGTGGAGGAGATCCCTGTGCCTGGGGAAGCAGTCCCGGCCCCCACCCCTCCGGAATCTCCCACCCCCCACCCTCCTCCCGCTGCCCCGGGTGGTGAGCGGGCAGGAACCTGGCGCCGCCACCGAGACTGAGCCTCCTGCAGACGGGCGAAGCCGCCTGCTGCAGCCCAGGAAGCCAGCCCTCTGCTCGGCCTCGCCGGCCTCCCTGCTGCAGGCCTCCCTCTCTTCACCGCCTGCGCCTGAGTTCGCGGGTCCTCCGCAGGCCGCCTGGGAACCGGAGCCTGGCGTGCCGGAGCCTGGCCTGGTGCTCTGGGCTCTGCCTTCTGGTTCCTGGAGGCATCAAAGGCTGCATCCGTTCTGCCAACAGCTGTTCGGAGAGACTCGTTCCAGATCATCCCGTCATTTTCAGTTTGTTGGACATTTTACAGCTTCACCAGGAGAATGTGCAACTTTATTCCAGCATTCGATGCATTTTTATAGAAACACTTTGGAAACACTTTGGATGAACCAAGGCCTTTTCCTTATTTAAGTAGACTCAGAACACTCCCTTTCTTTTCTTTTCTCTCTCTCTCTCTCTTTTTTTTTTACGAAAGACTTAGAATTGCATTTGTCCTTTTGTGGGTGTCCTGTGAGAGGTGATATGGGGGCTAAGAGGACTGGCTTTCTAATAGAAGAAGTGAGCGCCTGAGAGGACAATTTGGTCATTGGACACGGATTGCAGGCTTTGAGAAGCGCTCAGAGGCCCAGGGCGGCGGGCTCAGCCATTCGGCTTGGGGCACCAGGCTCCCCAGAGACAATGCTCAGTATTCATTCATACACAGACGATGGAAGAAGCCACTTCTTCCCTGGGCGGTGTGGGTTTCCCCCAGCTCTTCCCACACGTGTGTTAGGAAATGCCCGTGAACTTGCCCTCTGGGCTTTTTAATGAGAGGCTTGGCGCATGCGGCACCCAGCGGCTGCTTCCCTGCAAGCCAGCGACTTGCCGAGCAGAATGAGCTCTGCTCCTGAGCCCCGGTAGCTGCTTCCTCATCTGCATTTCATCTGGAGCAGGGCAGGTAACCACAGGAGGAGGCATGCCCGAGGCAGCCAGGACTGGGCGGGAAGGTGCTCCCTGGATATACTCTGTGAACCTTCTGGAAGGCTGCTGGCAGTTTTTCCTTTTTGTCCACCACCCTGCTCTTTTTAATAATTGTACATAATCCGTGTATTTGTTTTACCTGCTCATCTTCTAAACTGGCGAGCCCTATAGTTCGTTCTCATTGTTAGATTTTGCCTTTTACAAGTGTCCCCAACCTGCAATAAACTTTTCCCTCTTGAAAAAAAGTAATCAGGGATGGGCAAAGGTTTCTGTGCTGTTGTTTGGCTAAGGATGTATGGGAGCAAAGTTCTCCTCCTCGGCCCGGGTTCCAGCGGGTGCCAGTGGCTGTTTTGCAAAGTCTCAGGGCCACCCGGGGAAAAGAGGAAGCTCGGGGAGAACACACATGGAAATGAATCTTGGTTGAAGTTTGTCTGGTTACAGGTGCAGAATGGGCGTGGTGGCTCAGGCCTGTAATCCCAGCAGTTTGGGAGGCCAAGGTGGGTGGATCACCTGAGGTCAGGAGTTCCAAGACCAGCCTGGCCAACATGACAAAACCCCATCTCTACTAAAAATAGAAAAACTAGCCGGGCGTGGTGGCGCATGCCCATAATCCCAGCTACTTAGGAGGCTGAGGAGGGACAATCACTTGAACCAGGGAGGTAGAGGCTGCAGTGAGCTGAGATCGTGCCACTGCACTCTAGCCTGGGTGACAGAGTGAGAACCTGCCTCAAAAAAAAAGACACATCACAAAAGCTCAAGAACAAATGGTGTGCTTGGTGTGCGACAGAGGAACCTTATGAAGCAGCAGCAGGAAGGGCAGAGAGTTGGGGCAGTTGTTCCCCTGTCTCTCTCTGAGGTTGTGTGGTCTCCTGTCTCTGCTTTTTCCAGTGCCTTGTCAGCTACAGCTTTCTCTGCAAGACTCTTGTTTCTGTCCCCTCATAGTACCCACTTACCTGTGGTTCAGGTTACCCTGGTACTGCCTCTGTCCGCAACTTTTCAAGGCTTTATAATCCCAGGGCTTGAAACCATCTAACTTGACTCTGGATCTTCCAGTTCAGATTGCTGAAGGAATGAGTCAATCTCAAGGGCCAGGCGATACAATGAGTTCTGGGCTGGTGCTGACCCCTGATCAGGTCCAGAGGTTGGCCACAAGGTGCGGTGGGTTGCGGGCTGGGGGAGCGGGCGGCGGGCTTCCTAGGCCCACAGCTGTAGCAGGGTCAGGCTACAGGAGGACGACAGTTTCAAAAAAGCAGTGATGTATAGGTCTAGAACATTCTGCTTGTGCCTCCTCTTTGGTTACAGGACAAGCTTTTTCATAGCTTTCAATAGAAATATTTTTGTTAATGGAAGGGAAGAGCTAATAAAAGGAAGAAGGAGAAAAATGCAAACAGCGATAGAACAAGGCCTCTGGCACTGATCTGAGCCCCAAACCCATTTCCCTCCCTTGAACTGTGAGGTTCAAAGAAAGACATCTGCTAAAGGCAAAATAAGTGGCTGGCCAGTGCCAGTCACTGTCAGGATGCAGGAGCCTCTTCTTGTCGGTACATGCCTCCGCCCTCTGTAAGGATGGAGACCGGAAGTAGCATGAGCTGGCAGGGGCGGCACTGCCTAGCCATCCTGCTAAAATGGTTATGACCCCAGGAAAACCTACAGAAGTATGTGGCGCTAGGGGAGCAAACCAAGAGGTCAAGTCACACCTCCAGGGTAATAGAATTGGCAGGAGGTGGAGCCATGATGCAGTGTTAGCTTTTGCTGACTCTAAAGTGCATGTTCTTTTTGGGGGCGGGGCGGGGGTGACCCTGTCTATCCATGGCTAAATCAAGGCCTGGAGGGGAGGAGCTAAATAAAGGTTCTGATACAGGCAGATTGTTCATCTGCCCACTTGTTTAGCAAACATTTATTAAGCTGTAATTCTGTCTCAGGATCTAAATTAAATACAGGTACTTAAAACTGCTGGGTTCCTCAAATCCTGCACAGAGAGAATGGCATGAACTGTTTCATGTTGATTCCCTTACTTGAGCCGGGCCGAGTCTCAGCCTCTCATTTTCTCTCTCTTCCTCTCACCCTCTCTTTTCAGAAAGGTTGCTATGATAGAAATGTATTGAATATATAAATTGAAGGCATTTGGCAAAACTTCCCCCAGAATATCTTCATGGCTAAAATGGTGAAATGTGAATTAGGAGATGGTGAAGACAGCTCAGGACAGATTCACCATGTTGAAAGCAGGAGTGCTGATTGATGTTGTCTTGGAGAAAGATCTCTAGAACAGTTTGCTGTCCCACAGAAATATGCAAGCCACAGGAGACAGCATTTCCTAGTATCATGTTAAAAAAATTTTTTAGAGAAACAGGTGAAATTAATTTTTATAGTATATTTTATTTAACCTAATATGTCTAAATACATCCAAAGTATTATTTTGGCATGTAATCAACATAAATCACTAGGATGTTTTACTTTCTTTGTTCTAAACCTTTGAAATCTGGTGTGCTTTACATTTATAGCATGTCTCAGTTTGGACAGGGCACATTTCCAGTGTTGAACAGCCACGTGGTTAGTGGCTGCCATGCTGCAGCTTCAGTCTTTGTTCTTAACCTTTTTTTTTTTTTCCCGCATATGATGTGAATAACAACTTAGAATGCTTTCCTGTTTTTTTTTTTTTAATGGAATGGACTCATTTAAAAGGATCTCAGCAGGTGAGGATACTGATCCAAACCCACGGTGTAGAAGTGAAGTGTGAAGTGCTGTGATTCAATTCTGTAACTACCCAAGGCAAGGCCCTGGCCTGCAGCACGGCTGAAGATCTGGGCCTGGAGGATTTCAATGACCGCCCAGTCGTTAGGAGCCAACACAGCTGCTTGAACATTAGCATAATCTTAACTGTGTTATGAGAAGCACGCGCAGATCCCAGGCAGTGCTAGCTGGGGATGGAGTTCTGTTCTGGGGACCTTGTTACATGTGGTGCAGAGCAAGAGCAATGATCACCCGACAGAGGACAGCTGGAGTGGTGAGGGGGTGTGAATCCTGGCAGCCAAGGACTGGTGGAGAAAACTGTGAGGTAAGAGGAAAGTCGAGGCACATTTGCTCAATGTCTTTGGCTGTGTAAAGGACTGCTCCATAGAAGGGGCACAGCCTTTTTTTAGTTGCTCTGGATGGTCAGCCTGAGGTCAGCAGGTAGGGGGCACAAAAGGTCAGATTTAAGGACAGAGTGAGAGTAAGATTCTAGTAACAGAGCAGTGCAGTCACAGAATCAGCTGCTTTCTAAAGAAGAAGATCATGACAATCACACAAGTTTGCAGCTTATGGAGTATTTCATCCTATCTCATTTGAGATATGCCACAGCCCTAAGAGATAGATATTAATATCCTTGTCTAATAAATAAGGAAATGGAATGGTCAAGAGCTTCCCCAGGCAGGGCAGGTGCCCCATGACAAGGTTTCCTCTTTTGGCAGTCAGAGATGTGTTAGGAGTGCTGCGTGTGTAAGACACAGGTGGGGTGCGAATTCATAGGAACATTCACAGTTTGGCTTTTAACCTTGCTGGAGGAGCCCACTCTCTCAAAAGAGATGGCTTGCCTGGCCAGGCACGTGGCTCACGCCTGTAATCCCAGCAAGGCGGAGACAAGGCGGATCACCCGAGGAAGGCAGTTCAAGACCAGCCTGACCAACATGGAGAAACCCCGTCTCTACTAAAAATATAAAATTAGCTGGGTGTGGTGGCGCATGCCTGTAATCCTAGCTACTCAGGAGGCTGAGGCAGGAGAATCGCTTGAAACCGGGAGACGGAGGTTGCGGTGAGCCAAGATTGCACCATTGCACTCCAGCCTGGGCAACAAGAGCAAAACTCTGTCTCAAAAAAAAAAAAAAAAAAAGTTGCTTGCCTAAAGGCCAAACCACCCTTCATTTTCTACCACTTTGTCAGTGGCTGAGAAGTTATCAGAGCAGGGGCACTTATTTAGATCAAAGTCAGAGAGTGGTTTTTCCAGAGGGAGGCTGACATGTGCAACTTTGGTGAGTCTTGGCCAGGGGGTTCTAAGGGGCAATCTTATGATAAAAAACAAAGCCTTGAACTCAAAGACAGCTGTGGGAAGGCCTTGCCAGCATTGAATGGCTGAGGGGAAGAAAAGCATATATTTGATACAGAGACAGTCATTGGCCCCTACCATGCCCCTTCAATTTGGGCAGAGCTGGGCACCACAGGCCTCCAGCACCATCAGGCGGGCTGAGTCTGTTGCATTGCGAGGAGTGGTTGGATGCCTGTCTGTGTTGAGGCTGAAGTTAGTTCCGGGGATGTCTTTCAAATTATCCAAGGCCAAAGCTGCAAAGCAGCCAGCTTCCTGCCAGGTATGAGGAAGGGACAAGCCTGCCCAACTCCCTGGAATCTTGGTTTTGGCAAGGAAAAATATTCCTGAATTTGAGACAGAAAAATAGTTCACTTCATGTTTCTGGCATAGATCACCAAGATCTCATAGGAGCATTCACAGTTTGTCTTCTAACCTTGCTGGAGGAGCCCAGCTCTCTCAAAACAAATTGCTTGCCTAAAGGCCAAACCACCCTTCATTTCATGAGAGAAAAATGTGATGTGCCTTGCTCTGAGCAGTCTGCGGTTCTGGTTCATAGCAGCCAGGGCTGGGAGTGATGTGTCAGTGGTGTTAACAGTAGTCTTGGGTCTTTAGCGATCTTATGACTATAGAGCATGCAAGAAGTTCATCATGGACTCAACTTTTCAAGTCTATCTAAAAGAAAAATCCAAAAGATTTTTCTCCCACTCACCTGAGAGGAAGTAGAACTTTAAAATGGTTTGTTTGGCTATTTATGTATTTGCTACTTTATGGTCTTGCCCTTCCTTCTTACAAGTAGGAAATTTTGAAACTTCCCAGCCTCCTTCCCCTGCAAGGATAACTTGTGAAGCCTATAGAATTAACAGTGGTTCAACTTTATGCTACACAAAACGGGGGTAAGCTGGGCTGGGTGTTCTTCTGCTTGAAGTAGGAAACGATTTCCTTCCATGTGGTAGGGCAAAAATAGCCAAGTGGAGGCACTAGCACATTTGCTCATGTATAGGTTATGCAGATTTTGAGACTAAAGTTACATCCTGCTTCTGTTTGTGAACATACTTTGGCCTAATGTGATTTCATGTGGGGCTATGGGGCTAATCCATAGTGAACACACACCAGGAACTGGTGAAGTTTCTCCACCTAGCTCAGTGGTGGCTTATTCCAGCTTTTAAATGAAAGACACTTCTGCATCTGGATCCAGGAGGAATCTGTTTATATCATGGGTCAGCTGCCTTTTTTAGCAGGGATGGAGAATGGGGCAGGACTGTCACATTAGAAAGGACTAAACCAGGCCTTTTATTTGCATGGCTGGAAGCTCTTGAGATCACAGCCAGTAACAAGATACCAAAGAAACCTACTGAAAATCTCTACCTCAACCACCTTTCATGGTGAATCTAAGCTGCTGCAAGCTGTTGTATTTGCTAAGAAGGGTACAAAGTAGGTGCAGTGGCTACATCCCAGGTTCCCTGACCATCTCCTGCAAGCTTGACTCACACAACCACTGCCATCTCACTGTCCCTCTGACAGGTGTAGGAGGACATGTGACACCAAGTGTGTGGTTGGCCCCTGACCCTCTGGCTCGGCTGCTCTTAGAGCGAGTGGAAAGGGCGACCCCGGGTTGTCAGTTCCTGACCTCATGCCCTGCTCACGGCTACTCGTAATTCCTGTGCAAGACACTTGGAATCTTCCTGTTGTGTATGCTAAGCAGAAGTGAGGTGTGATGTTTCTCAATGGATAAAATAGCTCTTTTATTGAAGTAATTTATGAAAACACTGATTTTTGGTGTACTTTGGGAGTAAGACACTGTCATCTGAGAGTGTGTTGTCTACACGTTTCTATCGATGTTTTTCGGATGTTCATGTTGTCTCTTAGCTCTCCTGCTTTCTCCCACAGATCTAATGGTATTTCTTAAATGACAGCATCTCAGGGACTTGATTGGTTATATTTCAGTAAGAAACAGTATGTCAGGGAGGAAAATCTTAATTTCTGGAGGCAATGCATCTTAAACCAGCCCTCAGTTACTGTACATGGACCAAGCACAGCCCATCCAGCCGCATCTACTCACTGTGCAGACGCACTGCTCCCTCTGTTGTGGTTCCCTTATTTCCAGCCCCAAAACACCTCTACTTTCACTTAGCTGGCTTTTTCTTAGCTGGCTTACATTTATGTAAAGTAATAGCCTTTTTAAGGAGTTAGTTAAAATTGAATAAGTAAATATTGAATAAACTGTAAATGTTATTACTGAACAGATTCTGTCATTAAGAAGCCCATGTGTTGATGCCAGCCTTATTTGTTTCATGAAGTATTGTTTCTTTTAATATTTATTTTTTAAATTTTAATTATTATTATTATTATTTTTTGAGATGCAGTCTCACTCTGTCGCCTAGGCTGGAGTGCAGTGGCACAATCTGAGTTCACTGCAACCTCCGCCTCCCAGGCTCAAGCAATTCTCCTGCCTCTGCCTCCTGAGTAGCTGGGATTAACAGGCGCCTACCACCAAGCCTGGCTACTTTTTGTATTTTTAGTAGGGACAGGGTTTCCCCATGTTAGCCAGGCTTGTCTCGAACTCCTGACCTCAAGTGATCCGCCTGCCTCGGCCTCCTAAAGTGCTGGGATTACAGGCGTGAGCCAATGCACCCGGCCAACTTATGTTTCAATTAATTTTCGTTAGTCGTAAGTTTTTAAAACAATAAAGGTAGTGGAGATACTGATTTTTTTTTCCTTTTAGGTTTCAAGAGGAGCTTTGCTTTAGGCTTGTTAAGCATAGGGTGGTTGAAGTATCATTTGTGTGGCACGACTTAGGTATTGGTATTTTCTTTTACCATTGTTCACTTAAGAAGTTTTCAAAGAGTAATATTCACAAGTTAATGAGGACATTAACAAACAAACAGTGAAGATGTTCATCAGTTAATTAATTTATCAGCAACTTGGGTATTTCTTTGATTCTAAAATGTACTTTCCCTCCCCCACATTTCACCGTCGTCTATTTATTTTCTTAATGATGGATCTCAGATGAAGTGGTACATAAAGTTCCTTGCTAGGCATTTGTAAGATTCAGGTCTAGGTCATTTGTGTGAGTCTCAGTAAGAAAGAGGAGAGATCTGGCCAAAGAAAGCTCATTTTCCTGTTTTCAGTCAGGAGGATCTCTCACATTGGTTATTGATCAAAAACTAGGACTGAATCAGAGTTTGACATTTTCTTTCTTTGTGAATCATTATTTTATTAATGATGTTTAAAATTTAGGAGCAAAAAAGGCATTTCCAACAATTCAATTACAGATGCCATTTTATTCAGCTTTTTCTGTCAAACTGAATTGTTCATTCCAAATCCTTGCTTTTAGAGAAGAGCTGAGTGTGTAGGAAAAAAAGAGGGACCACTTGAAGTCTGTTGCAAGAGAAATAGAGATCAAAGTTCACAACATACAAAGAATTTATTTATGCAATACAGGCCTTTTCTCAAATATTTTTCACAGAATTCCACACAGTAATCTACTAGAAAAGTAGAATTATACACCACCAAATAACATTGTTTCGTTTCTTAGTACAAATTGCTAATCAAAAGGAAGGTGGAGATGATAGTTTAATAACAAATAGTAAAACAGGTGTTGCTGAATACAGCACCCGGTAGCCTCTATTTGCAAACCCGGGGAGGGAAGGGGGTGCCCCAACAAAACAACAGTGGCTCCGCCTCATTGTCCAGGCACAGGCAAACCGCAGTAGTGAGCTTTGGTACTTGCATTTACTTTAAAAGAAAAACAAATGTTGTGAGCTCAAGAGCATTTCCATCATTTCGTTTTGTTGTGCTATGAAGATGACAGATCAGGAAAAAATGGTAACTATTTCACACTTGCTATAAATTAGATTCCTTGTGCTAACCACACAATAAAATAGCCTCCCCCAAACCATACTTTTCTAGGTCTAAAACATGCTTGAAGAACAATATTGATAGACAGACTTAATTGAGATGTTTTAAATTACATTTACCATAATTTAAACATTACTATTTAAAT
The DNA here is from genome assembly GCF_000001405.40 of Homo sapiens. Taxonomy (NCBI): domain Eukaryota; kingdom Metazoa; phylum Chordata; class Mammalia; order Primates; family Hominidae; genus Homo; species Homo sapiens. Next base: position 150,265,257 of record NC_000004.12, read on the forward strand.
CCCAGAAATATTAGTGCTGAAGAAGCACAGTTGTTTGGAAAAATACAGGACCCAAATTACAGCATCAAATTTTCCTATTCCAATATTGTAACCCACTTCCCCACTGTGAAAATCCTATTTCTCAAGCTTGTAGATGCATGGGAAATGTTCTTCATAATATTATAGCTGGAATAAGTGGTTTACTTGCTCCACTGTATGTTTCCATAATTGGTGAAAATAGACTTCTCATTATGACTAAAAATATAGATTTTTTAAAACTACAGAACCCAGCAGCCAGTTTTCTGCTTTGCTAATCCCCCCCAAAAAAGTCAAGCAAAGACTACAAAAATAGCAATTATTAATAACTTTAAAAAATATTTTGCTTCTTTGAGCAAATTTAAGTTACATTCAGATGTGGTAGAAGAGAATGATGCTCCAGGTACTTCTGCTCATCCTAGGGGCAGAGTTGATGTACAGCTGTCACCATCAGTAGCGGGTTTGGTATTCATGATGCCACCGGTTAAAGTCGTTGTAAAATAGCACAATGCTTCCTGAAGCCATGCCAGAAATGATGCACCTAGGAGAAGCACAGAGAGAAGGACTTTTACAAACCTGTGTGTCCTAGAGATGTTACTAAAAACTGCTCTCCCCAAATCCACAAGGTAAATATAGAAGCTGGCAGTGAAGGCTCCAATTTGTGGGAACTAAGGTATGTATTTCATGACTAAAATGTATCCCTGAGTAAGCTCAGAGTACTGCCTCTGACACTCCACAAGGATCCAAGCCACAGCTTGCTTTTTCATTGAAAGGGTACGGACAGCTGGTATGTGCAGGATGAGTAACTAAAATCTGAACAGATTTGTAACTAAAATCTGAACAGATTTGGTAATTTCTAAAGGGGGACTGGGCTGGCAAGACCCATCCATTATATAAGCAACAGACTCAAAAGAAGGAACCACAATCTCAAAGTAACTGCTGGTGGAAAGAAGCAGCACACACTCAAGTGACAAGAGACACCACCTCTGACAGGTACAGAATCAATGAAGAGTGAAAAAGAAGAGTGTTGTTGACCATAATTTAAGCTGGTCTCCCCTCTGTGGAGAAGTAGTCTATGTCCATCATGCTCTGGGTGAGGACCTAGTCCTCGTAACACAGTAACTCACCGAAATCACTGAAGATAAGAACTTCTGCAAGCTTCTTGGTCTCCTGTCCCCAAAGAGGTGGTGCAGGGAAAGAGATGGAGAACATAGGTGAACCTAAACTGAGCATAGCCAGATTTTTCTCTGTGTAGTTTGGTTAGGACCAGCCCTTAGAAGCCATATTCAGTATCCTTCCTAGTACCTCGTATCAAAATTAATTAGGAACTAAAATGTGTCACTACAAAAAAAATCAACTAAAAACAAAGGAAGACAGTAAGGAGGAAATGAGAGACAAAACTCTAAGGCAGAGAGAAAATTAAATAGAAAAGTGGCAAAAGTCAGTCTTTCCTTATCAGTCATTAAAGAGATTAAATTCTCCAGCCAAAAGGAAGAGATTGGCAGAATGGATAAAAAACATGATCCAACTATATGCTGTCTACAGGAGACCCACTTGAGATCTAAAGACAAACATCTTGAAAGTGAAAGGATGGAAAAGATATTCCGTGTAAGTACTAGCAAAGAGAGCTGAGGTGGCTTACACTAATATCAGACAAAATAGTCTTTCAGTCAAAAACTGTTACAAGAGACAAAGGACACTACACTGAGAAAAGGGTAAATTCACAGAAATATAACAATTATATATGCATTTATCATCAGACCCCCAAGATACAAAGAGCAAATATTAACAGAATTGAAGGGAGAAATGGTTCTACAGTAATAGTTTTAGACGTCAATACCCCACTTTCAATAATGGGTGGAACAACCAGGTGGAAGATAAGGAAACAGGACACTTGAACAATACGATAAGCCAACTGGACCTGACACACGTATATAGAACACCTTCCCAACAACAATAGAATATACATTTTTTTGCAGTGCGCATGGAATAGTCTCCAAGATAAACCATATGTTAGGCCACAAGTGTTAATGACTTAGTAAAGATTAAAATCACAAAGTAGCTTTTCTGATCATAATAGAATGAAACTAGGTACCAATAACTGAAGGTAAACTAGAAAATTCACAAATATGTGGAAAGTAAATAAATGATGAGTCAAAAAAAACAAACAACAACATAAGAGACATCAGAAAATACTGAGACAAATGAAAAGGAAATACAACAAGCCAAAACTTATGAAATGCAGCAAAAGCAATGCTAAAATGGAAATTTTTAGCTGTAAACACATAGATTTAAAAATATCTCAAATCAATAACCTAACTTTACCTCTTAAGGAACTAGAAAACAGACAAAACCCCAGGCTAGGCAGAAGGAAGAAAATAATAAAGAACAGAGTAGAGAGAAATAAAGCAGAAAATAGTAAAATGATTGATAGGAAAAAACCCAAAAATTGGTTCTTTGAAAAAATAACAAAATTGACAAACCTCTAGCTAGACTAAGATGACTTGGCTGGGCATGGTGGATCATGCCTGTAATCCCAGCACTTTGGGAGGCCAAGGTGGGTGGATCACCTGGGGTCAGGAGTTCGAGACCAGCCTGGCCAACCCGGGGAAACCTCGTCTCTACTAAAAATACAAAAATTAACTGGGCGTGGTAGTGGGCACCTGTAATCCCAGCTACTTGGAAGGCTGAGGCAGGAGAATCACTTGAACCTGGGAAGCAGAGGTTGCAGTGAGCTGAGATTGCACCATTGCACTCCAGCCTGGGTGATAGAGTGAGACTCCATCTCAAAAAAAAAAAAAAAATGACTCAAATTACTAAAATCAGAAATAAAAGTTGGGACATTACTGATTTGGCAGAAACTGAGTTCAGAGAGACTATTAGAAACAACTGTATACCAACAAATAGGGCAACCTAGATGAAATAGACAAATTCCTGAAAACAGTATACCAAAACTGAATGAAGAAATAGAAATGATTAGACTTATGACAAGTGAAGAGATTGAATCAGTAATCAAAAACCTCCCAATAAGAAAAGTCCTAGACAAGATGGCTTCACTGATGAATTCTACCAAACATTTAAAGAAGTATTAACACCAATCCTTCTCAATTTCTTCTTCCAAAAAATTAAAGAATCCAGAACACTTCCTAAGTGATTCAATAAGGCCAGTATTACCATGACACCAAAGCCAGTTGAAGACATTACAACAAAAGAACACACAGACCAGGATACAAAATACTAGCAAACTGAATTCACTAGCATGGTAGTGGGAATGTACACCATGACCCAGTGGGATTCATTCTGGGAATGCAAGGATGACTCACCATGCAAAAGTCAACCAACATATAACATACTACATTAACAGAACAAACAACAAAACAAGCCCACATGATCATCTCAACTGATGCTGGAAAATTTGACATGTGACAAAATTCATCATCCTTTTATTATGAAAACAATAGGAGTAGAAGGAAACTACCTCAAATGATAAACAGCATGTATGAATAACTCACAGCTAACACCACACTCGATGAAAAAAAGTTTTTCCCCTATGATTGGGAACAAGGCAAGGATGCCCACTTTAATCACTCTTATCCAACAGTACTGAAAGTCCTAGACAGAGCAATTACACAAGAAAAAAGTATCCAAATTGGAAAGGAGGAGTGAAACTGTCTCTGTTTACAGATGACATGATCTTGTATGTAGGAAATCCTAAAAATTCCACACCAAAACAAAACAAAAGAGCTAATAAATGAATTCAGCAAATTTGCAGGATATACAACACGAAAATCAGTTGCATTTTTATACACTAACAAACAATGAGCAGTCCAAAAGGAAAATTAAGAATTGCAGTGAGCCGAGATCATGCCATTGCACTCCAGCCTGGGTGACAGAGCGAAACAGAAACCCCTAACAGCCAAAACAATCTTGAAAAAGAAGAAATATGTTAGCAGTTGCACATTTTCTGATTTGAAAACTTACTTACTGTTGTTACAATGCGACAGTAATCAAAACATTGTCACACTGATATAGGCAGACCAACAGAAGAGAAAGTTGAGAAATAATCCCTCACATATGTGCTCAAATAGGGTGCCAAGACCTTTCAACGGAGAAAGCACCTTCTTTTCAACAAATTATGCTGGGAAAATAGGATGTCCACATGCAAAACAATGAAGGTGGACTCTTACCTACCATTATATTAAAAAACTAAAAACAGATCAAAAACCTAAATACAAATTAAAACTATAAAACTTTTAGATGAAAACATATGGGAAAACCTTCATGACCTTGGATTTTGCAGTGGCTTCTTGGATATGATATCAAAACAAAAGAGACAAGATAACAAAACAAACTCATAACAAAAAATAGGACTTCATAAAATGTAAAATCAGGGCTAGGTATAGTGGCTTATGGCTATAATCCCATCCCTTTGGGTGGCTGAGTCAGCAGGATTGTTTGTTTGAGCCCAGGAGTTTAAGACCAGCCTGGGCAACATAGTGAGACCCTGTCTCTACAGAAAATAAAAAAGCTGGGCATGGTGGCACATGCCTGGAGTACCAGCTACCATGTAGCTGAGGCGGGAGAATCATTTGAGCCCAGGAGGTTGAGGCTTCAGTGAGCTGTGATTGTGCCACTGCACTCCAGTCTGGGCAAAAGAGTGAGACCCTGTCTCAAAAAACAAACAAAAAGTAAAATCTTTTGAGCATCTAAGGATATTAGGAAGAGAGTGAAAAGACAACATCACTGATCATTAGGGAAATCAAAACCACAATGAGAGACCACGCCTGTTAGGACAACTGTTAAAAAATAGAGCAAGGTGTTGATAAGGATGTGGAGAAATTGGAACCCATGTAAAATGGTACAGCCACTGTGGAAAACACTTTAGGGTTTCCTCAAAAAGTCAAACGGAATTGCCATATAACCCAGCAATTCCACTCCTGGGCATACACCCAAAAGGACTGTAAAAAGGGACTTGAATAGATATTTGTATGATAATGTTCATAGCAGCATTACTCACCATAGCCAAAAGGTAGAAACAACCCAAGTGTCCATCATCAACAGGTGAACGATAAACAGAACACAGAATATTCATATAATATTCTGATACGTGCTACGACATGCAAGAACCTTGAAAGTGTTATGCCAAGTGAAATAAGCCAGGCACAACACAACAAATATTGTATGATTCCACTTAACAGAAGGTGCTTAGAAGAGGCAAATTCATAGAGACAGAAAGTAGCATGCACATGAGCTGGTGGGAGAGAGAGTCATTAACATGCAGAGCTTCTGTTTATGATGAAAAGGGTCTGGAAATGGATGATGGTGATGGTGGCACAACACTGTAAATGTACATAATGCCACTAAATTATATATCGAAAAGAGTTTAGATGGAAAATATTATATGTTGCCACAATTTTTTTTAAAAGGAACAAAAATGAGTGACTATACGTTAAGAGGAAATAAGGTGCCAGATAAAGATGATCCCCCCAAAATCTACCACTTGAGAGCTTTTAGGAAATAAGCCCTATCTTTCAGGGGACTCTCCATATGCAGAGATATGCAGAGATAAAGGCATTTTACATTAAACATCTTTACAGCTCTTTCAATTTTATTTACTGATAAAGATGATGATACTTCTTCAGGCTGGCAATCGCCGAATAGGAGCAGATCTGGTCTGCAGCTCCCAGTGAGATTGACGCTGGGTGGATGATTTCTGCATTTCCAACTGAGGTACCTGGTTCATCTCGTTGGGACTGGTTGGACAGTGGGTGCAGCCCACGGAGGGCAAGCCGAAGCAGGGTGGGGTGTTGCCTCACCCATGGAAGCACAAGGGGTCGGGGAATTCCCTCCCCCAGCCAATGGAGGCTGTGAGGGACTGTGCCATGAGGAATGGTGCACTCTGGCCCAGATACTGCGCTTTTCCCACAGTCTTCACAACCTGCAGACCAGGAGATTCCCTTGGGTGCCTACACCACCAGGGCCCTGGGTTTTAAGCACAAAACAGGGCGGCCGTTTGGGTAGACACTGAGCTAGCTGCAGGAGTTTTTTTTTTTTTTTCATACCCCAGTGGTGCCTGGAATGCCAGCGAGACAGAACCGTTTACTCCCCTGGAAAGGAGGCTGAAGCCAGGGAGCCAAGTGGTCTGGCTCGGTGGGTCCCACTCCCATGGAGCCCAGCAAGCTAAGATCCACTGGCTTGAAATTCTTGCTGCCAGCACAGCAGTCTGAAGTTGACCTGGGACACTCAAGCTTGGTGGGGGGAGGAGCAGCCAGGGAGCCAAGTGGTCTGGCTCGGTGGGTCCCACTCCCATGGAGCCCAGCAAGCTAAGATCCACTGGCTTGAAATTCTTGCTGCCAGCACAGCAGTCTGAAGTTGACCTGGGACACTCAAGCTTGGTGGGGGGAGGAGCGTCCGCCATTGGTGAGGCTTGAGTAGGTGGTTTTACCCTCACGGTGTAAACAAAGCCTCTGGGGAGTTCGAATTGGGTGGAGCTCACTGCAGCTCAGCAAGGCCACTGTGGCCAGACTGCCTCTCTAGATTCCTCCTCTCTGGGCAGGGCATCTCTGAAAAAAAAGGCAGCAGCCCCAGTTAGGGGCTTATAGATAAAACCCCCATCTCCCTGGGACAGAGCACCTGGGGGAAGGGGCAGCTGTGGGTGCAGCTTCAGCAGACTTAAATGTCCCTGTCTGACAGCTCTGAAGACAGCAGTGGATCTCCCAGGACAGCATTTGAGCTCTGCTAATGGTCAAACTGCCTCCTCAAGTGGGTCCTCAACCCCTGTGTCTCCTGACTGGGAGACACCTCATACAGGAGAGCTCTGGCGGAGGCCCCTCTGGAATGAAGCTTCCAGAGGAAGGAACTGGCAGCAATGTTTGCTGTTCTGTAGCCTCCACTGGTGATACCCAGGTAAACAGGGTCTGGAATGGACCTCTAGCAAACTCCAGCAGAGCTGCAGCTGAGAGGCCTGTGAGAAGGAAAACTAACAAACAGGAATAGCGTCAACATCAACAAAAAGGATGTCTAGACACAGAAAACCCATCCAAAGGTCACCAACATCAAAGACTAAAGAAAGATAGATAAATCCACAAAAATGGGGAGAAACCAGTGCAAAAAGCTGAAAATTGCAAAAACCAGAATGCCTCTTCTCCAAAGGATTACAACTCCTTGCCAGAAAAATGGAACAAAGCTGAACAGTTTGAGAAATTAACAGAAGTAGGCTTCAGAAGGTGGGTAATAAACTCCTCCGAGCTAAAGGATCACGTTCTAATCCAATGCAAGGAAGCTAAGAACCTTGAAAAAAAGTTAGACGAATTGCTAACTAGAATAACCAGTTTAGAGAAGAACATAAATGACCTGATGGAGCTGAAAAACACAGCACGAGAACTTCATGAAGCATACACAAGTATCAATAGCCAAATCGATCAAGCAGAAGAAAGGATATCAGAGATTGAAGATCAACTTAATGAAATAAAGAGAGAAGATTAGAGAAAAAAGAATGAAAAGGAACAAACAAAGCCTTCAAGAAATATAGGACTATGTGAAAAGACCAAATCTACATTTGATTTGTATACCTGAAGGTGACAGGGAGAATGGAACCAAGTTGGAAAACACTCTGCAGGATATTATCCAGGAGAACGTCCCCAACCTAGCAAGACAGACCAACATTCAAATTCAGGAAATACAGAGAACACCACAAAGATACTTCTCAAGAAGAGCAACTCCAGGACACATAATCATCAGATTATGTGAAGGTAGAAATGAAGGAAAAATTGTTAAGGGCAGCCAGAAAGAAAGGTCAGGTTACCCACAAAGCAAAGCCCATCAGACTAACAGCGGATCTCTCAGCAGAAACCCTACAAGCCAGAAGAGAGTGGGGGCCAATATTCAACATTCTCTAAGAAAATAATTCTCAACCCAGAATTTCATATCCAGCCAAACTAAGCTTCATAAGCAAAGGAGAAATAAAATCCTTTACAGACAAGCAAGTGTTGAGACATTTAGTCACCACCAGGCCTGCCTTACAAGAGCTCCTGAAGGAAGCACTAGACATGGAAAGGAACAACCGGTACCAGCCACTATGAAAACATACCAAATTGTAAACACCATCGACGCTATGAAGGAAACTGCATCAACTAATGAGCAAAATAACCAGCTAGCATCATAATGACAGGATCAAATTCACACATAACAATATTAACTTTAAATGTAAATGGACTAAATGCTCCAATTAAAAGACACAGACTGGCAAATTGGATAAAGAGTCAAGACCCATCAGTGTGCTATATTCAGGAGACCCATCTCACATGCAAAGACACACATAGGCTCAAAATAAAGGGATGGAGGAAGATTTTCCAAGCAAATGGAAAGAAAAAAAAAAAGCAGGGTTGCAATCCTAGTCTCTGATAAAGCAGACTTTAAATCAACAAAGATCAAAAGAGACAAAGAAGGCCATGACATAATGGTAAAGGGATCAATGCAACAACAAGACCTATCCTAAATATATATGCACCCAATACAGGAGCACCCAGATTCATAAAGCAAGTTCTTAGAGACCTACAAAGAGACTTAGACTCCCACACAATAATAGTGGGAGATTTTAACACCCCACTGTCAATATTAGATCAATGAGACAGAAAAGCAACAACAAGGATATTCAGAACTTGAACTCAGCTCTGGACCAAGCAGACCTAACAGACATCTACAGAAATCTCCACCCCAAATCATCAGAATATTCATTCTTCTCAGCACCACACTGCACTTATTCTAAAATTGACCACATAATTGAAAGTAAAACACTCCTCAGCAAATGCAAAAGAATGGAAATCATAACCAATAGTCTCTCAGACGCAGTGCAATCAAATTAGAACTCAGGATTAAGACACTCACTCAAAACCGCACAACTACATAGAAACTGAACAATTTGCTCCTGAATGACTACTGGGCAAATACTGAAATGAAGGCAGAAATAAAGATGTTACTTGAAACCAATGAGAACAAAGACACAACATACCAGAATCTCTGGGACACATTTAAAATAGTGTTTTGAAGGAAATTTATAGTACGTAATGCCCACAAGAGAAAGCAGGAAAGATTTAAAATCAACACCCTAACATCACAATTAAAAGAACTACAGAAGGAAGAGCAAACACATTCAAAAGCTAGCAGAAGACACTAAGATCAGAGGAGAACTGAAGGAGACAGAGACACAAAAAACCCTTCAGATCAATGAATCCAGGAGCTGGTTTTTTTGAAATGATCAACAAAATAGACCACTAGCCAGATTAATACACAAGAAAAGAGAGAAGAATCAAATATACACAATAAAAAATGATAAAGGGGTTATCACCACTGATCACACAGAAATACAAACTACCATCAGAGAATACTATAAACACCTCTACGCAAATAAACTAGAAAATCTAGAAGAAATGGATACATTCTTGGGCACATACACCCTCCAAAGTCTAAACCAGGAAGAAGTCAAATCCCTGAATAGACCAATAACAAGTTCTGAAATCAATAGCCTACCAACCAAAAAAAGTCCAGGACCAGACAGATTCACAGCCAATTTCTACCAGAGGTACAAAAAGGAGCTGGTACCATTCCTTCTGAAACTATTCCAATCAATAGAAAAAGAGGGAATCCTAACTCATTTTATGAGGCCAGCATCATCCTGATACCAAAACCTGGCAGAGACACAAGAAAGAAAGAAAATTTCAGGCCAATATGCCTAATGAACATCAATGCGAAAATCCTCAATAAAATACTGGCAAACCAAATCCAGGAGCACATCAAAAAGCTTATCCACCATGATCAAGTGGGCTTCATCCCTAGGATGCAAGGCTGGTTCAACATACACAAATCAATAAAAGTAATCCATCACATAAACAGAATCAATGACAAAAACCACATGATTATCTCAATAGATGCAGAAAAGGCCTTCAACAAAATTCACCACCCCTTCATCCTAAAAACTCTCAATAAACTAGGTACTGATGGAATGTATCTCAAAATAATAAGAGCTATTTATGACAAACCCACAGCCAATATCATACTGAATGGGCAAAAACTGAAGCATTCCCTTTGAAAACTGGCACAAGACAAGGATATACCCTCTCTCACCACTCCTATTCAACATAGTATTGGAAGTTCTGGCCAGGGCAATCAGGCAAGAGAAAGAAAGAAAGGGTATTCAGATAGGAAAAGAGGAAGTCAAATTATCCCTGTTTGCAGATGACATGATTGTATATTTAGAAAACCCCAGCATCTCAGCCCAAAATCTCCTTAAGCTGATAGGCAACTTCAGCAAAGTCTCAGGATACAAAATCAATGTGCAAAAATCACAAGCATTCCTATACACCAATAACAGACAAACAGCCAAATCATGAGTGAACTCCCATTCACAATTGCTACAAAGACAATTAAATACCTAGGAATCTAACTTACAAGGGATGTGAAGGACCTCTTCAAGGAGAACTACAAACCACTGCTCAAGGAAATAAGAGAGGACACAAATAAGTGGAAAAACATTCCATGCTCATGGATAGGAAGAATCAATATTGTGAAAATGGTCATACTGCCCAAAGTAATTTATAGAGTCAATTCAATGCTATCCCCATCAAGCTACCATTGACTTTCTTCACAGAATTAGAAAAAACTACTTTAAATTTCATATGGAACCAAAAAAGAGCCTGTATAGCCAAGACAATCCTAAGCAAAAAGAACAAAGCTGGAGGCACCATACTACCTGACTTCAAACTATACTACAAGGCTACAGTAACCAAAACAGCATGGTACTGGTACCAAAACAGATATATAGACCAATGGAACAGAACAGAGGCCTCAGAAATAACACCATGCATCTACAACCATCTGATCTTTGACAAACCTGACACAAACAAGCAATGGGGAAAGGATTCCCTAATTAGTAAATGGTGTTGGGAAAACTGGCTAGCCATATGCAGAAAACTGAAACTGGACCCCTTCCTTACACCTTATACAAAAATTAACTCAAGATGGATGAAAGACTTAAACGTAAGGCCTAAAACCATAAAAACCCTAGAAGGAAACCTAGGCAATACCATTCAGGACATAGGCATGGGCAAAGACTTCATGACTAAAACACCAAAAGCAATGGCAACAAAAGCCAAAATTGACAAATGGGATCTAATTAAAGAGCTTCTGCACAGCAAAAGAAACTATCATCAGAGTGAACAGGTAGGCTACAGAATTGGAGAAAATTTTTGCAATCTATCCAACTGACAAAGGGCTAATATCCAGAATCTACAAAGAACTTAAACAAATTTACAAGAAAAAAACAACCCCATCAAAAAGTGGGCAAAAGATATGAACAGACACTTCTCAAAAGAAGACATTTACGCAGCCAACAAACATATGAATAAAAGCTCTTTATCACTGGTCATTAGAGAAATGCAAATCAAAACCACAATGAGACACCATCTCACACCCTTCAGAATGGCAATCATTAAAAAGTTAGGAAACAACAGATGCTGGAGAGGATGTGGAGAAACAGAAATGCTTTTACATCGTTGGTGGGAGTGTAAATTAGTTCAACCATTGTAGAAGACAGTGTGGCAATTCCTCAAGGATATAGAACCAGAAATACCATTTGACCCACAATCTCATTACTGGGTATATACCCAAAGGATTATAAATCATTCTAGTATAAAGACACATGCACATCTATGTTTATTGCGGCACTATTCACAATAGCAAAGACTTGGAACCAACCCAAATGCCCATCAATGATAGACTGGATAAAGAAAATGTGGCACATATACGCCATGGAATACTATGCAGCCATACAAAAGAATGAGTTCATGTCCTTTGCAGGGACATGGATGAAGCTGGAAACTGTCATTCTCAGCAAACTAACACAGGAACAGAAAAGCAAATACCTCATCTTCTCACTCATAAGTGGGAGTTGAACAAAGAGAACATATGGACACAGAGGAACATCACATACGGGGGCCTGTTGTGGGGGTGGGGGCCTAGGGGAGGGATAGCATTAGGAGAAATACCTAATGTAGATGATGGGTTGATGGGTGCAGCAGACCACCATGGCACATGTATACCTATGTAACAAACTGCGTTCTGCACATGTACCCCAGAACTTAAGGTATAATTTAAAAAAAGATACTTCAAAGAAATATAAAAAGCTTTGCATCACTGTAATCAGAGCCTTTGCTACTTAAATTCTGTCTATTCCTTGAGAACTCAGCCTTTGTCCAAGAGTGGCAATGTCATCAGAAAGAAAATCACACTTTTTAAAAAAGTGTTCTTGGTTTGATTGTACAGGTGACCCCCACAACTCAACTCCATCAGCCCATTTAAATAAATTCCCTCTGCAGGTTTTACTATACAATTTTGAAAAAAAAATTTTTTTTTTCTGTAGAGACAGGGTCTTGCAATGTTGCCCAGGCTGGCTTCGAACTCCTGGGCTCAAGTGATTCTCCTGCCTCAGCCTCCCAAAGTACTGGGATTACAGGTGTAAGCCAACACGACCAGTCCCCTCTGCAGTTTTTGAAACCCCTATTTGTAGCCCATGATTCCAGTGTTACCTCTGGTCGTAAGACAGCGCCATGGCCCGGATTCCAGCGTCACATCCTGGATAGGCAAAGAGCTGCTTGAGGTCCGACACCTGCCGGACCACGACCACTCCTCTGTCTCCTCCTGTGAGCAGGTACTGCCCATCTCGGCTCAGCTGGATGGCCTGTGAGACACAGCAACATTCAGTAGAAATGTGGTTCTAGGAAACTTTCGGCCCCCACCCTGTTTTTGAGTCATTCTTACACCAGCTACTACGGTGCAGAGAGAAGAGAGAGAGATCCTCAGGAGTTTTTAGAAAATCGTGAGTTGTAGAAGATCTGCCATTTTTCAAAAACCAAATGGACAAAGTTCATCAATGCTTGAGATTGTTTTGGCTTTGCTTTTTTAAATACTAGGTAGCAAACTCTTCCAGTTCTACAAATGCTACTGGAATGGTGTGTGTTGTGGACTGGGACCAGTGCTCTAATGAGAAGCCCTGGCATCTCTTCATTTGCACTGCAGACATGCTAATAAGCCTGTTTTGTCCCAAGACTTGGCAGATGGTGCCACCTGACCTTACATCCCCTCTAATCCCCTGCAACTCCAGCTGGAGGGAGGCGGCCAGCAGCCTCGGCACCTTCCCTGAGCCTGCTGGATTTTGACAGCAGTTGGGAAGAAGACTTTGTAGAGAGCTACAACAACTTCCAGGGTGATTAAATCTCAGTTCAGCATTTTCTTGCTCCAGGGCTGACAGTGCTCCAGCCTGTGGTTTAGTCAGCTCTAGGCTGTGCCCCTCTGTCCTTTCCTACTAGCGCTGAACAGACAGTACAGGCTCAGAATTTGCTCTTTGATCCTGTAAAATGGGCATCCATGAATGAAAGCCTGCGGGCCAAGTGCAGCCCACTGCCTGTTTCATATAATTGTTTAACATTTTTTAATGCTTGAATTTTTCATGACACATGAATATTTATATGAATTCCAAATTTGAATCCCCATAAACAGGTTTTTTTTTTTCCCCCCTCGAGACAGGGTCTTGCTCTGTCACCCAGGCTGGAGTGCAGTGGCGCAGTCTCAGCTCACTACAATCTCCACCTCTCAGGTTCAAGTGATTCTCATACCTCAACCTCCTGAGCAGTTGGGATTACAGGTGCCCACCACAACACCCGTCTAACTTTTGTATTTTTAGTAGAGACGGGGTTTCACCATGTTGGTCAGGCTGGTCTTGAACTCCTGACCTCAAGTGATCCACCCGCTCGGACTCCCAAAGTGCTGGGATTACAGGCGAGAACCACTGCGCCTGGCCTTCCATAAATAAGGTTTTACCAGAACATCGCCACACCTATTATTTGTTTATGACTGCTTTCACAGGTAGTTGCAGCAGAGAATGCAGAACCCTCAAAGCTGAAAATATTTACTTTCTGTCCATTTATAGAAAAAGTGTGATTACTCCTAATTGTCCCTCCCTCCTCCAAAAGCCAATCCTATTACCCCTTCCTCTCCTCCTGCCTGGTACCTCCAAGCCTTGCTTTCTTAGCTTATTAAGATACAAATTTCCTTTCTTTAGTGGATGGCATCAGAGTTTTAAAGCCACTACAAACACCTGTAATCGCATGTCCACCTGGACACAGGGGAATACAGATTGTGCTGGCAAGCCAGAAAGAAAAAAACCTAATTTCTGATACATTGACACTGTTCTACATTCAGTTCTAGCATAGCTGCCTTAAGTCTTCACTGTTTGACATATCTTTTAAAAAATCATAGAAAGGCAAAGACTTTCTTAGCCATTTATTTCACATTCACCCAAATGCCAACTTTTAGTAGTCCCTTAAATACAGCTTATTCTCAAGAACACAAAAACACATCTAGGAAATAAAAACCCATGTGTGGAAGACAGTTAGTTACATATTCTCTAAGTTTTGTTAACACAGATATTAAGATATTTTCAAGATGAGCAAAAATCAGTATCCTTTTCCCCCACTCATTTCACAAATGGCAATCTCTAGGGGTGTCTGGGAACTGCAGTGGAGACTAGGACAAACAATTATTTGCTACACTTATAAAATTCAGCTGATGAAAATCCATTAACCTTATGGTTGTAGTTCATTTGAATTTGATACTTGAAGCTTTTTACTGGATAAGTGTTATACTAAAACAAAACCACTGATCTTTAATTCTTTGTTCTAGTAAAGAATCTCTAATCCTGCTTCCATCTGAAATTAAGTAAAACCTGGGCTTTAGGGACTATACAGTCATCAGCATTCAAAACATTTTAATGAATCAGATGCCTCCCAAGGTGAAAAAAGATTTCGCTGGCCTCTTTCAGGAGAGGCCAAATTCCTCTGGCGGCAAGAGCCAGGGTAACATTTAGCAAGCAGCACCTGATCTCCCACTCAAATTCTGACAGGCCGCCTCCGCATCCAGGTTGGGTTGTGACTAGAGGTTTTCAGAGGGCCCCAGACACATGTTAATCTCATCCCCTGAAATCCTGAGTGCTCTGGACAATGCCGTGGCTGCACGGGTTTTAAGGAGGTAGTAGCAGGCCACAGCAATCTGCTGGGGATGACCACATTCTAAAACAGCCTCAGGAAGGGAAAACAAATGCATTCCCCTGGGTGAATGGTGGTTCTCCCTTGTTTAGGACAAAATAACTTTGCTGCTCTGTACAGGCTGCCTCCTTAAATATCAGCTATTCATAAAGACATCTCAACACTGTCTAGTTGATGGACTGTGATATGCTGCTAACCAAAATGCCACAGAGCAATCTGGCATCTAAAATAAAAATAGGTGGGAAGTGCAGAGCTTCCCCAGGCTGCCTGCCTGCAGGGTTCTTGGTATTTCACAGAAACTTAATTTCTGGTCTGAGCTGATGACTAATTTGTTTCCATGGTGTCCATTCCTTATATGGGCTCAGATTGAGGAAGGAGCTGGAGATTCTGCCCTGTGGTGTCTTGGATTCCCAGCCTGTGGCTTCCTTCCTCGCCTCCCGAGGTAGTGAGCTGTGAAAGTATCAGTCTCTGGAGCTGTGGGCAGGTATTGCTCATTTTAGGCAAGCTCGCTTTAATCACACAGTTGCCACTTGCAAGTTAGCATGATAAAGTGCAGGAGTGCTGGGAAAAAGGCAATGGATTGTTTAAGCCTAAAATCCAGTGGGAAATATTAAAGAGGGAAAAAGCAATGGCTACAGGGCAGAGAGGAGAAGCATGTGTGTATGAATGGTCTGCAGAAAGCCTCCCACTGCTGCCTCAAGGAACTTCCCAGAGCCCCTGGTACTAACTGAAATGCCACAGAAATTGCTTCAGTCAGCCAGGGATCTCAAATTATTTTACAGATTTATTAGCGTAGCTGACAATATAATCGCAACTCAAAGTGACAGATTATCCACATTATTATTGTAAAGAAAAGAGGAAAAGAAAATCCTCTGATGTGTACTTGGTTTAAATGCAGCATTATGGGAAGGTAGGGAAAAATAAAAGCGAGTACGAGTGTGTCTCTGTGCGTGCCTCGTGGAGGCCGGCAGAATGTGATGGAGAGACCGCAGAGAACAGTGGAGACAAGAAGGAAGCCGTCCACTGAATCAAGAAATGAATCCCAGGAGACAGAGCAGCAAGGGTCCTTCATTTCCTCAATGTAACCTATATGTAGGAGCTTTGTTCCCTGAGACCAGTATTTACTTAGGAGAAGGGGGTGATCAGACTAGATCTGGGAAAGTGGGAGAATTTATGACATCTAAGCTGCATAGGTCAGAATAGCAATGAGTGAAATATCCAGAGCTAGCCCAACGCCAGGGTAGAAGCCCCTGTGACCCTACTCCTGCCCCCAACATGTCCTGGGTCCCCTCATTGTATACAGCTCACATGCCCCGCCCTCCAGCCTGATTCTGGAAAATGAGGACCACCCCAGCTTTATTTTACTTTAACCTTCACCAAGGAGTTTGGAGGTAAGAAACAAAGGACCTTGAGAAACTAGCCTCTGAAAAGAATAGTTCTTACTCTTTTTCTCAATGTCTAATACTTGTGGAGTCCTGTCCTGGAGATGAAGCAAGAGCCCAGAAGGTCCACTGGCGGTGCCATTTCGGGTAGACCCAGTGGGAGAAAATGCCTGCCTAATTCATATCATAATTTGAAGCCCAGCTTCTTTAACATGTTTTTGGTCTTGTTGTCCATAAAGAAGTCATAGCTGAAATTAATAAACCTAAATAGTCATAATCCCTACTGCTCCCACCACCAAGCTATTCAGATGTAAAGAGAATCCAGTTTTAAGTGTCATCTAATGTACTATTTCAGCTTTCATACTCAGAAAACAATGTGCAGTGCATTTTCTTAGAAAAAAAGAAATGAGCAGTGCCACTAAAAGCCACCCAGGATGGCTTCAGAAGCCCCTAAGAAAACCTCTTCTATTGAAGGACCGTCCTCAGCTGCGCTGAGTGACGTGGTCAGCACAGCTGGCACTGCTGTGGTGTGTGAAGTGTGTGAGCCTTGTCTGAGTGCTACCTAAAGATTTTTTGTTGGTATGGAAAAGAGGCCCTCGGCAATCCAAAAATAGAGGTTTCTTTCGCGAACCCTCTCCCTCCCCACTTGACACACGTTGAGGTAAAAGTCGTGAATGCTGAAGAGTCCCCAGGGCACTCACTCTTATGTTATCATCTGTTTCCATCGTGGCCTGGAGTTTTCCATTCACACTGAATGTACAGAAGAGGCCGTTTTCATAGAATATGACACAATGACCCTCTCTTGAAGCCTGAATGAGTTTTGGTTTCAGGCAGTTTTCAGGACCCTCCAAGGTCCTCAACAAGTCTCCATTCATGGAATGTATGAGACATGGTCCTTCTGAGAAGAGAGGAGAAATAAAAGGCAAAATTATTGAATGAAAACAGACAATATGATCTGAATCTTGAGCACAGATCAAACAGGATTATAGAACCACACTATAGATGTAGAAAGCCTTTAAAAAACTTCCATCTTACGTGTAAGTTATTTTGCAAAATCTCCTCTTCATGTTTGCCAGATCTCACCTTCCACTCAGGAGAGGAGAGAAGCCAAACCATGTAAGTCCAAGTTCACTTTCCTCAAGAGACAGGAAGTTACTCTATGAAATTCATTATGCTAACAGGCAATACAAACTGGAGGAACTGAGAAACAGGATAAGCTTCAAATTCTAGCACAGCTTCAAGGAGGCTGGGATGCAAACAAACAAGGGCTGCGGGCAGGTACACTAAGACCTCTCCCTGCACCTTGCAGGAGCCCCAACGGCCACGGCACTGTGGGCCTATGCAGGGACAGCCAGCTCAATCAGCCTCTGAGTGCCTTAGCCCTCTTCCCCCGCAACTGCTCACTACTTTTTTTACACTGAAAGGGGGTCCCTGGTAGTTCCTCTCAACCTCCAAAAAATTCACACAGGAACCCTTCGGCCACTTCTCCTTGGCAACTGAGTGAAGCCACCTCCCTGCTGCCTTCACAGCAAGGAGCAGCATCTACCACTCCCAACGCCTGGGTGGACCACCAGGCCAAGGTGCCAGAGAAGGACAGGCAGCTACTGGGAGCCCACACACAGCCAAGCTTTTTGTTTCTGTTGAGTACCTGCTGCATGCAAGGCAAAGAAGGAATAAGGAACAAAAATTGCTTGTGTGATGAGCAAGTTCCAAGAGATAGTCAGATAACGGGGGTCACTGGGGTATGCGCCCTGCTACTCTACTGGCTAAATTACTCATGGCCACATGGAATCGTTGCCTTTTCCCCACAATGACTATTGAAAGCTTGCCCTTTTAAAAATAAGGCTTTTAGCTCTTTCTTGACCACTCAGGTAGTTGATAAATTTTTTAAATATCCACAGGCAGTGTTTGCTTTACACAGTTCCAGCATGCATGAATTTCAGTTATCACTCCTTAAATAACACCAGCCCTCCAATAACATAGTTCAAATTTAGGTTGTCATAGTAATTGCATAAAGTATGCACTTTTGTGGCTAGCTCTTCAGTCCACAAATCACTATATAAATAACAGATGTGCATCATCATCATCAGTGACCAATCACATCACTCCTTTCAAAATATGTCGATGACTGCTCACTGCATTATCTGTTATTCAGTTCCCACACAGACAGCAAACTGTGCAGCTGTGTTGCTTTTTTGTCTCCCAGTGATAAAGCCATGTAACATTTCACAAAAATGGATAATCAAAAAGGGGTATTGGCCAACAAAGATGAAACTGCAGTAAAGAAATGGAAAATGATAAAACTGAAAGTACAATTTGAATTGAATATAAATGGAATTATAGAAGAGCGAGCTGCCTGTGGGATGCTGACCCTGCTGAGACACTGTAGATATGCAGCCAGGAAGGGAATGAAGGAACTTATCAGTGTAAGTTAGGGAAGAAGGTGTAACAAAAATGTCCCAGAATTTAAACCAGCAAAAGCCTCACATTAAAGGAATTCTAGGGAATATTTCATGACATTGAAAGCACAAAAGATAAAATGTTAGATGCTGGTTCCAACTTAGAAAAGAGTATGACAGCTCCCCAAGGCATAGAAAAGATGCTAGCTCCTTACATGTATATAACAAGAAGGCAGTAAGCACTGTTCAAACTACTCTTGATATGTTTTTCACAAATAAAATAATTATCAATGTATCAAATGTTTTAAATTACAGTGTATTAAGTACATGTGAGTTTTACTACTTTTTTCATGTTATATGTATAACTGAGTATGAGTTTTTAATGTTTTGACAAAATTATTCTTAGAGACAGGGTTTTGCTGTGTCACCCAGGCTGGAGTGCA
The DNA here is from genome assembly GCF_000001405.40 of Homo sapiens. Lineage (NCBI taxonomy): Eukaryota > Metazoa > Chordata > Mammalia > Primates > Hominidae > Homo > Homo sapiens. The sequence goes on from NC_000004.12 coordinate 150,284,591, forward strand.
GTGGCATGATCATGGCTTACTACAGCCTTCACCTCCTGCAATCCTCCCATCTCACCTTCCCAAGCAGCTGGGACTACAGGTGTGCACCCCATGCCCAGCTAATTCTTAATTTTTTTGTAGAGATGGGGGTCTCACTATGTTGCCAGACTGGTCTTGAACTCCTGGCCTCAAATGATCTTCCCACCTTAGCCTCCCAAAATGTTGGGATTACAGGCATGAGCCACCATGCCCAGCCTGACAAAAATTTTTAAAGACCATGGAACAATTGTAAAATTTACCAATGATTATTCAGATCACTTTGTATGGTTTCAGTTGGCGTGCTCACTTTTACAGTTCCATACTACTGTGCAAAGAAAAGATGACCTGTAATATATAATAGGTTCATTTTACGACTCCTGTTGGCTCAGGACGTATGAAATTATTGAGTATAAGGGAAAAATCCAGTGGTTATAGAATTATTGCTATCATTATTACTATTTCAATGTTTTGACCAAATTTATAAACATAATCCTTTAAATATTTAAAACACCTTATTAACTAGACTAATAAGTATTACATTTTAGGACACAGAGGAGCTGATCCAAATACTCTGTTTCCCCACCAGATAAACCCAAAAGATGTGAGATATAATACTTTGTTGTGTGTTCAGACTTCAGCTCAGAGCAGAGACAGAGAGATGGATAGACTATTATGATGGGATAAGTAAGCAACGAATTGGAAACAGCTCCATTCCTAGTCAGATCCTGATTTGTTGCATGTGCTCTAAGCTCGCTTAATATCTTGGGCCTAAATATATAATGCTGTTTCCAGCACAAACCTCCAGGCAAACCAGCTTAAGTATCTTTCTACTCCACTCTCAATGCCACTGTGGCCCCTGCCTCATTAAAACAGACAGGGTCAGGGGCTTCCATTCAGATATAAGACGGAACCTGGCCCAGTAATAGCTCAGAAGAATAAACAAATATACAAAGACGTTCCTTGTTCCTGCTTCAGGGGAATATGAATATTAACAGGATATGTTTGTAAAAACATCTTAAACTCCTTAGAGCAGTGCTGTGAAACAGAACTTTCTACAATGATGGAAATGATCTGTATCTGTGCTGTCCAATGTAGTGGCCACTAGCCATATGTGAGTACTGAGGACCTGCAATGTGGCTAGTGCCACGAAGAAACTTACATTTTAATTTTATTTAATTTTAAATAATTTAAATAGTTCCATATGACTAATGGCTATCATAACAGACAGAAGCTTTAGAAAAAAGGTACCAAATTAATCTTTGGTAATTTGTTTCTAGAAGACAGCAAGAAATGCATCCATTTTGTGAAGGTACCACAGGTTTACCTTGTGAACCACTCAACACCAGGCCTAGCTCCGCACACACCGCAGCACATGTGACCTCATAGTCATGGCCGGTCAAAATGGCCCGAGGAGCAGCAGTCTCACCTTTAGGAAAAAACAGATAAAAAGAACAAATCAATTCAATTTCATGCATATTAAATAATCAACAACTTGCTCCTAATTTCCATCATGCCTATTTAATTTATAGTTTGGGAATTTGTCCAGCAATCCTACTTTAGGACTAGATCCAAGTTACATACTATAGTTTGATTATGAGGGCCACATCCTGCTAAAATGTCAAGTAACCTTTATGTGATTATCAAGCAACAATGGTTGAAAACTCAGGGTTAAATACAACAAAATCTGCATTCCAAAATGCCTCATAAAAAATCAGCCCCTCAATTAGATGTTTTATGGTCAGATGATTATAAAATTAGGAACTTTGGCTCAATTTACATTTCAAAGAAAGGCCTCGCCCCTCCTTCCTCCTTCCTCATCCTTTGTGGGCCGCTGAAACCCATCATAATGAAGACAGTCTGAACTAGACTTCTGCTACCCCCACAGTAATTCTGCAGCCCCTCTCTTAAATATGTATTCTCTCTACTAAGCTTATGTATTTTTCTGATATATAAATTTCATGGATATATTTCTCTGTGGTTCATTCAAATAACCGAAAAAAAACCCAATATAAGAAACACCTAAAAAAAAACCAAACCCTTACAGATAAGTCTACAGATAGTGATTGAAAATGAGGGGCGGTGGGTAGAGAAGGGGGGACAGAGGAGGAGTATCCAAAAACTGGCAGATATTGCCGAATACTTTCACAACTTGAAAGAACAAGTCATCCTGTATGTCTGTCCCAAACTAAAAAGAAAACGTATGGTTGGTTGGTTGGTTGGTTAATAAGGAACCCATCATGACTAAGTAAAATGGTAATGGTCTTGATTTGTGGATGGGTTCGTGCCAAGCCACAAGGATAAACTGGATTCCATGTCTAGCCTGAAGAATATGATTTGAAGACTAAACGGATCCTTTACTTTTATAGTCTCTAAAGGTAAAGATACAAAAAGTCTTTCCAAGTGGAGAGCAGGATTCTATTAGCATTCCCGATTTCTTGATTTGGATTGGTTTTATAGTATGCTTGATAACTAACACTGTGTAATCCAGAAGAGACAAATGTGCCCACAGAGTAAGTGGCTACCACCAGCTATGGAACTCTGTGGAAGAGAATCGCTTGTATCTTAACCCCAGACACCTGACTATCCTTGGAGCAGTCACCCACTCAGAGGAAGGAAGTCCAGCAGCTCAGGGGAAACCCACTGGAAACCTACTGTACTTGGAAAGGCAAATGCTGCTGTCAGAAAACTAACCCGGCTTCCAAAGCAAGGGTTCTTCCAGTAGGTCACTGGGTTATTTGAAATTTTATGCAAAATGTATCTACATGCCTGTTTTTCTAGGTAGCAGGGGAGGAAAATAAGTTTTACTGAATGGACAGAGGTCCATGAACAAGAAAAGGTGAGAGGCTTCTACCCTGAAGGGAGGTCTGGTCTCTGTGCTTGTAGCCCCACTTCACCTGGAGCCAGCAGTCACTTCAGGTCTAGCTTTTCACAGGACAGTTCCAATGCATGTACCAGAGTACATAATGCACGGCCATGTCCCTACAATGTCCTTCAAGGCTTTGGTGACTGTAGGTAATCCTGAGTGAGACTTAAGTTGAAGGAATGCCACACGGAACTTTGCACCACACTGGCGTGCTATGTGCAGCCAGCTGCTGGACCTAGCCTACAGGCTTAGTGATAAAGGGAGACCAAAAATAACATACAAAGAGGCAAGGGGGTAGGCAGAACAAGGGGCTTCGTTTCATTTGATTCCAAGTTTTAACACTTCTTTGGGAGGCAAACTTACCTTAATTAGAAAGTTGACATTTCCCAAGCCACAAAGAATTTGTCACAAGAGCAATTTTGTTTCTTACAAAGTCCAGAAATTTGGGAAAATTTTAAAGAAATAAAGCAAATAATGTAAGCCAATCTGAACTACTTAAGCTTCTGTTAGGATCCACAAATTTTTTTTTTTTTTTTCTGAGACGGAGTCTCACTCTGTCGCCCAGGCTGGAATGCGGTGGTGCGATCTCGACTCACTGCCAGCTCCGCCTTCCAGGTTCACACCATTCTCCTGCCTTGGCCTCCTGAGTAGCTGGGACTACAGGCGCCCGCCACTGCGCCCAGCTAATTTTTTGTATTTTTAGTAGAGACGGGGTTTCACCGTGGTCTCGATCTCCTGACCTCGTGATCCGCCTGCCTCGGCCTCCCAAAGTGCTGGGATTACAGGCGTGAGCCACCGCGCCCAGCCAGGATCCACAAATTTTAGGAAGAAGTATACTGTTTTAAAAAGTTATTGGCCGGGCGCAATGGCTCACGCCTGTAATCCCAGTACTTTGGGAGGCCAAGGTGGGCAGATCACCTGAGGTTACGAGTTAGAGACCAGCCTGGCCAACATGGTGAAACCCTGCCTCTACTAAAAATACAAAAAATTAGTTTGGCGTGGTGGTGTGCACCTCTAACAGGTAGGAGAATTGCTTGAACCTGGGAGGTGGAGGTTGCAGTGAGCCGAGATCACGCCACTGCACTCTAGCCTGGGCAACAGAGCGAGACTCCGTCTCAAAAAAATAATAAAATAAGAAGTTATCAATACTTTAGCCCTGATTCTTGGTTTTCCTTTTCCCCAGAAGGCTGTACATTCCACAAAAATACCATACAATGTTGTTTCTGAAATTACTGTCTAATTAGATCCATTGGCAACTTTTTTTTTTTACCAGCAATTAAAATCACTAAGATCTAAGGAATATATTTTTGGTGTGATTGTTCTTTTTTTTTTTTTTTTTTCTTAAGTTACCATTTCATGGATGGTGAAATTTGTGTTTTAACTTGAATTGTCTTGGAATTCCTCAGTGGAAAGTGAAGGTTTGAAGGAAAGCTGATGGCAAATGAAGGCATTCTAAGTATAAGACAAAGTAAACAAAGGACAGATAGATAATGGTGGTCCCAGAGGATGATGTCACTTAAGAACATCAATGCTAACTTTTTGTTTTCTTGGGAGCATGGTGGAAGAAGGGAGAGGATTGCTGTCAATTTTCTTTCTTTCTTTAATGTAAAAGAGTTGAAATACTGAGCATTTTCTATGACTACAAAGTTAAGAGTTTAGGAAGCCTCGTGATTAACTCCAGAAGGTGGGTTAAGATATAAGCATTATTTTTTTTGTAAACTCGTAAGATTTTTATCATTATGCTTTGTTTACAAAATACTAGTTTCCAATAATCCAAACTTTATTAAATCATTTTTCACTCCACAGATCAGAACACACACACATGCAGAGTAATTTCAAAACTGGAAAAGGATTTCTTCTTTTCCTAGGGCCTGATCTCTAAATAAGGAACTATTCAATGCTAGGACTTTGGCTTCAAAGTTTGGCAAAATGTTTGCTAATCCCGGAAGCAGGTTAGACAGTTCAGGAAATACAAAAGAGAGAGAGAGAAAAAAAGAAAAAGAAATTAAAAGCATAAGGGTAGACTTATGATCATTAGGTTCTCAGGTAACCAGTTTTACAGTCACTGGATTTCCAGTAAAAAGACAGCGCTACTTAACTTTCCTCACCTATAGGAAATGTACATTACTGGCCTCTATAAACCCACATACATCAATATAAGGAGAGATATGTCATTTCCTCTAAGAAAAGCTGTTTCCAATCTTCTTTAAAGATTGTATTCCCTTTATTATCTGCTGTACAGATTGAGCATTCTTTACATTTTCTCCTCATCAAAAAGTACATTCAAAATAAATACCTACTACTTGATTTTTATAAGTTTTATAATAAAGAGCTTGAAATAGTTACACTTCAATATAGCAGATATATGATATGGGATTTAAATCTAACAGGTCAAAACTGTTTAAGTTCAATGGACATTTTGGGAACCACTTGCAATGAAATTACTGAGGGTAGCGGGGATAATCGGAGGCAGAGCAGAGGCTTTACATGTGGCTCACAGAATCGATCTTTTTATGTCTCTGTAGTTACACTGTATACATCATCCTGGATCACAGCAGAGCCAAAGTGACAACATCCCACAGAAAGGAAAGGCAAAATCCCTCCATATCTGTGTACATTTCTGTTTGGAAAGCCTAGAAACAAAATCTTGGAACCATATAACTCATTCTCACTGCAGTGTTCTCAGAAATCTGCCCCTCCCAACTACTTGTCAGCCCACATAGTTAATACCCAGGGAGAAATAATCAGCTCAAACAAGATGATTCTGGCCATATGTTACTTTTCAAAGATGCCAAAACTATCAATAATCTCTCATTGAAGTCTCTAAACCAAACGAAGAACAAGAAAAAAAAATCTTCTGAAAAATATCAAGTTAATTCTTCTGATAAAAATTTGCAATAGTTAAGGGATACAAAAAGTCTTTACCTTTGCTTTCTGAGATAGTAGGATCTCCCAAAGGCTAGACCATAAAGCAGAACAGATTCCCTTAAGAACCTTTTAAAGTCTTACTGCTTGAAAAATTGTCATGGCCTTCAATAATGCTGAGAGAAAAATTTATCTTGCTGCTAGTTTAAGGGACTACATTTCAAACTCTTCTTAAAGAAAAATAAAAAGAGAAAGAGGACAGACTTCTAGGACTGCTTTGAAAAGCTTGAGCAATTACTTCAAAGGAAAGGGTGTCTTTGTCCAGAGAGCACGTTTATGACTACTGATGCAAATCCTAACCAAAGGCTGAAAAGGATACCCAGTGCATCTTTATGGATGGCCTTAAAGGAAGATGAACAAGTCAAATGAGATTAAAGACAGCCCAAATTCTGCTGCAAATACCAGGGCACATCAGGTTTTACAGAGGCACTTCTCTCAGTACGTAATACTAGATATCAATACCAACTTACAGAGACAACTATAACAACCTAACTTGCATTTAAGCAACACAAGATCTCTATACTAACCACTTAGCATTTATATTGGACTTATGTTTTATTTATTTATTTTTTATTATACTTTAAGTTTTAGGGTACATGTGCACATTGTGCAGGTTAGTTACATATGTATACATGTGCCATGCTGGTGCGCTGCACCCACTAACTCGTCATCTAGCATTAGGTATATCTCCCAATGCTATCCCTCCCCCCTCCCCCCACCCCACCACAGTCCCCAGAGTGTGATATTCCCCTTCCTGTGTCCATGTGATCTCATTGTTCAATTAAACACCAAAAGCAGTGGCAACAAAAGACAAAATTGACAAATGGGATCTAATTAAACTAAAGAGCTTCTGCACAGCAAAAGAAACTACCATCAGAGTGAACAGGCAACCTACAAAATGGGAGAAAATTTTCGCAACCTACTCATCTGACAAAGGGCTAATATCCAGAATCTACAATGAACTCAAACAAATTTACAAGAAAAAAACAAACAACCCCATCAAAAAGTGGGCGAAGGACATGAACAGACACTTCTCAAAAGAAGACATTTATGCAGCCAAAAAACACATGAAAAAATGCTCATCATCACTGGCCATCAGAGAAATGCAAATCAAAACCACAATGAGATATCATCTCACACCAGTTAGAATGGCAATCATTAAAAAGTCAGGAAACAACAGGTGCTGGAGAGGATGTGGAGAAATAGGAACACTTTTACACTGTTGGTGGGACTGTAAACTAGTTCAACCATTGTGGAAGTCAGTGTGGGGATTCCTCAGGGATCTAGAACTAGAAATACCATTTGACCCAGCCATCCCATTACTGGGTATATACCCAAAGGACTATAAATCATGCTGCTATAAAGACACATGCACACGTATGTTTATTGCGGCATTATTCACAATAGCAAAGACTTGGAACCAACCCAAATGTCCAACAACGATAGACTGGATTAAGAAAATGTGGCAAATATACACCATGGAATACTATGCAGCCATAAAAAATGATGAGTTCATGTCCTTTGTAGGGACATGGATAAAATTGGAAGTCATCATTCTCAGTAAACTATCGCAAGAACAAAAAACCAAACACCGCATATTCTCACTCATAGGTGGGAATTGAACAATGGACTTATGTTTTAAAACATTAGGTGAAATATTTTAACACCACTTGGCAGAATAGCAAACGTTTTCATTAGTTGTGTTTCTTTGGTGCCCTCGCAACATTAAGTATATTTATCAAACAGACTCCGAACCACTTAAAATTACACCTGAAAGAAGAGAAAAGAGGAATTTCTCTAGTATCTTGCTCATAAATATCCAGTGAGAAGAATATTTCATAAGGCCTATATCCATTTAGGAAAACAGGTGACAATCCAGGTACAAATAGATCTGACATGTATTTTCTGGCAAACTTGTAGTTACTTTATAAAAAGTGAATGAAGTTCTTGGTGTTTTGGCGTCATCTCCTTACTCTTATGAAAATCAGATCACTTTGAAATGCAGTATAACGTTTTCACTTGTAGGTTAAATATGTTGTTATTAGCAGAGTGAATCCTCTTCATTCCATTTTCTCAATACCATCTATTAGGAAATGAAGCGGGATTAAACATTTTCCTATTCCTAGTTTTGTACAACTAAAATTATTTCTTCCAATTGATACTTAGTTTAGATGACTCCTGGCTGGGCCAGAAAATCACATATCCCACTTGTTCACCCATTCATTCCTTCACTCCTTCATTCACTTAATAATATTTATTGAGTTTGTATTCTTAAGATATGTGAGGTACTATGGAAATAAGGAAAGGAGTAAAACACAGCCTTTTATTTAAAAATAACTTGATTTTAAAGGATCATTGGATCTGGTTTTGTCAACTGTACTATAAACCTGCAAATTATAATTATAAATATCTATGCTTGTAAAGGTCAACATAATAGTACTGAAGTCCATACCACTTGTAACAACTAATTTTGTATGCAAAATCAATATTTAACAATAATTAACATGCTTAAAGACCACCAATATAATTTTCTTCATTAGTAAAAATGTATCATCTGAACTTTTATAGAGGAAAATCAAAATATAAAACCTGGCTTTATAAAAAAAGTAATAATTTCAATAGAAAACAAATTAAGAAATAAAATATATTTGTTTAAAAAGCCCAAATACATAATGAACTTATTAGGCATATAGATTATAGATAAAAAACAAAAATATATTATACAATATATGCCAGTCATTTCCTAAAGACGGATACCTCTATTTTACATGTGCCTTTTGTACCATTTAGTTACAATTGATTACTACAAAACATTCATGTGAAAACTGAATACTAAGCTTTCTCATGCGGCTCACCATAATGGTAAATCAAGAAAGGAAATGGCTTTGCTAAAGCGGAAATGAGCTTAGATATTAAATGTTTCTTAAACCTTTTCCATTAACTTCCTAGTTTTACAATGGAAATTATACTGCATTTTAATTATGCTTAGAAAAACTACTTGAAATTTGTCCTATACATTTCATCTTCACCAAATCTTTTCCCTTCCCCTATTCATCATGGTCTCTTTGGTGAAAAATCACAATTTGATTAGACATATAGACTATAGATGATAAGCCATAGCTGCATTTAGAGTACAACAACCATCAGACAGGAAATTTTAGTAGCAACTTCTTGTAAATAATATTAGAAGTATTAATGCAAGACAAGATAATGTTGGTACAAAGAACAACTGTAAGTCCTTGGTATATAACATTTCTCCTCTTCTCTCTATGATACATATAAATGTTGGTAACACGGGAATCACCCTCTAAGACTAAGGTTGACCCTTGAACAACATAGGTTTGAACTGTATGGGTCTACTCATTTGTGGATTTTCTTCTGCCTCTGCCATTGAGACAGCAAGACCAGCCCTCTGCTTCCTCAGTCTACTCGGTGTGAAGACAACGAGGATGAAGATCTTTATGATGATCTACTTCCACTTAATGCATAGTAAATATATTTTCTCCTTACGATTTTCTTAATAACATTTTCTTTTCTCTAGCTTACTTTATTATAAGAACACAGTATATGATACATATAACATACAAAATATGTGTTAACCAACTTTATGTTATCAGTAAGGCTTCCAAGTCAACAGTAAGCTATCAGTAGTTAAGTTTCTGGGGAGTCAAAAGTTATATGCATGTTTCTGACGGTGTGGGGGGTTGGCACCCCGACTCCTGTGTTGTTCAAAAGTCAACTGTACATTAGAAAATGGGTTTATATGAGTGTGTACCTGCAAGTGTATACTTAAAAGTATACCCCTTAAATGTATATTTGAAAAATACAAAATCTTACCATGACATGTACTGTCATAAGAACTCAGTATAATACAGTTGTCTTTTTGTGTCTCTCGCAAATACTAAGAATGCTTTAGTGATAGGATTGCATCAACTTCTCTATAGCTGATATTCTAATTAAATGTATAGTTTAGATAACTCTGACCTAGACTGCCTGAGTTTAAATCTAGGCTCCAGCACTTGCTAGCTATGTGAGCTCCCTTGGGCAAGTTTCCATAATTCTAGTAAGGAGATCCTAAAAGTGTCAAGGCCCAGGGCAGAAAGTAAAGGCATATTTATAATTTCTCCATGCCTCATCTATAAGTCAAGGATACTAACAGTAGATACCACACAGGGCTACTGTGAAGATTAATGAGTTAATATGTAAAGCACTCAGGATGGTGCCTGGCATGTAGTGAGCACCCATTAGTATCATATAAGTAGTAGTAGCAGCAGGCCAGGCGCAGTGGCTCACGCCTGTAATCCCAGCACTTTGGGAGGCCAAGGTGGGCGGATCACAAGGTCAGGAGATTGAGACCATCATGGCCAACATGGTGAAACCCTGTCTCTACTAAAAATACAAAAAAATTATCTGGGCGCGCTGGCGCCCACATGTAGTCCCAGCTACTCGGGAGCTAAGTCAGGAGAATTGCTTGAACCTGGGAGGTGGAGGTTGCAGTGAGCCAAGATCCCACCACTGCACTCCAGCCTGGTGACAGAGAGATACTCTGTCTCTTAAAAAAAAAAAATAGTAGTAGTAGTAGCAACAGAATGATCCCTTTTTTCACTCTGTTATAAACACTCCTTTCATTGAAAGTATATTTCATCCTATGCTGCATAAAAGCTAATTAGAGATGGTTCTCTCCTTGATAATTCATATAAATTCTGATACAACTACTAATATTTGGCAGCCTAGAGGCTAACAGTGGGGAGTGAAGGTACAGTACAGTAATTTGGTGCATTCCCCAAATTAAAATAGCTTTTTTTTTTTTTTTTTTTTTTTTTAAGACAGGGTCTCACTCTGTTGCCCAGGCTGGAGTGCAATGGTGCAACCACAGATCACTGCAGCCTTGACCTCCCTGGGCTAAGGTGGTCCTCCCACTTCAGCCTCCTGAGTAGCTGGGACTACAGGCACCACACCCAGCTAATTTTTTTTACTTCTTGTAGAGACAGCGTCTCCCTATGTTGCCCATGCTGGTTTTGAACTCCTGGGCTCAAACAATACCCTTGTCTTGGCCTCCCAAAATGCTAGGATTATAGGCATGAGCCACTGTGCCCGGCCTAAAGTATCTTTATTGTCTCTGATTATCAAGGTAGTACATGCTCATTATAAAACATTCAGATACTTCAGTAAAGTATGATGAAGAAAATGAAAAATTGCTTCCAAATCCCACTACCTATAAATAAATGTTGCTAATATATGTCTTGTGATCATTTCATACTTTTTCTATGCATAAATGTACATAGAATACAAGTGTATACACATATAGGCATAGGTACTTACATATGTAGCTTCGTGATCTTTTACACTTAGCAATACAAAGAGTGTATCCCTCCATGTCAATATTACAAATTTATAGTATCTTTGTTAATGCCTGTACAGGACTTCATTACATGGACATATCATTACTATACTTAACTAATGTGCTTCTTTTTTCCTACTTGCTTGAGACTTCATTTGTTGTTTTCCCATGGAGGGGCTTGGTCTTTGGTTCTAGGTAAGCTATGGCTCCTGTAGCTGCATATGAGTGTCTGGTAACATAAACATGGTAAAATTCTACCCCCCAAAAAGAAAACAGGTAGAAAATTTGCTGAAGTGAAATCTTATTCAGATTTGTTGCAATGCAACATTGTCTGATTTTTATGAATATAAATTAAAACTGAAAATTGGTTTTATCTATTTATCCTAAATACCCAAATTATTTAAAATTCTTTATAATACATCCTCCTTAACATTTTTAATGTTCTTTTGTTAAAAATACGTAAGTAAGGGACTCTGAAAACTATAGAGGAGTTTCATATCTTTAGCTATTAAACACTCCTGACCCCACTCACCCAAAGGAAATAAGGCAGTCTCTCAGTTGTGCAAAGTTACAAGCTACAAGAATGAAAGCTTAAAAAGCTCAACAGTCATGCAGCCTTAAGCCACAAAAGGCAGAAACAATTCAGAGAATTTTTTTCCTATATAAAAACACTTCAAATCCAAAATCTGAAGTCTTATCAAACACATTCATTTTCTCACTTGAATGTGAAAAAAATTACTGTTAAAAAATTACCAGATAAATGAAATGTAATGATATACTTAGATAATGGCCCTGTTAAAAGACCAAGAAAATCAATTTTTAAAAATTTGTTAACACTTATAAACTTCTGCTCTGTAAAGCGATATAAATGAGCATAGCACATAAAAATTGAGGTAACTAGAAAAAATAGGGTTTAACTGTTGCTTCGTAAAAAAAAAATCAGAGATTTAAATATTGAATTTCATATAAAAATGGTTATCTTTTCATAAATTATCAGTAATATCTAGAGTAAAATGTGAGTTACATAGGCACAAAGCTGTCGTAGAATTTCTCTTACGAAATGAGCGTTTTTGGAAGGTAGTAAAGTCAGTCTACTATGTTGTTCCAGGAAGCTTTAATTAAGTGTATCCTTGGTAGTTCTACCAATAATGTTATGGACCACCCCCCCGCGCCCACCCCCACCGCCGGCACAGAGTTCTGCAATATTTTAAAAGCAGAAGAATCCTACGTTTAGTTGACTAGAAGGAATTTTTACTTTCTTAGACTAATGCCAACTATTGTTTGAAATTAAATTTCCCATATGAGCATAAAGTGTCAAGACAACTTTCTTTGGCATGGCACTATTAAAAAGGTCTACATATGAAGATACTCAATCTGAGGGTATAAATCATCAATTCTTCTGTTCTCATATTTATATGGCTATAACCTATGGGCTGAATGGTACAGTCATTTTTCTCTGCAACCAAACAAGGTAAATAAATGTGATATATTGGCATATCACCCCACCACTCTGCATATGGTGCACATTAAGGTTGTATTCATTTGCCATATGAATATAATTCCTTTTTACCACATCTACTATTAGTTACAAGCAGTAAATACAGAGTTGTTTTGCTGGAACTTGAGGGCCTGCATTGCATCATGGAGCACTAAACATCCTGGACCTTCTGGAGAATTTCATAGACATACTTTTAATGTCACCTGAACTTGAACACTGCCAACATACCATTTGAAAACGCTTCTTGATAAATGCTTCAAGGAAAAAATAAAAATACAGGGTAGCTGTAGTGTGACAGTACATTCCAAATGCAGGCCCAGAAGGGAAGGTCTTGATGAGACACACACAAGAACTCTTGTTCCTGACAAAGGATCAGATCAAGAGTCATATCCAGGTATAAAATGGTTTCTTGTTTCAAGCATTACTTTCTTATTCAGAATCTAGTGAACATAAGGAACCTAAACATAAAATACCATCCAAATAACTTCCTCAACGGTAACTTATTGAAGAGCTGTGATCAAGAAGCTAACAAGTTTATTTCATCACCAACTGTGGTGCTTTGTTTCATTAGGCAAATATTGTGCTTGCTTTTTCCTTACACAAAATATTTATCGTACAGTTGCAAATCCAGGTTAGGGTAGGGTAAAAGGAGGAGTAAAGTGATTTCTTTTTAAGAACTCATATGGTTCAACACAAATGTACATACCTTGACATTTGTGACCCTTAAATAATATATCACAGGCAATTAAAAACAAAGTACACCTGTCTTAACCAAGTACCAATTTTCATGTTTCCCAACATTAAGTCCCCAAATGCATCCAGCAGATGGTGCTCTAGGACACCTACTTACAGAGAGTAATATTGTTTATATTACATCCACCTAAATTTTGGCAAGACAAAGAATAAGAATTTATCAGTAGCTTCAGTAAAACATACTAGGCTTCACAATAAAAAGGACATAATTCCTAAATATGTGTACAAAAATATGCATACACATAAGCACATGTGCACAGAGGCAGCCAGTAAATAATTCACACCTGGACATGTTATGATACTACTTTTCTTACAGACTTGATGAGTAGTCTATGTGTATCAGTAGTATTTATAGTCACATGGCAAGATCATTCTAAATTCATTAAAAAAAATTTAGAATGCCTTAAAGTTAGAATTCATTTTTAATTATAGCAGGAATGTCTCATTAGGGTGATACTAGTAAAATTAACAACAGTAGGATTTACGGTAATGACTTAAGTGATTGATGAGCGTATAACAAAATGAAGTTTTAGACAGAGAAAAAGCAGGGCAGCTATGGCATACAGTACTTTAAAAAACAGCTCTGTGGTCTGTTAGTGCTAGCCTTATGGTTAATAAAACCTTCTTTCTAATTAACGGTGCTGAAATATTCTTAAAGAACAGAATCTTGTTGTTATGAAGAAAAGTTAGGTTTTTTTCTCAGTAGACGCCAATCCCATAAAGGAGAAAGCTGACATAGATTAGCATGTCTGATTGCAATGAGGAAAAGAAAAAAAATGCCACCTTTCAATCAAATCAAAACCAGAATGCGAGAATGGAAAATGTATTACTGAAATACTACACACACAAATCTGTGCAACACCCTCACAGTTAGCAACCATTTGCTTCTGAAGCTGATCGAATGTGGCTTTAAAAGATATTATTCAGATATCTAAAAATACCTAATAAACATTTAATTTTTTAAATCCATGTTTATGAATATAAAAGTGAATAAATAATAACTGTTTTGTATATATTCATCTTGCTTATCTAAATAAGATCATGTCAAAGTTTAAAGTATTTATTTATCAATGGAATGCACTGGGGAACATTTTCTCCAAAATTTAAAAATGTACAGTCTGGAGAGCATTATTCTGAAGGTGAAATAACTATCTCAGGAAAAGCACTTTGGTGACAAGGCTCAGTCCTAAAACACAGAGTACTAGGACAAGGAGAGAGAGATGCCATGCTTTCATGTACAAAACATCTCTCAGTGAAATATTCTTGGTTAATTTCATTTTTTAAATCCCTAATTAAATGGAATCCTATATTCATTTTTCTTCTCATTGAAAAAACTGCATTCCACAGGAGATAATTATTACAAAACAATAGAGTCAAAGATGAAAAACTATCTGGTATACAGGAAAATAAGCCTTTTGCTATGTAGTCTAGGCAGGCTTCATAAAACATTTACACTTTTTAAAGCCCCAAATTACAGTATTTATAGGTTTTACACTTGATCTTAGCCAAAAGGCTGAGAAGCGATGTATTTATAGGTTTTATCCAGTTTGAATTAGCCTGAGATTGCCAAAGCAGTATGTATATTAATATTAGATAATATGATATTTTTAAAACTTTGTCATACAGCTATCAACTTTACATATAACATCAATATTAGATATGGAAAAAACAGTGTATGTAGGCTTATGACCCTAGAAAGTAAAATGACTACCTATTCCCATGATTTTTTAAATAAAAAAACCCTGAGATAGACCTATAAAATGCAGAAAAAGCAATAACCTGGTTTTCTTTTATCTATTTTCCCTTCAAGAAAGAAAAAGTCTACAATAAAAAATTTAAAGTTGAGGTATTAATGTGCATTTATAGAACATATTGCAATTATATGTATATACACGCTTCACCACTTCTTAAAGGTCATTTACATTGTATCTAAGAGGTACAATATAGGAATACACATAACCTAAAACCCTTCATCTGAAAAGCTCTGACTTCAGCAGCTGCATTGTGGAACCATCAATGAGCCAGAGGCTTATAAAATCCGAACCAGCTTGCATGAATGTTTGAAACAGTTTACACACGGTAACAATGTCTTTGTTTTTGTTTGTCATTTTCTTTTGAAAAGCGTAGATTGCATTTTCCATTTTTCTATTCTAATATGTGTAAATTCTCATTATAAGAAAAAGTGCCTATTTGTCTTTCTCCTGGATTCATCTTTCAAAGCTGAAGCAAAATTAAATCGGGGCATCAGACATTATACAGGGGCTTGAAAGGATAAGGTTCACTTTGAGAAAGGTAATTTAATTCAGTCAAGATACATTACAATTTTCTAAAATTTTTATTAGATGTGCTGTTATATTATTCTTTTATTGTTTTTCTTTTCATTGCTAGCATTACTAGGAGGTAATGTCCACCATACTGCAGACAATGAGAGGGTATAGATGAAGTACGCTATGAAAAATATAACATTATAATATTTACTCTAATGCCAACAAGATGGTGTTTTGTGGTGATTTATTTGCTCTAATCATCCTGTGCTTCTGATAACACCTTAACTCAGTTCTGTTGTTGCTTTCATTTTACAGACAAGACAGAAGGACCACAGCAAAGCTTGGAACTTAGATTTTTTTTTTACTACAAACCCCAGGATTTGTTCAGTCCTACTTAATTCGTTTTTTAAAGGCCATGCATGTAAAAACAATCTCTAGGTTGAGTTACAAAGTATTTAAACATATGAAAATATATTTAAATGTATACATATATCATGATATATATCATACTTTCTTCCTTTGCGAAGAGCTGAAAATTCCTAACTTTAAGGCATACTTAACTTTCTGAAATGCAATAGTAATTACATACAAGTGTAGCTAATAGGTCTTTAGCTGCTTTTTAGAATACACATTGGTAATGACGGTGTATAACATAGAGAACATGATTAAGTAAAATAAAACAAGAAACCAAGAACCCAAATATCTATGTGTGTTCAGATTTCTTTATGTGCATGAAATACCTTACATTTTTAAGGCAAGAAAAAGTTCTTAAATATTTTGAGATAAATAGCAAAATGGTAGATTTATTATCAATTTTAAATATAGGTTTGCCTGAGATAATTGAGTGAATCTCGGTAACTGGATTTACAGAAACCAGAAAAAAGAAATTGAAAGGAGTCACTTATTCTAAGAGGACAGACAGGAAGAAGGACCAGAATATTGTGTTCATGATGAAAAGAACATGGTACTTTTCAAAAGAATATGAAAAACAAAATCCCTGAAATTTGCATCTTTGTAATTTCTATTGTAATTACAGAGATGTCTGTATAAATGTGAAATACATGTACACCTACTCCCCGACATATACACACACTACAATTTGATCACAAAGTCTGTATTATCAATAGCATCACAGGCTTAACATTATTTTTCATATCCTATTTGCATAGGAAATTATCCCTTTTTTGATTAAAACAGGAAATATCTATTAGACGTTCATTGAATAAAAACTGTATTTACCTATCACATCAAAGTCTATAATGTACATAATAAGAAACAGCTTTGAAAAATACTTCACACACACTTCTTTTAACATTATACTAGCATTTGACTAAATGTTTTGAAAAAAAGGTTCATTTTCATACAAATATTATACATTTAAGAACAGCTTTGAGAAGTCAATCCAAGATATGATGGACTTAAACATATTTAGACCATTTCACAATCTGGGGTGGAGTGACAGAGCAAGGACCGGGTATTCAGGTAAAGTCATCAGGAAGAATGTGATCCTTCCTTAACCAAATACATTGCAACTTGCCTTAAATTAAGAAACTGTAAATATTTAAGAGCAGTTAAAATGCTCTACCTTCTGAAGTAAAAATCTAAAGCTATTCTTGCAGGAATTCTACAGTGTTGTCATAATCATTTTAATTAAATTCTCATTTTTCAGGTGGTCCCTTTAATTGTTTTTTCCTACTTCTTAATGTGTTTTTCTAAAGCCATTTCTTTTCTGCAGCTGTGTGCGATTGGTTTTAATGGTAGCTGCTTCCTTTTTTGCCTTCTGTGAATTACAATTTTAAATGGTTACACATTTTTTGTTTTACTGCCTTCAGCATAGTTTCATAAAGATGTTTAAGGCTGTTGGTGAACATTTTCATTTCCCATCTGAAAAACCAAGAGCCAATTTGAGTATTCCACATTGGCCTTTTATGACCTGTTTTATCTTTTTAATACATAAATGAAAGCATAATTTTATCAAGACTAGTTTGTTTCTATGAAATTATTATTTTTATTTTGTTCTTTTAAAATATGAATTCAATAAACAAGGTAATATGTGATTGCTCTTTTATGCTGTATCTTCATGAATAAAAACTACTTTATTTGGTGACAGCTATTTCCAATGAAGAACTAGAATTTTTGGATCATAAGAATAGCCTATAATATGAAACATAAGATTTCATGCTTAGATTTTAATTATCAATGGTCACAAAATTGATAATGAGGCTATTTGGATCATTCTTAAATTATAATAAATAAAAAATACTTGATAATCCTGTCTCACTTTTACCATAACAAAAAGGTAACTTTACTGCAAAATGTTATTCTCTACATCCTTGTAAAAGTTTACTTAAAAAATGAGTCATACTTACTGCCTGGGTTATCTCCAATCCCACTGCATTTTCCATTCCAATACCACAGCAAAAGAGTTGCATCACGTGACCCTGAGAGAATGTAGCAATTTCCCCCAATATATGACTCAGAACGAGCAAGGCAAGTGACGACATCCCAATGGCCAAACACCACTTGGATCAATCTTCCTGTAATGCAAAACAATTTTCTTTAAAAATGCTATTAAAAAAATAAAAATTCTAGTGAACAGATAACTTGTAAAACAACGAAGCTATATGAACTCTGATGGTCATAATTCAGATTTTATAATAATTTGACATGGTCCAACCTAACAGTTTTCTTTGCATGCTAACAAGAACAACAAAAAAACAATTGAAAATTGTTAACATTTTTGAAAGGCATGTGTTAAAACTATTTCAACAAATAATACTTGAGGACCATGGCACTGTATCATTACAAATGGCTTCTATAAATTACAAATGAATCATGTTTACTGATTAAAGCAGGCCCAGGAGAACCCTTTTGGAACCATTTTAACACTTTCTTGAGTTACTCTATATGATTCAAAATTAAACTTAGTTGCTTTTCTGTAAAAGTACTCATAATTTAGATGTCACTAATAAAAACCTATTTCTGATTTACTGAAGATTTAATGTATTTCTTGTTTTAAGTGATCTATACAAAGACAATATAAGACACTTTGGAGAGCTTCTACCTTTTCAAATCAGGATTATATGGAAATTATGATGAAAGAACTAATATATTGTGATTGCAATTTGAGCCAGGTGATTCTTTGTCTTAATTTTCTGATGAAAATTCCTTGAGGGTGAAATCAAGATGGTAATGACTGGGGACAAAGGAGAGGAACCCAGTAAACTTACTATATATCTAGGGCTTCAAACACAGAACAGTTGTTCATGTAAAGGTGTCAGAAAAAAAGTAAAGCCCTCACCCTTTTTTGTTATTTTTATTTATTTATTTTTTTGAGGCGGAGTCTCGTTCTGTCGCCCAGGCTGGAGTGTAGTGGCGCGATCTTGGCTCACTGCAAGCTCTGCTTCCCAGGTTCACGCCATTCTCCTGCTCAGCCTCCCAGGTAGCTGGGACTACAGGCACCCACCACCACCACGCCCGGCTAATTTTTTGTATTTTTAGTAGAGACGGGGTTTCACTGTGTTAGCCAGGATGGTCTCGATCTCCTGACCTTGTAATCCACCCGCCTGGGCCTCCCAAAGTGCTGGGATTACAGGCGTGAGCCACCGTGCCCAGCAGCCCTCACCCTTTAAGAATCTTTGTTTAACCAGATATGGTGGTAGTAATTCACACAAACTTGTCTAAACAATTAAATAGCTGTGACAGACCCCCATTCCATCTTTAGAATTTCTAGCTTACATATTTCCTTTGAAATGTCTACAGAGTCTACAGATGAATGCCATACAATGTCTACCCTTAATATTCAGCATGGCTTTCTTTTTCTTTAAATAAGTTTTTATATTTCGATTATAAAATATAATTCCGATGTTCAAGAAAAAAAGGCTACTAAGCTGAAAATTAAATTAATATGCCTAAATAGGTTATGTGTTTAACCCGTAATACATTGTAAACTTCTTAAAAGGTTAAGGTCCCAAGTACTGGCATATCAAGTGTATTTAACTTTTCAAGATAATAAATATAAGATAATATTTACATTAAATTTTTAAAATTCTTGATTTTAATAAATCTAAGGCTTATTATGAAGGCTGAAAATTTAGAAATAAAATTCTGAAATATTATCTAAATCAGATGGAAAAGTCAAATACATGTTTTCATTCATGAGTGGCAGTCTTGCATATAGCCTACTTCTAATAAATTTAAAATCAGATTCACTTCAATCTCAAGTTGCAAAACTAATATAGTACTTTTTTTCTCCTGTGATTAAGGGAGAGCAGACTTCAAAGCAAGTGTCTCTAGCTGCTAAATGTTCAAGATGTTCACTTTTGAATTTCTTCAGCCTTTTAAGTTGACACCAAAACATTTCATTAAAAAATAAGCTTATATCAATAAAGAATAAAAAAGAATCCAAGACCTTCAAGAACTAAAAAAAATTGAGCAAATTAAATGTGAAATATATAATAATTTTTACTTCATTTCCAATTTACATGACAAACAGAATGTGGAGGTTCAGTGGTAAACTGGCGGGGATCAGATTACACGCAGGCCTTACATAGGATAAGACAAAAGTTAGGTAGCTGAAAGCAGTCTTATTAATAACTAGAAAATCAAAGGTTAAATCCATGTATTTTAACTACTGAAAGAAATACATCATATATACATCATACATCATGAATACATCATATAGTGATGTGATCATAGAGTATATATATGACTTCTGCTTTAGCCTATGCCTAAATGCTGAGAGCACATAAAATATAGGTGTGATTTAAATAGATTATGTATGGGCAGGCTTATTTCAGATTTGAAACCCAACAATCAGTGGGTTGTAGGAGTGAGGAGGAGTGAAATAACTAACCAGGTACTTGAGGTAGACGACATAGAGGAAACCCAGGTGTTCTTAGTGCAGTAGGAGGCTTGCAAAGAACAGCTATTCACTTGGTAACTTAATTTCCAACTCATGTGAGGACAAAGGGAAAAAATGTAGCTGTAAAGGTGGGATGGATTAAATATAGGGGCAGAGTTTTACAAGAGTCACATGGTAATTCTCATGAGTTGAAGTCACTGCTCTGTTTCTCCAATGTCAGTGTAAGGAAACATACATTCAGTCATGGTGGTTCCTTTTCAAAATTTTTAGTGTTTTGATTGTTTTCCAAAAAGTTATCACAATTAGTTTTCATTCAACAAATACTTAGCACCTATTAAGTGCCAAGCATTAGGCCTTCTTACCTGTATACAGTGGTGAACAAATAGACATGGTCCCTGCCCTCATAGCCTTTACAGTCTTGTGGGGCAGACAGTCATTAAACAAACCCAGACTGGTATATAATTATGAATAGGGATGAGTATTATAAAAGAACAAGGTTGGATTAATGACAATAACAAGATAGAACAAATTTACACTGGGTGTCAGGGAAGATCTAAATGAGAGAGTGACATTTAAGCAGTTACATCTAAAGGGTTTTATATGTTAACACAAATTAACTTTATTCTTTACAATTTATACTTTGGGCTCAACTCTGGAAAACATTATTTTTTTAAGTTTACTTTTTCCTGTTCTGGCAGCCTTCCTCAGCAATATTTGTTATTGCTATAAGGTTGAGGTTCACTCCTCCTAAATAAATCACAGCATATAAATACCTGCTGCTCTTTTTGGTAAATTATTTTCTGATAATCTTATAAGTGTTCCTCAACCTTTATTTTTTGTTTCCTTTAATACCAGTCCACCTCTCCACACACTAATATCAAATATTACCACAAGCACTAGAATATCCCTTTTTTGACAGAACAAATTTTCTAGTTAATGTTTTATTTGACAGCTGTGCTACAAATAAAAAAATTCAAGCTCAGGACTCTGCACCACTGAATCTAAAATGTGGCCTGAAAATAATTCCGACTGCCAGGGGAAGGTTTTATTGTTGCCTCTGCTGTTCTGGTTGTGGCCCGAAAACATGATTTATGTTTAAAGAATTTCCTGTTACAATCCATGTTTCTCCTCCCTCCTCCCCAATCTAATAAGAGAAGGATTTTTTTTTTTGGCTTGTGTGCTAAAATATAATTGAATTTAACACTTGTGTTAGCTTTGCCATTATATATTACTGATCATATGATTTTCCCTTGATTCTGTGCTAAACTTAAGAAAAAATATTTAATATTCCTATTGTTGTAAAATCACAGACACATATTTACCTTAACTGAAATTATTTTAAATAAAACTAGCATCAGAGTTTTTATACAAGATATTAAGAAAGACACCAGGACTATCGTTTGAGATTTTTTTTATACAACTTTTCTGGTAAGTATAAATATTTTTATTTCACAAGCTAAGTCAGTCCCACTGAAATGAAGTTTAAGGCTATTCCTTATTTGTACGTTTTATACACACAAACACACACATTTTTAAAGACATTAGAAGGTATTTTGAAAGAGGGAAAAGAATGACATCAGGTTTATTAAGTCTAATGTAACATGGCAAACATACTAGGAACTTAGTGTTACAAATTACAGCATTTTCCCAAAAAAATCAGTGACTGACTGGTAACACCTAGATGAGACAACATGCTATGATCACAAAGTGTGCT
Organism: Homo sapiens; assembly: GCF_000001405.40. Lineage (NCBI taxonomy): Eukaryota > Metazoa > Chordata > Mammalia > Primates > Hominidae > Homo > Homo sapiens. The sequence continues at coordinate 150,306,834 of NC_000004.12, forward strand.
ACATTTAAAATTTAAAAAGCTAGGTCCAAGGCCTACTTCTGTCACTATTAGCTACATACATTTCAACGAATTACATAATCTCTCTAAACCTCAGTTTTATTATCTGAAAAATGGGGATAAGACACCTGTCTACTTCACAGGATTATTGTGAGACTGAAACAATATCTAGTATGTGAGAGAATTTTATAAATTCTATAAAATTGTGTGAATATAGGATTTTAATTATTAGTGTTATATGAAAGTGAAGTTAGCTTTACTTTACAAATGTTAATACTGAGTGTCTTTAAAAAACAATAATATAGAATGTCAACAAACTAAAAACACTCAAATGTCAAAACCAAAGATTGACATGGTTTGTGATTCCATTTATATGACATTCTGAAAAAGGCACAACTAAAGATGAGGAACAGATTAGTTGTTGCCAGGAGGTTGAGGGTGGGGTAAAAAGTTGACTTCTAGTAGGTGGCACAGGGTATTTGGGGGCGCTCTGCACCTTGATTGTGGTGGTGGTGAATTACTCTATGGTTTGCACTGTAAACCAAAAAGAGTGGTTTACAGTTCTATTAGTTCTATATTACAGTGTAAAATTCATTTTCATGTTTAAAAATGTTTTAATCACTTAAAAAATATATGGAAAAACAATATGAAGTCCAAAAGAATATTTGAGAAAAACTCCAGGAGTTTAAGACCACCCTGGACAACAGAGTGAGAACCCTGTCTCTATAAAAATTTAAAAAAAAAAAAAGCAAAAAAAACAAGAAATAGCTGGGTGTAGTGGCATGTGCCTGTGGTCCCAGCTACTTGGCAGGCCGACGCAGGAGGAGATCACCTGAGGCCAGGAGTTTGAGGTTGCAGTGAACTGTAACTGTGCCACTGTACTCCAACTGTCTCTTATACTGTCTCCAACTGTCTTCTTTAAAATAGGCAGAAAAAAAAGACATGTCCAAGACTCAAAGAGGAGTGTTTAGGTTCAATAGTAATCCACCCCATAGACTTAAACATCTAGTAAAAGCCCAAATAATCAAAAAGGCTTGAATGGTGATGTTTTCTTTCCTACACCTACAGAATAAAGATGCAAACTATAAGAAAACCATGTCATCAATTCCATATAACAAACAATAAAGATTAAAAAGATGTTCAAGAACAAACTCCTTGAATAACCAAAAATTAATTGTTCTATAAACTATATTAAGGCAGGAGTATGGACTCAAACATTTTATAAAGATTATTAATAAGACTGAAAGATGATTTACCATAAAGCATTCAAATAACTAGAAATTTTAATTTAAAAGATTTTTCAATTCCTACAACATTAAATAAAGATATATGTAGGCCTTTGTTCCAGCTGAAATATCTACTGTCATAATATACAGTCATGAGCTTTATAACACAACTTTTTGGTCAACGATGGACCACATATATGATGGTGGTCCCATGATATTATAATGAAGCTGAAAAATTCCTGTCACCTATTGACATCATAGCTGTGGTAACGTTGTAGTGCAATGCATCACTCACGTTTGTGGTGGTGCTGGTTTAAATGGACTTACTACACTGCCAGATGTATAAAGATACAGCACATACAATTATGTATAGTGCATAATACTTGATAATAAATAACTCTGTTACTGGTTTATGTACTTATTATCCCATACTTTTTATTGTTAAAGTGTAGTCTTTCTACCTATAAAAAGAAAAAGTTGATTCTAAAATAGGCACAGGCAAACCCTTCAGGAGGTATTCCAAAAGGCAGTGTTATCACAGGAGATGAAAGCTCCATGCGTGTTCTTGCCCCTGAAGACCTTCCAGTGGGACAAGAATGTGGAGGTGGAAGACAGTGATATTGATGATCCTGACCCTATGGAGGCTTAGCCTAACTTATATGTTTTTGTCTTCGTTTTCTAAAAATTTTTTAAAATAGAAAAAAACCTATACAATAAGGATATATAGAAAATATTTTTGTACAGTTGTACAATGTGTTTGTGTTTTAAGCTATGTGTTATTACAAGAATTGAAAAGCTTAAAATCATTAAAAAGTTTATAAAGTAAAAAAGCTTCAGTAAGCCAATTATTAGTAAAGAAAAAATTTTAAAAACAAATTTAGTGTAGTCTAAGTGTACAGAGTTTTATAAAGTCTACAGTAGTGTACAGTCATATCCTAGGCCTTCACATTCACTCACTGCTCACTCACTGACTCACCCAGCGCAACTTCCAGTCCTGCAAGCTTCATTCATGGGAAGTGCCCTATACAGGTATGCCAGTTTTTATCTTTTATTATTATTATTTTTTACTTGCAGAAGACAATGGAATGGTTTTTATCTCTTATACCATACTTTTACTGTAACTTTTCTATTTTTAGATGTGTTTAGACACACAGATACTTACCGTTGTGTTATAATTGCCTACAGTATCCCATATACTAGTATGCTGTACAGATTTGTAGCCTAGGAGCAATAGGTGACCCCATATAGCCTAGGTGTATACTGGAATATCCCATCTAGTTTGTGTAAGTATACTCTATAATGCTGCACAACGATAAAATCCCCTAACAATGCATTTATCAGAATGTATGCCTGTTGTTAAGCAACACACGACTGTAGATCAATTAGCTCTAAAGAATTAAGAGCTCATTTTAATTATTTTAAATATCAAACTATATATTTACTATAACTTTATTTCATCCTGTAACAATTTCTAAAATATTTTAAGGGACACCATTAAATTTCTCAACGTTTCTCAATTTCTTACATGCAAAAATTTGTAAACATTTACTCAGCCGGATCTCCTACAGTAATACTGAGCTCAGCTTGGTTTGTCCCTTAGGGAGATGCATGTAAATGAATATATAGACTGAAAATTTTTATATTTTAACAAGAGCTCCTGTCACACATAAAAGCAATAGTCAGCTACTTTTCTTCATGATGGTGTAGATTTCAGCAAGATTCTAGGCAGAATTGGGTGGAGGCAAGATATCTACTGCCAAGAGTTAGACTTAATGAGTCTTTCAAGTAGGAAAAAGAAAATCCTTTAAATAATACAAAAGTGAGAAAATACACTTCTGTGTGTGTGCACTTGCCGTAAGATTATGCATATACTCATGCATGGTATTTACATACCAGGATTTGCCTTCAAAATGAATCATTTATTCTGTAAGCATGAGCTTGGGTCACAAACCTATAAAAAACTGTCTCTTACAAACATGCTGTAGCAAATTTAATAGTGGACTATATATAGTAGATTATTATTTGAAGAGGGAAAACAATGCCCTCTTCTCCCTATTTTGTAAATTTTAGGATTTTGTAATTTTTGGAAGGAAGCAGATAAGAATGCATCCTAAGCCTCTCAATACTACTTATAGTAAACTTTAGTTCACTGATAAAGAAAATGAAAATTACCTGTGTCTGTAGAATAGACTCTGAAACTTTTATCCCAGAAGCCACAGACGAGAATATAGCGGTTGTCTGAAGTGATGACAAAGCACTGGGAATGCACTTGAATACTTTGGTCTAAAAGGTCAGTGATTTGCCTCCTGTGCATTCCTGTATTGCTGGCTGTAAGAATAGGGAGGAAAAACAACTATTAAATCCACATGGGCAAAGAAATTCTATAGTGAGGGAGAAGAGGAGACACATTCCCAGATAAGAGTACTTGATCCTTAATTCTAAGTATAATAATTGAAAAACCGAGTAGGAAAACATATCCAATTGCTGGAAAAATGTGGGTAGCTAAATTCAATATCTCAGTTAAAAATTTTGCTTAGAGGAAAGAAAGAATAACACACTACTATTTAAAAATAGAACACAATTCACAGAACATGCTTTCTAGCTCTTGGGCAGAACCAAACTAGATTACAATCTCCAGATTGCATCACAGTTAGGTTTGTGTTTCTGACAATCTCATTACATTTATTGTCATGAGAATGGTTCATGTTGTGACAATCTATTACCTTTAACATTTTGTCACAAGGAAGAGATATTAGGATTTAAATGTCATATATTTGAAATATTGTAGCATCTTGTACTACTTTGGCTTTAACGGGTCTTTAATTTGACTAGATGGGAACTCCCATTTCCCCTGTTTACAACTGCACTTGCATGTAAGGAAAGGGTAGAATGACTGTTTATTAAAGATTCCTGTAATTGAAAAAGTCAAAGCACAGCAGACTGCCACTTTCTTACTCCTTATTTAAGCAATAAAACAAGACAGCCTTGGCAGTGTGTTTCAAAGTGCTACGGTGCACCTGAGACGGGGTTTGTCACCAAGAAAAAGGTCAGACATAGAGCAACACCGAGCACATGGGAAGAGTAATAATCGTCCAGAAATACACCATCGACTGTGCCATTATCAGAAACGGAATCTTCACTGAGATGACTTTTTTGGCATTGAGGCCAACCAAATAGAAAGCTTTGTTTCTAGTGATCTAAGGGTTATTTCACCATCATCTCTCCAGTACAAGTAAGGATTCTGATGCTGCTAAAGAAATTTGATTGTACCAGAAATCAGAACAAACAAACTTCTGCATCCGATTATTAAGCTTTTCACCATAATTTTCAATTTTTTGAAAAATCAAACATAGAAAAATATTTATATGCTATTCATTGTATGTAATAACTATATTAATGTGGGTAGTTTAATAGAAAGCTCAGGAAGTAAAACAGAAGAAAAAAAAGTATTCAAAATACTCTCCAGTGCTGTGCTGGGAGCCACTGGGGACACAGAGGACTGATGGATCTGTTGCCCTCATGGCACACACAACACGGCACACACGTACACATACATGTGCAACACTGCAGAAATTCTGCTAATGTCTGTGGACACAACCATTTAAGATTATTGGATAACTGTTTGATAATGGAGGCTTCATATGCTTTTGGAGGATTAATGGGCTAGAAAGTGACAGCAGTAGTGAAAAGGGCAGAATCCTAGTTGGGAATCATTTTTTCCCTCTCCTTCTAACAAAGGGAAGTTGCTGGCAGATAATAAAAGCTTTTGTGGATATCATAGTGTTACTACAGAGAGACAGTGTCCACCAACAGCAATCAAGTATCCCATTGCAATGAAGTTGTATGATACAATTTTTTTTTAAATTCCAAGAAATCTAGCAATTAAAACAAGGTATGTGGTACTTTCTGCACTGGTTACTGCAGTACTTTGTTCCACATGAGAGCTGTAAACATGTTTATTCTTGTCAGTGTTTATGTGACTTTTGCTCCTATGATATAAACTTTCGCTGAACTTTCTTGGGGGATTGGGATGATCTCTTGGGAGGACCTCAGCAGATTTGGGCATGTACATAATTTTGAATTGAGTGACCACAAAGTACCCATTGGCAAAGGCTTGATGCCCCCTCAGCACACACATGAACTATTTTCTAAGCAAGTGCTTACTTGTAATTTAACATTGCCAAGTCCCCCATCCAGCTAAGGTATATTTATCTAGATAAGCAGTCTTCAAACTAGGGTATGCATACCCCTGGAGGTGTAAGACTTCCTAAGAGATACACAGGTTCAGAAGTTAATACCAGTAATTTTCTAATTCCTCAACTTTAATATATTCTACTGCTTGAAATTGATTTGCCTGAGAACTCTCCTGTGAGTTTTCCTTTCTTACCTCTTCTTTCTCACGCCCTTCTTCTACTAGATAAAATAAAGACATATTTCCCTTCCACACAGAATCTTACTATGTGCTTTAGCTGAGTGTAATTTCTTGCCCCCAATAAAGGGACAATTCAAAATACTGAGGTAATACTGAAAAGTGAATGTATAAGTATCAAATCATTCTGCAAGTCAGGTGGTTTCCAATTTACTGCTTTCAATAAAATGGAATAAGGATCCAATCATGCTGTCAATTGGTAGATAATTAAAAATAAGTTTTAATGATAGACTGTTAAAATTATAGATTACTTAATAATAAACCATAAAAATAACTCTTAATAATAGATCACTATATGAATTGCCACTAATGCAGAGAGTTCAAAGATTTGAGTGGTACAGTTGAAACAAAGCTCTTTCCCATCTATTTTCCTAAGTGAGTAACACTGCTCAGAGGTTCCATCTATAAAAACAAGTAAGATAGACCTGCTGATGATGTATTTTTAATAAATGTTCATTTTATGTAAATAAACATTTATTAAACTTTATAATATAATTAAATAAATACATTAATATTTGTAATAATCACTCAATACAGATAAACTTATTTTAAAGGCTGAGCCTTATGGTCATAGGAAATTTTAAAATTTAAATTGAACACATATGCTTAATTTTGCAAACACATTTTTATGGCTGAAAAGCATAATAGGGTAATCAATTTTTTAAAGTTAACATAAAATTATCTGGGGGAAGTAGAATGAAAATATAAATTCAAGATAAAAAAGTAATAATGTGAAATTTCCATATGTTAAGGGGTTTTCAATGTATTTTTTAGAAACAGAAAATATTGAATATCAATTCACTCTGATATTTAGATTCTACTGGATATATTAAAATTTTGTTTACTGAGTATCAATTCACTCTGATACTTAGATTCTATTGGATATATTAAACAATTTTTACACTATGCCAGAATGTATAACCTTTGCAACTATTTGAACTTGTGATGAAAACTTTTAGATGTCAACTTAAAAATTGTCTGAGAGGATACATGGTTTTAAATAATTCTTTTAGGAGGTAGAAGTGTAAAGTCTGTTGACCAGTGATCTAGGGCAGGGACAGCAAAACTAGGGCCAAAGGCTGAATCCTGCCCATGCCTGATTTTGTATATGTAGTTTTATTAGAAAAGAGTTATGTTCATTCATTTCTTTTTTATTTATGGTGGCTTTTGTGCTATACTGGTAGAGTTAAGAACAGCTTGAGTTTCCCTTATCTGAAACACTTGGGACCAGAAGTGTTTTAGATTTCAGATTTTTTTTTCAGATTTTGGAATATTTTCATAGATTGAGATATCTTGGGGATGATAGCCAAGTCTAAACACAAAATTAATTTGTTTCATATAGAATATATATAATGTATATATATATATATATATATAGCCTGAAGGTAATTTTATATAATATTTTAAATAATTTTGTGCCTGACATAAAGTTTGGACTGTGTTTGAATGTGACCTGTCACATGAGGTCAGGTGTGGAATTTTCCACTTGTCTTGTCACGTTGGTCTTTAAAAAGTTTCAGAGTTTGGAGTATTTGGGGCTTGGGATTTGCAGATTAGAGGTGCTCAACCTAAAATATTTACTATCTGGCCCTTTACCAAAAAAGTTTACCCATGCTTACCCTAAAGGGTTACAACAATTGATGAATTCATTTAATTAGACTTGATAGCATAGGATATTCATTGTCAAGGTGCAAAGAAAATGATGGGTCTAAAATTCAGAAATAATGCTTTAAATGACTCAGCAAATGGGCTTTATTATTTTCCTGACTTTTAAACTACCCAAGTGAGCATTTTAGTTTTTTTAATATATGGCAAATCATATCTACTCAAAACAAAACAAGATTTAAGAACCAGAGTGGTATTTATCCTTCATGTAGATAATTACGTATTAGATTTCTGATTATACTTGGGGAAATGATAAATGAATTGGTTTAGAGCTTAAGGTTATTTCTGTTCATCCTGATAGTCTACCTGCTAATGGTAGCCATTTAGCTCTCCATTGAAACAATGCCTTTTAAAGACAAAAATGGTAACTATATAAAGGGAACATCTTGGATTTTAAAATAATAAATCTGCTTCATTCATATGCTTTCTTTAAAAACATTAAAATTCTAACAAATTTATTTGTGCCAGGAAAATCTGACAAAATTACAAGCCAAATATCTATGCCGATAGCATTACACCACAGGTAGGCAAGTAAGTTTTTATTCTAAAAGTTATTAAATAACATCTTCAAAATCGAGGCTTAACATTCTTAGTGATGCCACATTTGAAATCCCCACACGTAAGGATGAAAAATGCTAAACTAGAGATTTCGACTAATCTACTCAAAAAGCCTAACAGCAATTAAATATTCTAAGTCATCTGCTGCAGATGCTCATTTCATCCCAATGGCTCTTTCTGGTCGCCTCCCTATTTTTTTCTCCCCTGAACAAATTTAACCTCCAATGGCAATTTATTGGGCTGTAGGACCCTAGGAAAATGAATACAAATATCTTAACACTACCATTGGCTGGGCAATATATTTCAACTTTGAAACTGCTCTGCAATTGCACATTAATCCCCTCAGACTGAACAGAAGGTCTAGGAAGAAAGGATTGATCTCCTTTAATGATGAAACCCTGGCACTACAGTTTTATTTTTCATAACGCAGTGCTGCTAAGAACCCCACTGTTATTATGAAAATTTTCCTAGCAAAGGAGCTCCATCACATTACCGGTGCACCAATTCATCATAACGTGCCTTGCTCCTGCTCATCAACAAGTCTGAGTGATGAAAAGATCCAATATTATCCTGACAGTACTTCATGCGCATTCTCAATCACACATTATTACAGCATCCATATTAATTTTCAGTGACACGCGTCCTAGGCCTGTTCAAATTAGGCAAACCAACGAGGGGGAGTTGATGAAATACCAGCATAGCCACAGCTCATTGCATTCCAATTTGCATGCAAATGGTTTATCAGGAAAATTCCATTCCCAGCAACCAGCAAGTGAAAAACAACTGTAATCTACACTTCAGGGCCACCATACAGAGCTTAATGAATCGCAAAGAGAGAAGGAAGTGACAGACCTATGAGAGGATCGATTTCCACTGGCAGCTGGTATGGCTGGTCTTGTACAGCACCTTGATGAGCTGGAATTCACAAAAGATAAAGAAAAAAGGCATTATTTTTTATATACTAAACTACATAAAAATGCATAAGTCAAACCTTATGTAGAATTGTTTCCAATCTCTAAATCTTTCATGCAGTTTTGTGAAATTTAAAGAACAAAAATCCAGGTGCTTTTATGGCTAGCTTATTAAACATTTATTTTAGATTAGTGCCGCTCTGAACTGTGCCATCAGCAGTGGCTCCAGTCCTAGGCCATAAGCTATAGCAGATGCTTGACTGGCAACCTCTGATGCTGCAACAAAACAAAATTAAGTGGTAAAGCGCACTGAAAACAAAATGTGACAACCATCTGCTGACTGTAGCAAATACTATTTTTTTGTTACTTCTTAAAAAGGCAGTTTTGAATGCTACAGCACAAAGGATCTACAAAAATGTCAACTTATGATGGAGAAAGGGAAAGCTCTAAGTCAGGGAACATTTAGTGTTTCATCCATCACTTAAAATCAATCAATTGAAAGTTTGAATAAAAATAAAGAAAGCTATCCGCAGATAAATGTTTTAGTTAAATGCATTTGGCTGAAATATTTTCTTAAAGATTGGATTGAGGGTTTAAAAAGAAGTTTTATTAATATTTAATATTTCCATGGTTTCAATTTAAAAATACTCTGAGAAGGAGATGAATAACAAAAATCAATCTATCCTAAGAATACTTTGTTCAATTCTCAAAATGGTTTTAAAGATTCAGGCATACTTATTTTATAATTGAAGAGAGGTTTTGCAGGCTGTTTCCCTCTGAAAGGGAGAAGGACTTTCGGTAGAGAGGAAGTATATCAGGAATCAGGAACTACCTGATGCAACCTTGTGCAAATCATAAACCCTAAAACAGGGTTCAGAATAGATTATCTTTTCAGCTTCATAGTTCTGACAGTTAAATTCTGGGCCCTTTTCCAAACTATTTTCCCCAAACGACTCAGCCATTCACCCTGCTCAGTATCTACTTTTTATAGACTCACAAGCATTCACATTATTGCTTGGTTGGTATTAGAGCTCTGCTTAATGCCATTGATACCGGTGGGCTAGGGGAGGTCCCCAAACACCAGTGGGACCTCAACCCTGGCTCTTGACACTGTGGTGAGAAGAAACTCAAGGACAAGTCAGAAAATAGTGAAAGTATGGAGATTTATTGCAAAGCAAAAAGTACACACTCAAAAGGGGAGTGTGGGTGTACTCAAGAGAGAGTCGTGGACAAGGGGCGTTGGGGTTCCTATCTTTATGGGTTTCTGTTAACCAAGGGGTGGAATGTTCATGAAGATTCCTGGAAAAAGGTGGCAATTTCTCAGAACTGTGGTGCCATCCATTTTTACACCAAATATGAGTGCTCCTGGAACGGTCATGGCCCTGGTGGGTGTGTGATTTGTATGTTAATGAGCATATAATGAGGTCCTATGTGAAACCTAGATCAAACTCAGCACCATGTTGGGTCCAGACAGTCTCAGCCAGCTTGGCCTGCACCCTGGTTTTTTCAGGGTCTTATCAGATCTTAGCTTCTGCAGCTATTTCAACAGTTTCCTTTTGATAGTCAAGAAACTGCTGCCTGGAATTTTCTATTCTCCTGTGATTACCATATATTATTCCTGTCTTACCATAAGATTTTAGGAAATCTATCTGTCTTTGAGGGGCTGAAAATAAATATGGGGTACATTTCAATAAGTTCATTAGATTATTTTATACTTACTCTGTCATAGTTTCTCCAGTTAGTAAATACCAACTTTTTAAAGATGTTTGGAAGGTCATTAATACTGATAAAACACCTAAGTACAGTATTGGCACTAGAAATTACAGTATGTATAAGAAACTAAAGTAGCTGAAGAAAAGAAACCACAACGGCTCTTTTAAAAAAAACCCAAAAGGTATTTGTCTTTGCTGATTACTGTCTCTGCTGGCAAAGAAATCACAGGATACTCACAAGGGAGGACCAGGAAAAATGCACTACAGCCTCTGGTCTACCCAATAGTGCCACTTACTTCCAGCAATACCAGTGTCAATCAACATTAATACCTTTAGAATTTCCCTCTACTTCTCTGATAATCTGAGATCTTAGAAACATTTAAACCAAACTGTCAGTGAAATGGGTTTAAGGAGGTTTGCTGATGCTTCAAATCCTACTTCTGCCACTGACTGGCTGTATGAACTTGGTCAAGTTATGTAATCTCTATGTTTCAATTTCCTGATCTATAAAATAGGTTAGATTGAACCATATGAAATTGCCAATAACTGACTGTTTTGACCTATAAAAAAACGCGATTTCATATGGTTTCAACCTAAGTACAGAACCTACATCCTCAGGTTGTTAAGAAGATTGAGTTAATACACATAAAATGATTAAAACACTACTTGAAGAGGCATGAAAGTTTATCTACTCCAGCCATGTTTTGCCAGTGAGGACACTGAGCCCAGGGAGCTCGCCTTATTCTGCATCAAATATGCCCAGTCAGTGGCAGAGTTTGAGCCCAGGTTTTCTCACTCGGATTTTATGACCACCTCTCCCCTCTTTCATTAGAGCAGGAAAGTTGGGACCTGGATTCAGCACTGTTCTTTTTGGCCACCAGTTAGAATTTTTTTTAAGAAGAAGGAAAATCTTAGAAACTAGAAAAATGCTCTATAAACATTTGCTGGTGTTATTCTAATTTTTGGAGGTTTTCAAGATCCTTTGAATGAGAAGGGAGGTTAAAGATTATTTATTTTCTAAATCAGACACTACTCAAAGAACTGAGGGGAACCAGCTGTCTAATGAATGAGCTATGGAAATCATAGATCCTCAGAAAAGAAACAGAACCTAAAATTAAAAAAATAAATATTGTAATATGGATTTGATATTTACCAAAGAAAAACTGTCAGGGATTTTTGATGTTTGTTTTAAATCAAGGCATAGTGACAGGTAAAGGTAGCAAGAGATAGAATGAAAGGTTAGATTTATGTAAACATACCTAAAATGAAGCATAGACTTAATATAATAAACGCTTAATATTCTTAGTTGCAGGTGCAGCTCAAATTGGAGATCACATTCTAGAAAGATAACTGCCTGTGGTGTATTCCCATATGTTATCGCTTTTTGTATTTTTCTGGTGAAAAGTTGCTGTGTCATACTGTAAAGGCAGTATGTATGGAAAGGGTGAAGACAAACATCTCTAATGACATGGTTATAGACACAATGAAAGCTCACTGAACAGAAATATAGGCAAGATTCTGCAGAACCTTGCAGTTCCCCTAGCTATCTTACAGAAAGGTGAGCCAGGACTGGGAACAGTTGGATGCATCCTAAGTGGTACTCCAGCAGTGAGACTCTACCCCTAAATCACTTTACATATTTATTTATAGAAAAATTGGAAGTGGAGAAGATAATACCTGACCACTAGGTATTAAGGGAAGCAAGCTTTGTAGTGAGGGACACCAGCTTGCTGGAAAGGTGAAAGCCAGAAGCTTAGTCATCAACGCGTAGGGTCTTAAATGCTTAGGGTTATCAGTGCTAAAACTTGAAATCAGCTGGAGACCGAGGAGCCCTGTGGTTGAGCCAGCTCAGTTCCCGTTGAGCCAGCTCTTCCTAGGCTAAAGTAAAGATGGGGGCAGAGTACAGTCAGGGCTTTCCAGCAGTTGCAAGGTTTGCCCCTCCTCACATCTGATGTCACTCTGTTTAAACTGAAGAAGCTCTCAGGGCTGCCACAAACAGCCACCCAGGATAAGCATCATCATTGGTGGTCCTGAAGTCACACATGCTGGTGCAAAGCTCTAAGGGTAACCGCACATAGAGTAGGTAAATCCTCTAGTGTATTTGATAGAACATATCACCAGCATGTTTTTCTTCTAAAAAGTGTTTAGAGAAACAAAAAAATCACGTTTCTTAAATAAATTGTAATATTTAGTCCCAAAATATAAGTATGTTATTTTCATAAATATTTACTTCTGTAAGAGAAGTTTACTTAAAGAAAAAAGAATAAAAGGACATAATAATAGAGATATTAAATATCTGCCTCCATTTTTACTGTCTCTACCTTTTCTGAAATCTATTTTGTAGTCAAATATTGGCATTTATTTGCATCGTTTCATTTCCAATATACCCAGGAAAATGGCTATATTTAATCAATTCTAATACCAACTACAGATTCTTTGTGGTAGGTATACCTTATTGAGCTTAGTCAATGTACCAAGTTTTTGTTTGAATGTCAATTCTGTTCCCTTGTGAAAGCTGTTGCATTTAATTTGGCATGAGGTCCTTGTTCAAGAACTTGTATTTTTGCAACCATTTCAGGTATTCTAACGAGCAGTGCTTTATGCACACTTCAGAGATTTAATGACAATTTCATGAACTATTAAAATGTATCTTTTAAATTTGCCTACCTAAAACAACGGCTTGGGAAAAAAGTCTATAATCTCCAGAAGTTTAAAAGATTTTCCTTCTTCTTAAAAAAAATTCTAACTGGCCAAAGAGAACAGTGCTAAATCCAGGTCCCAACTTTCCTGCTCTAATGAGAGAGAATACATTACAGAGGGGTGGTCATAAAATCTGAGTGAGAAAACCTGGGCTCAAACTCCGCCACTGACTGGGCATATTTGATGCAGAATAAGGCGAGCTCCCTGGGCTCAGTGTCCTCACTGGCAAAACATGGCTGGAGTAGATAAACTTTCAATGCCTCTTTAAATCTGCACTGTTTATGATTCTAATGGTTATTTCAGTTGAGCATGACTGTGTTGAGCATTTAATGGAAGAACAGAAGGTACTTACAGATATTCAATATTTTGGCTATGTAATTTAAGTGTTCTTTTTTTTTTCTATTATCCTCAACAAATACTACCAATACTACCATGCCAAGCACAAAAAGGTACAGTTTCTGGCACATAATAGACAATCAGAATTGTTTACTGTGGCTGGACATAGTGGCTCATGCCTGTAATCCCAACACTTTAAGAGGCTGAGGCAGGAGGACTGCTTGAGGCCAGGAGTTCAAGACCAGCCTGGGCAACATAGCGAGCCCATCTCTACGAAAAGTTAAAAAAAATTAGCCAGGCATGGTGCTGCGTGCCTGTAGTCCTAGCTAATCAGGAGGCTGAGGCAGGAGGATTGCTTGTGCCCAGGAGTTCAAGGCTACAGCGAGCTATGATCACACCACTGCACTCCAGCCTGAGTGACAGAGCAAGGCCTTGTCTCTAAAAACAAACAAAAATTTGTAAAAACCCAAGTGTTTATTAAGTAAAATGAAAGTAAAAAAGAGAAACATTTGATAAATAAATAAATATATACTGTTTATGGACATAATATAGAATATCATTATATTAAAATACTATATTAGAAACAATATTTATCTCCAAGAATAAAGATAAACCACCAGAAGCTAAAAAGTAGTTTATGTTTTTAACATTTGTACTATATGCCTCACGTGGGCCTTTTTTAAGCCTTTCAAACTATTAAACAATTTGATTCAGACTAATGCTTGAAAATTAAAAGCTTAAATGTTGAGATATGCTATATTTAAGTGGGTATTACACAGTGTTCAGCAGTTACCATGCCTTATAATGGTATTTCTTTACTTACCAGGAAGGTTGTGCCATTTGTTCACCGCAAATAACCTGTTAGCAGTGACTGTGATCACAGCGGGAGTTGCCAAACCAGGCTGGGTGTTGGCTGCCACGTGAGTAACAGGGGAGTTGGAGGGAAACTTGAGGACCATGATAACATCCTGCTGGGCTTTGTCTGTGAACATCAATGGACTCTGCAGGAGGAGATACTGTTGAGTGGGCATGACAAGACCCAAATAGACAAGAAGGAAAAGATGAAGAAAGACAAGAAAGAGAGGGGGTGCAGGAAAAGAAGAGGAAGACCATATTAACATGAGTTGTAAGTGGAAGCACAGTGAGCAGAAAGGCTTGTAGAAACAGCAGTCATGATCTGTTATTCATGTATGTCGTTAGTTGGAATTTTGGGGGACTGAAGTAGAATACATTAACAGAAACACTTTAAAATTTATAAATTTTATGAGCTCCCTTTCCCTCCCCACTGCCACGAAAAACTAAAAGAATGATTTGATTTAGATTCTACACAGGCAAAGTGCTGGGGATTGCATTAAACCATTCTGGTTGCTATCGTGTCACATAATGATCTTTTAGCACTAAAAAAACAGTAAGAATGGACAACAGGCATAAAAGCAAGACAAGGTAATTTCCAAAGATCATCAAAAGTTGTGTTGAGTTAGCAGGAAGATTTTGACAACTACAAAGAGGTAATGAAAACAAATACATTTATAAACAATAGTTAGACTGCATGCATATATTATTACAGTAGAGAAATAACTTATGAACGTAATATACAAACTTAATTATAAAGGTGTTTGAAAGCAATGCATAAATGTACTTGTAAAAACAATATATTTATATAGTGTACCAAATCATAAACACTGCCTATTGTAATGCAAATGCTACTGCTTTCTGCTGTAGCTAGGAATAAAGAGAAATACCTAGGTGTTCCTCTTCCCTGTTGGTTAAAAAACAAACAAAACTAGAGCTCAAGACTTTTTTGATTTCTCCTTCAAAAAACAGAGTAATTGAAAATGTTAAATGAAACACTGTCTGTTCTAATAACCAGCAACCAAATAAATCTTGAAGACTACTAAGGATTTGGAACATTCTTACAACCCATATGTCATAATCCAAGACATATATAACACTGCTCTGATTTATTGGCTTTATTTATACTTTGTGGTGGTGTGCTATCATACAGTAATTGCACTGTACATTTTCAGCAATTCTCTCCTACCATGTCTGTTTTCTAATAGCTGATTAGTATCATTCAGAATTGAAACACTTTGATGAAATGCTTCTGGCTGCTTTCCTTCTGCCATATTTCAAAACACCAGGTAATATGTAAATGTGGAGGCACATATATTTAACACATATTTATTCAGAACTGGTAATAAAAAATTAAATACATTTGCATTTTTATTATCAGTCCTTTTAAAAAAGTTATTAAGAGTACTTAGAAAAACATATTGCACTAAGAATTCCTATTTGCACTCTTTGCATAAAGGTGTAAATAAAGGCAACTAATAAGCTACCCGGACACCCTTCTGAGCAAGTGGCTAAAAGCCAATCAATATTATGAGTTAATCCTCCCTGGATGCTCATTCAATTAAAGGTGTCAGTAATGCCTCATCTGATGTGGCCTCAATTAAGTCCAACTATCTGATGGTGTGAAAACACAGGGGGATACAGCAACAGCAGCAAAACCAGACAAATAGGCAGCCTTCGTGTGCCTGCTAATTACTACACCTGGTGTATATTATGGTTCATGCACTTAACGCAGCACGAGGTGGCTTTAATTTCTGCTATATTTGTGTGTGTCTCTGTGTGTGTGTGTGTGTGTGTGTGTGTGTGGGGATGCATTGATGGTTGATGGGGGAGCTCATCTGAATGTTACTAAAAACAATAAATATGTGGCCTTTGATTTTTAAAACCCTAGTATCACTAGTTTTTGTCACACAAAGAACGTTTTATATAGTTTTTAAGGAATTCTGTGAAATTAGGTAAAAATGAGAAACAGGGAGCAACATGAAGGAAAATATCCCATAAGCTAATTTTAAAGAAGTCCTGGGAAAAGGAAATGAACATCATTTCCAAGTACCAAGTCTTATTTTTCAATTATGTAGTTTTTAAATAATATTTACGAAAGTCAATTTATAAACTCAGAGAAAATCAGAGTACAACATAATCATAAAATCTCACTGAAAGGAAGTACATACATATTTCTGAGCTTAACAGCTCATACTATAAATATAATTAGGCTCAAATTGAATAGTTCCAATGTTTATGCCCTTAAAAAACACAAAAAAAATCTCTCATGTGTAGGAAGAATGTCTTGTTTACATAGTGACTCTGGTGGGCCAACTCTAAGCCACACGGCAAGGACCAGCCACCTTCCACAGCAAGCTGCAGACACCATGTCCAGAAATGTCCACTGCCTTCGTACAAATATCTGTCCCTCTAGTCTGCTCCTCCATACCCCATCCTGACTAGAGCTCCTGATGCAGGCAAGTAGCAGGAAACTCTCTTGGGCGTTTCATCATATATCCTTGGCTAAAAAGCATGAATGAGAAACACCAGAAATAAGAAAACCATACCCCACACTACTAGGCTACTCTGCAGTGACAGCAGCAGCTGCAGATGAGCAGAGCAACTGGTAAAACAGGGATAAGAGAAACAAAGCCTCTTTTAATACTGGGTACCTCTGTGAGCCAAGGCTGGGGTACAAGTAGGAAATTGCTAGCCAGGTTTCATCAGTTTTCCCAGATTAAGTATACATTTGTTGACAACTCTGGTTTCTTTTTAAACTGCCTTTTCCCCATGCACATATGGACAAAGCGAAAAACACAATTTGTGCAAGTCTGAAGAGGAGTTCAGGTATTCAATTCAGAGGATAAAGGTAATGGAAAAGACGGCCTCCCATCCTTATATGAGCATG
Source organism: Homo sapiens (assembly GCF_000001405.40). Taxonomy (NCBI): domain Eukaryota; kingdom Metazoa; phylum Chordata; class Mammalia; order Primates; family Hominidae; genus Homo; species Homo sapiens. The sequence goes on from NC_000004.12 coordinate 150,324,110, forward strand.
AGCCTTCCCCGCCTTCTCACCCTCGGGATAGCAAAGCTGCTCTGCCTGTATGAGCCAATAAGCCTCTGCCATGGAAGAAGGCTGGGCAGTGACCCCAGCAGAAAGTCAATGGAGCAGAGGAGGTGCTTCCATTTGCCAGCACCAATGCAGCCTGAGTCTCAATGGCAAGCTATTACTAAAGCTAATTCCAAATGCAAACATAAATCATTCTTACTATTTTTATGGCACTATCTTCCATTGTTCTTGCTAAATGTTTGCTATCTATGTAGTCTTCTGCCCACTAAAGTCACTCTTCACGTTCATCTAAATCTGATTTTACTGATTTAAAAACATGTAGGGGAAAGAGTGATGCAAACAATTTTTAAAATGTGTATAGCTTATGATGGCCAATTCATACTGCTAGATAAAGAAGGAGAAAAAATCTTGGAAGAAGAAAGAAAATGACAAAGAGCACAGAGGGAAAAAAAGACACAGAAGGTGATGTGGGAAGAGAAAGGAAAAAAAAAAAGGAAAAAAGAGCCAGAGGTAGCAGGGCCTCCTCTCTATTTCTTACTTTCTTCACTGCTACTCTTTCCTTCCCAGTATTTATCAAAATTCTGCTATCTCTACACCACAACATGGAATTTGACTTTATATAATTGTTAATTATATTTACGGGAACAGACTTTGTAGTTTCTATTCTTAATTTAAAACAGCAATGAGCAACTTCTTTTTATGAGGGACAATTGAAAAACAATATGTATAGTCTATTCCTTAAAAATTATTTTAATCACGCACTTCAATTTGTTACTCTGCCAATTTTTTTTTCCTCATTGAAGAATTTTCCCCCTGAAATTTCAGGAACTATAAAGGTAAAATGGCCACCTTATTTTGTAGCTCAAGTCTATTTCCGTACCCATGATTCTGGGCTGACTTTTGACTTGCTTTGACCAATGAAATGTGGCATAAATGATGTGTAGGTTCAAAAGCAAGCCTCAAGAAGTCTGGCTGCTTCTGTCTGTCTTCATTCTCATGGGACTGCTCCTACCATGGGAGCGGCCTGGTCTAGCTTCCTTAAGGATGAAAGGCCACATGGAAAGAGAAGCCTGGCTACATCAGCCCACCCCCAAGCAGTGTGTGAGTGAGGCGAGGTGAAAAGAGCAGAAAAGATTTTCATCTAACCCTCAGAATCATGAGAAATACAATACATGATTGTTTTAAGCCACTAAGTTTTGGGTGGTTTGTTATACCAAACCATCATTTTTCTCCTCACTGTGGTCCCTGACCTTCAGTAACAATATCTTATGTATTAGAATTTGTTTTAAAATTCCCAAACTGAAAAATATATTGGGATGTAAAGAATAAACACAACAGCAAAACTAATCTAGAAACTCAGAGAATCAAACCAGAAAAGTCATCAACCCTATGTCTGGAGTCCTTTATCCTACAGTGAGGATTCATGACAATTATGGACCTTTCAATTCTGTAACACAAGACACCAACTGATGAAATACAAGAGCACTGGAGCAACATTTACCTTCTCAAAGATTCCAGGAGACAATGCAATAACATCTGCTGGTTGTTAGCAGGTTAACAAATATTGCATAAAAAAACAAACCCACATATGGTGGAGAAACTCAAGCACAATGAAAGACTGTTATGAATATCAAGCGGATCTGAAGGAGAGGCAAGAAATGAGGAGAGTAAAAATAGCACTTACCACTTGCATGGCAGAACCTCTGGGAGGATGGGGCTCTATGAGTAGTTGAGAAGGAGTCTGTCCAAAACTTCGGATTTGAGCTTCAACAGCCTGAAAAGGGCAGGGGCAAGTCTGAAGGTTAAGAGGTGCTAATTACAGGAAATAGAACCCCAACTGTCACCTGAAAATATCATTCCATACTCTGGCTTGTTTCATGCTGAAAATCAACCTGTGTTTTCACAGTGGGGCTAACCACCTGGCAAGGGCATTGAGGGTGAGGTCATCATTTAGAACCGCAGAAGCTGTTCCTCTAAAACTCTGCAAAACTTTCTCATCTTGCTCAGTGATATGAAACAGAAACCAGCTATTACAATCAGAAATTGTCCTTTTTGGCTTCATCTCTGTTTTCTTGCACTTGGTTTTCCTGCTTGCATCATCCCCAATGATGAAAAGCTAATCTTTTACAGGTATAGAGAAAAACTATTGCTTCTTTGATTCTAGGTCCCATTTCATCCTGGGGAGTAAAAAGGAGGAAAAAAGAAACATAGCACCTGTGAAAGTGGCTTGATGCTATATTAATTTTGCCATAGGAAGAGCATTATTGTTGACTGTCTCTTTGAAGTTAGACAACTAAATAACAAAGTAAAAGCCATATGTTGCATCTAAGCATGAGATGGTTAAACCAGGGAGTCACTAAACATGAGGAACGTGTGTATGTGTGCTCTTTTTGAAAGACGTGTGCTTTTGCAAGGCACTCTCCTACTATGGCTCTTGGTGCACACATAGCACACAAATGCCCATTTCCATCACCAACCACCCATCATGGGAAACTGCTAAATGCCAGGTGCTATCACATCTGTAAGCATTGTGTTTACTTGTTTATATCTGTTTCTTCCCAGTAAAATACAAAAGCCATGAAAGCAGGACCTTATGTATCTTCTTCACTGTTAGATCCCTAAATTGGCTGAATGAATAAATGCTACATGCTGGGTGAGGGGAGAGAAGGAAGCAAACACATATAAAGGCTACTTCGACACTCCCGTAACAGTCAGTATGCTTAACTCCCAGGCTAAAAGGATGAGGAAAACCCTCAAATTAATAAGAATAAAAATTGGAGCCAAAAGGAAGTGAGGTAGGGACTAGGATCATTTTCAGAACATCATCTCAAATATTTTCTGATAGAGTGAAATTAATTTATGATTAAACATCAAGAACAAGCTTGAGAAAAAAATCATAAAATGGGAACCTGAAGGCTAAAGGTAGTCACAAAGAAGGAGGTAGCAACACTGCTAATTTATGATATATGAACTTATGGACTTAGTTTATGAATGAGAACTTTATATCTTTTTGAAGAACAGCTGGTAAGGATGGGCATGATGGCTCACACCTGTAATCCCAAACCAAGACAGGAGGATCGCTTGAGGCCAGGAGTTCAAGAACGGCCTACATAGTAAGACCCTGTCTCTACAAAAAATAAAGAAAATTGGCTGGGTGTGCTGGTGTGTGCCTCAAGTCCCAGATACTTAGGAGGCTGAAGTAGGAGAACAGCTTGAGGCCAGGAGTTCGAGGCAGCAGTGAGCTATCATTGCACCACTGCACTCCAGCCTGGACAAGAGTGCAGCCTGGACAAGAGTACAGCCTGAACAAGAGTGCACTGTACAAGCCAGACCTGTCTCCTTGACAGTTGCCTTCTGTGGTTCCTGCCCGGCAGCCCACATGCCTCCCTGATTAAAAGGGGAGGGAGGTGGCAAAGAACTTATTGCTTCAGCACTTGGCCTATCATGTCAGATGGCTCAGAGTGCTAATCCTGACTGTGACACTTATCTGCTGTTTGACTTTAGGCAATTAGCTTATCTCCGTTTCCCATCTACAAAGAGATAGTAACAATACCTAGTTCACATAATTGTTTGGAAAATGAAATAAGATAATGCATATAAAGTGCTTAGCACAGTACCTAGCACATACAAAGCACTAAATAAAATGCTGTACTGTATTATTATTTCATGTGGGAGTTGGTGTATTCCCCACTTAACACAGCTAAAATAAAGAAGGAAGAAATGCCTCAGGAGTTTATGTAGGAAGAGAATGAGAAATACATTATTTAAGAAAACTGAAATCTGGCTTGGGATTTCAAAATATACCACAGGGCTAAGAGCCTAGAGACAGAGAGATTTCTTTGGAGGTTCTGAGAGCAGTCCAAAACATGAGGAATTATACACCTGGGTCCTTATGGAAGCTATGGTAATAGTAACAAAGAGATGAATATGTGAACCAGCTAAGGAAAAATCAACAGGTCTTAGGGACTGATGACTTTGAGCAATAAAGAAAATACAAAACTAATTCCTTTTCTTAAAAAAAAACTTGCATGTTTCAGAGAATAGTAAAGCAATGAGCAGAAATAGGAATACAGGAGTTTCTGTTAGGGAAAACAAGTTTGGCAGGAGAAAGACAGTAAATTTTACGTCAGACACATGGAATCCAACGTGATAGTGATAACCATTTATCTAGGTCAGTATGTCCAATGTGTAAAAGCCTAAGAATGGCTCTGAGGTGAGAGAAGAGAGGTATTGATTTTGGTGTCATTCATATAAAAGAGAAATTTAAGTTACTTTTTTTTTTATCTTTCTCTCTTGTTGTATATGTGTGCATGTTTTTAAGCAGCAGAAATGACCTCCTTTTTGAAATGAAATATCACATGAAACCTCAATACATGGAGATAGGGTTATTCAACTTTACAGGGGTGAAACCATCCCTAACAAGCCTCCTCATCAGCCTCTGAGACAATTCTGAGAATTCTTTAGGGCTCTGGAGCACAGTTTGAAACTATACTCGTTAAGCCCTAGGATGAAAATACATGAGACCCAGACACAAAAGCACCTAGAGCAGAACCTCAAGAAGTATTTATATTTAGGGTACAAATGAGGAAGTAATGAAGAAGACAGAGAGAGGGCAGTCAGAGGGTGGGTGGGAGGAAAAGCAGCATAGAGTGATATGGAAGCCATAGGATGAGGGTTTTGAAGAGAGAATGGGCAGTAACGCCAACTATGATAGAGAAGCTATGAATGATGACATTGTAGCATATACATCTTTATTATAGATACAAATTTAATATAACTGGCCTTAATATTACATATAGTGTTTTGCACTTAACAATGTTTTGAGATGAAAGGTTATGGATGAGACAACTTCTGAAAATACCAATCTCCTCTTTTTAACTAACTTAACTTTAATCTTAACATTTTAATACAAGTGGCACATTACTGAAAACTCTGAGGAAAAGGCTTTTTTAAATCACGTAATATAGTGGTCTGATTATTCTATCTCAATGACAGAATAAAAGCTATAGTCTCTCACACAGGTTAAATAATAATCAATTTTCTTTCCAAGTCTTGAAGGCATCTGAAAAGGCTGTGGAATTCTCAGACACAAATGCTTTACTTCTTAACGAACCTTTCAGTTCTTGATATTAAAAATGCAACAGAAAGGACTTTTTCAAGTGTGAAAATTATAGAATAAGATTGTAAGGTAATGACTATGATCTCAAAACTTTATAGTCACACTGTATATCATCAACTGATAATTCCAGTTCTCCTCCTTGTTTTTAAAATTCATTTGCCATTTTTCATTCATCTTAATCTCTGAAGCAATTTACAGAGATTCTCCCTTCTGTGGCTTCAATGGCTTAATGCTTAGACTGGCTCTGTAGTCTACTCCTTTAATCTCTGTCTTTTGCTGACTTGTCATCCATAAATAAATTTATTACTGTGAGTTCTCTTTTAGCACTATGATTCACTCAACTTAAGCTTGCTTTCTTGGAAATTTTTTCTACTGGGCCTCAAACTCTGCCCCTATCTGAAAGGTTTCCAGTCCTATGACCAGAGGATTGCCCACTCCCATGAAGTTTGCCCTGGCCATCTTGTGTGTAAGCACATGTATGTCTTAGCACATCTAAAATCTTAAAATACTATTTTTTATTTTAGCATTTCTCAGTCAAGAATTAGATTCTTCTGATTTTTTAAAGCTCAGAATCTTGTCTACATTTTAAAAATTTTACCTGTTTCACATATAAAGTCACTAAGCCCAATCACTTCGAAGTTTATCACATTCATCACTCCTTTCTGAATCTAGGCCCCTTATAATTTCAAGTATCGATTATTATAACAGTCTCTTTGCTGGTTTTCCCCCTCTATTCAGTTTCTGCCTCCAGCATATCCTGCAGAACTAAGTTTTCCCAAACTCGCCTTTATGCAATATTTCTCTGATCAAATGTCTTCAAGTGATTCCAGTAATTAAAAGATAAAAGCTAATGCCAGGCATTGCAGGTTTTCCTATCTCTCTAACTTTTATTCTCTCATTCTATCTATTACCTTATACCAGTGTTCCTTTTCAGTCAAGCTGGTTTTCTTCTACAAATATAAGCCATCTCTGCCTTACATTTTCTACCATGCCACTGACCCTCCTAGAATGGTCACTCTTATCTTCAGTTTTCTAAGTTCTACTCCTCTCTAGAAAACCCTGTTTGAGTTCTACCAAGTTTCCCTAATCTTGTTAAATAATATTACACCTGTTCATACTGCTCATTACAGTATATACTTGATTCAGAATTTCCTGTAATGTTATTTATGTCTGTCACTACAACTACACTATAAGGCACTGGTCCCCAAACTTTTTGGCACCAGGGACTGGTTTCATGGAAGACAGTTTTTCCATGGACCTGCTTGGAGGGGTGGATATGGTTTTGGGATGAAACCGTTTTACCTGAGATGACCAGGCATTAGATTCTCATAGGGAGCGTGCAACCGAGATCCCTCGCATGTGCAGTTCACAATAGGGTTTGCATTCCGATGACAATCTAATGCTGTGGCTGATGTGACAGGGGTAGAGCTCAGGCAGTAATGCTTGCCCACCACTCACCTCCTGCTATGCAGCCTGGTTCCTAACAGGCTGTGGCTCGGCGGTCAGGGACCCCTGCTAGAAGGGTCTGAATACCATATATGTGCAACAGGTGGAACAGTACCTTGCACATAGTATTTAGACAACAAAAAATTTACTGAGTGCCTGTTATATAGCAAGCTAGCCAGGAACCCTTATGGCTCATCTATGGTTGGACTGGGGACAAAACCAAGCTTGAGAGATGAGCACACTTCTTGATGAGGGCTGACTGAGGTTGCAGGGGAGGATAAGGAGTGTTAAGTAAAGGCTGGTATTTGCTATTAGAAAGAAACCAAATGAGTCTCTCAGGGAAGCTCTGAAAGATGTCACTAAAGGCAGTAATTCTCATTTCTTCAGATCCAGCATACTGGAGGATAGGACAACACTCCATTGTCTCACTATAGTAGTAATTCTTAAGGTCAAGTGAGAAATCCTGGGGTAATATGTATGATTTGAAAAAGTCCCTCAAGTGATTATGTTTCTTGCCTTATCTTCACTTGCCTATTCAGCCCTCTATATAGAGCAATAAAAAATTTAAAGGCATAAATGAGGTGTGAAATAACAGGAAACATACAAGCATCCTTAAACCCTGTACGGTTCAGCAAGGTGGGTTGGTAATAGGGTAGCTTAACAGACATTACCAAATGCCTCAACTGCTCTTAATGAACTCTCCTTCACCTAGAGAGTTTTGGTGCTAGGTGATCACTTTTTAGACATTCAGTTATGTAACATTTTTTGTTATGGAATAGGATAATGAATCCCCACATATCCATTAGCCACCTTCAATAATTATTAAGACATTTTGGCTTTAGGTTATCTTAAAGTCGGGTCAATCTAGACAATGTCCTAGATAGATTCATTGAAAATTAACAGAGTGCTTCTGCCTTTAAACAATTTATTTTTTTTAACTTCTAATGCAAGACTATACTGAGAATAAAAGTATCTTACAATGACCAAAAATATAAGCATTAGCTGGCAGCCTTCATATTTCTTCTAAGGGGCTGAATATACTCAGACTTGCAAGGAGATGTTCAATCCTTAAGTTGCAAATTTGATTATGTGACTCAAAGCCTTCCGTTCCAAATCCTTACCCTGGGTAGCACCACAGCATAGGATTAAGTATGCAGACACTGGAATCAGACAGCCTCAGTTCAAATCTTACCACTATCACATATTAGCTCAGTGATTCTGGGCAAGGTACTTAACCTTCTGTGCCTTAATTTCCTCTTCTAAAAATTGTGATAATAACTGTCAATATTTTATTGAGTTGTGAGGATTAAATGAGATAATATAAAGCACTTAGAACAGTTCATGGCACATACTAAGCTATCAGTAAGTGTGTGATATTATTACAGCATATATATTAAAGACTTAACACAGTGCCTGGCTAGGGTTAAGCAAGCACTCAATAAATGTTACCAACTACTCATCTTTAAGATGAATAGTTATCTAGCCCCAACCACTGTCCATTTCACCACTCTATAATGTGACATATAATCAACATCATATTGCCTTTAAACCCTTGTATATATTTTCTATTCCTTTTCTCTGTGTGGTTTCTTTCCTCCTCATTCTTGAAGACTTAGCTCAGGCATCTCTGGCCTCTGGGAGATCTTTCTTGACCTCACCCAGACTGTTGCTGTCCCTCCCTTTTTGCTCTTGTAGCAACATGCATAAACTTTTACTGCCTATTTATCTAATATTCTAATTACTGGTTTAATTTTCCAACTTATTGATCAGACTATAAGTCTCCTTTAGATCAGAGACTGCCTAATATTTCTGTGCTTCTACAGCTTGGCACATAGTAGGTGCTCAGTAAATATTTACCCAGTGAATGTCCATGCAAATCAACTTAATTTAGGAGGGATGCAGCTAAGAAATGCACTACTACCACAATCACAGAGCAGTCTAGTGTTGAATAAAATATTATATTAAAACATTTCAAAAAAAGCTTGCTTTATTAAATATTCTTATTCATCAATTCCCAATTATTTCTGTAAATAGCCTGTTACTACTTTCTATAATAAAACCTGAAGTCAGCAGGCAGCATTCCAGATGTTGAGATATATAGTAATAAAAAAGACTATGCAAATACTTCAAGACATTGCAGTAAAACCACATATTTATATTTTATAAACAGCATCTCAAATATTACCTAGAGAATGTATTAATGGATCTTCAAATGGAAATATTATGAAGAGATTTTCAACAAGCTGTGTATTCTATAGTTTTTGTGTGTGCCAACTATTTCATACTTGCATGATTTTATAGCTATATATAGAAAAAGAGACAATATATATAGAGAGAATATACATACACATACTAGACAGAATGAAAGGAAGAAAGAAATAAGAGATAAAAGTAAAGGAAAGTAAACTTGGCTTAGTGACAGTGTAGTATTTGGCTTCAACTTAACAAAGACTATTTTAGTCTCTCTGACCTAGGCTTTTTAATCTAACTGAGGAAACAAGTTAACTCAGTACAGCACTTAGTAACCAACAATAAATATTGTAAAATTTTATTTAAGATGTAGGGTAGGGGAGAAATAACTTAAACATATGGACACAATTAATATATATGCCCTTTTTTTTAAGCACACAACTCTGATATTGTATTTTATCACCTACATATTTACATCTGAACGCACTATAAAATTGGAATAGGGAAATAGAGACAAAATAATTTATTAAGAAAAGATATGTCATTTATTAATATATTAAAACTTTCTCACATTACCAAAATTAAGTTCAAGAAAGCTGCTGTAAGATTCTAATCCACCTCTTTACCAAGAAATGTTTAAGCATTCCAACAAGACTTCATAGATTAAATTCTTTTCAATATTTAAAAAGTCACACTAAGACCATCCAGTGATGTCTACTGTGGTATCATACCATTACTTGTGCCAGTTTTCTTCTTTCCCTTCAGATGTTTGAACTTAAATTGTAGAACACTTGCTGGATATTTGACAGGTTTCTACTCAAAGTTTACTGTCTAGCTGACTAGCCTCAGTGTCCTTTGGAGGTATGGTTCAACTTTAGCTTCGATATCAGTTAAGTTTAAAAACATATTAATCAAATGACTACTTAATCATGATATGGTTACGTTTGTATTTAATTCCTAAAGGAAAAAAATCCTGATAATATTGTAACTGCTAAGGCCAAAAAAGGACCCATAGCAAGTAAATATATTTGGTAAAAATGGGATGAAAATCCCAAAAGAGAAAATCAGAGATGTTTGGATGACATCTCTATCTGGCTTAAAAGAAAGAAAGGCAAAGCATCATTAGAAACATTTGGAAACCAGACTCCCACTTAACCTTAGGAAAGAAATACAAAGTTATTAATAGTTTTTAGTTGTCAGAGCAATAAATTCACAAAATTAAAAAGTAGTATAATGAACCTAACTCAAATTATTTAAAAAGAGTCTTCTAAGATTAAAATGTAAATATTTTAAATGCCTGAGAAATAAAATACAGAATTCAAACTTTATAAAGCATAAACATAAGAGATAAATAGTTTTTCAAGAAAATGGATACACCAGGATATGGAATATTTAAAACTCAAGCAGATAAATGTTCAAAATATACAGCAGAGGATATTTTCAATGAAATTTGCAAAATAATCTATTAATACATAGAAGAGTAAATGAAATTCAACAGAAGTGATTCTATGTAAATTTGGACTTGAAAGACTTAATGTTTTTAGTTTTGAGAATGCAGACATAAAGACAGATATCTAAGAATTTAGATAAAAGTCAAGTTTGTATGTTATATATATGTATGTGTATATATATATAACACACATATACTTACATGTGTTATGTGCATACATACATACATATGCATGAACACTTGCATGCAAAATCTGGGGGGTATATTCCAAACTATTATTTGCTATTTTCTCTGATGGAGGAAGGATGAAAAGATTGGCAGAATAAAAATTTATACTTTCCTCATTTTTATACCAATTGATATCTTACACAAAGCATGTATTATTTTTGAAATAAGCATAACAAAACAATTTTCATTTTGAAAAAATCTAAAAGACAATTTAAAAAAAAAGGTCTGCAAATATTTGGTATATCATTATTAAGTTTTTTTTGTTTTGTCTTGGTTTTTTTTTTTTTTTTTTGACAGAGTTTCGCTCTGTCACCCAGGCTGGAGTGTGGTGGTGCAACCTTGTCTCACTGCAACCTCCGTCTCCGAGGTTCAAGTGATTCTCCTGCCTCAGCCTCCCTGGTAGCTGGAATTACAGGTATGCACCACCACACCTGGCTAAATTTTGTATTTTTAGTAGAGATGGGGTTTCGCCATGTTGTCCAGGCTGGTCTCAAACTCCTGACTTCAGGTGATCCGCCTGCCTCGGCCTCCCAAAGTGCTGGGATTACAGGCATAAGCCAACACACCCAGCCCCACTTCTATGAATTTTCATAAGGAAAGAATCAGATGAAGACAAAAAGATTTAGATATAAAGAAAGTTATTATAGCACTCTATAACAGTAAAAATTGGAAGAAAAAAACTACTTAAACTCTGATAATGGAATACTATGCAGCCATTAAAATGAGTTGAATACACCTGACATAGAAACTAGTTCATAATATACCAAAGAAAGAAAAATTTCTAACTACCAAAGTATATAGAGTATGACCTTATTTCAGCAAAAAATATATGTGTATGTGTGGCTGTGTATATATATATACACACATATATACATATATATATACACGTATATATGTGTATATATGTGTATATATATACGTATATATGTGTGTGTATATATATATACACACACATATACGTATTATATATGTGTGTATATATATATATACACACACACATATATGTATATATAAAGCACTTAGAACAGTTCATGGCACATACTAAGCTATCAGTAAGTGTGTGATATTATTACAGCATATATATTAAAGACTTAACACAGGGCCTGGCTAGGGTTAAGTAAGCACTCAATAAATGTTTTTGTTTTTGTTTCTTTTTTGAGATAGGATTTCACTTTGTCACCCAGGCTGGAGTGCAGTGATATGATCTCAGCTCACTGCAACCTCTGTTTCCTGGGTGCAAGCGATCCTCCCACCTCAGCCTCTGAGTAGCAGGGAGCCACAGGTGTGTGCCACCATGCCTGGCTGATTTTTGTATTTTTGTAGAGATGGTGTTTTGCCATGTTGCCCAGGTTGGTCTTGAACTCCTGAGCTCAAATGATCTGCCCGCCTTGGCCTCCCAAAGTTCTGGGATTACAAGCCTAAGCCACCACGCCTGGCGAAGCCACTGTGCTTGGCCTTTATGAAGTTTAATTTATCCATTAACATAATAGCAAGAAATACATATATTTTTAACTTTTATTTTAGGTTCAGAGGTACATGTGAAGGTGTGTTACATAGGTAAACTTGTGTCCTGGGGGTTTGTGGTATAGATTATTTCACCACCCAGGTATTAAGCCCCGTACCCAATAGTTATCTTTTCTGCTCCTCTCCCAAGGAATATTCTGTAACCATCTAAGAACAACTTCAGTTGATAAACTGGTCAAAAACTTAAATCTATAGACCTTGCTATAAAATTAATTTTGTTAATATTGAGTTTACTTTTTTAACTTATCTGTATCTGATTCCAAGGATCCCTTAGTTTTAGCAATTTTTGCCATCATTTAGTATTAATTAAATACAAACTTGTTTAAGTAAATAATGTGTTTTCCTCCAAGAAGCACTCAGAATGCATCAGGTAACTGGAAACAAATACATATCATGATGGAATGGAGTACATAAAAAATAAAGAGAAAGAGCAGCTTGTTAAATAAAGTAAAACATATTTTAAAATAATAATGCAAAGAAAAGGGGGAGAAGGAAAATTAGGGAGGGAAAGGAGTATTTATACTAGCATATCTACTCAAATAATATTATTATGGAAGTTACTAATGTAAAATATGATGTAATTATAATTTGTGAAAATGCACACAGATTTTTCCATTAGTGCCTGTAACGGAGCCCGTACTTTTCAGGCACATTAAACTGAGTCCCAACCCAGCCTCACTACAATCTCCAGTTCTTGTAGCTGTCCATCTACTACAGCATAATCCCAGCTGCCAATCTGAAAGAAACCAGCTAGTCAGAGCAGACACAACCAACAGAAACAAACGTCACTCAATAATGTTCAGCGGCACTGTGTTCATGGATAATTTCAAACAGTATCTCTGTCTAGAACATTGATGTGCTCATTCAAAACACCTCCATCTCTGGCTACTGGAAATGAGTAGATAAAGCAGCCTGCCTAGAAAAATAAGTGGAATGTCTTCAAAGAGGTTGCCAATGCTAAGAAGCAAATGTTGAGAAAACACAGTAAAGGTCTTAAAGGAAAAAAACTCAACAATATCCAGAGAGTTAATTTTCACATTAAGAAGGTTAAATTATTTCTCAAAACCAAACAAATATGTTTAAACTATGTCATGAAAAGCAGCAGTCATTGGTTATTCATTTGCTAAGAGTGACCTAGATGAAGTAAAGATGGTGCCTGAAAGGAAACAGGGGTTCATGACAAAAGTCATCAGTATAATAGAACGGCTCAGAATTCTGTAGGTAGTTAATAGGAAAAAAAATCATAAAAATATTAATATTTTGCTTCATGTCCTTGAGTGTATAATTTAGTTACACCTAACTTAACTAGTAAGTCTGCAAAAGACATAATAATGAGCAAAATACAAAGAGTAGCTTTACTGACAACTTTGATGCTCATTTAATTGAATAAGGGAATTTTTGTCTGATTATTGTGGTTTTGAAGTAAAAGAAAGTCTGGCATAATTTTATGGTATTTTAAATGTAGGTTTTCAATTAAAACCTGACTAATCCTTACCGTTTATTTGGCTTCTCATTGTACAGTTCCTGCCCTGCACTGTGTCAAATATGCCATCTGTGTAACACACTTTTGGCCAGAGGTACTTCATGATTATTTCTATAACACTTTGAATTGTGGCTGCATGAAATCTTAACTTCGGTATTCAATACTCCTAATTTACTATATTGCTACAACCACTGTAATCGTGTCCTACTCTTAAATCTCACCACAGTCACAACAAAGATTCTTGCGCCACCTGCTTGAAACAGGCTTACAGACCACTCCCCCAACTATTTAACAAATGTTAACAATGCTATAAATACTAATTGTGTTTATGCTTTCTGAAAGATTCACTGCAGCCAGTGTTCTGCAGCAGTGTTGGAGCTGCTGACTCCCACCAACAGACTGATGGAATTCTAAGCCAAAAATGCTTTTCCTTGGATAAGATATCTGATTTGCTACTGCTGTCATGAAACTGGGGTCATGTAAACTTAAACACTGCTGCTGCTTCTTTTGGAAAACAGACCTCAGAGTGATTACGCATAGCTAAGACAGCATTTGGAAGGATAAATTTGGAAGAGGGAAAACCAACCACTGACACTAAACACAACTTAGGGAAAATTTTCAGGTTTTACTTTCATGTTGAGGTCACTTGTATACAGTAATTCTTTAAACTGGGCAATATCACGGCTCTCCCCTCTCCCCTATTTATCAATGCAAATAGAGCTGAGTTCCATTTTCAAAAGGAAATTTAAAACTTTAATTAATTTCTGAACTCACATAAACATAAAACAATGTATTTACGTGAAAAGTAAAGAAGAAAATGACACTTTTAGAGGAAATGTACCAAGTACTTATAACAAAGTACAAGATGAAAAAGCACAGATAATATTGTTCATATTAAGGTTGTCTGACAGCAACATCTACCTGCAAGTATCTTTCAGCCTTTGAAGCCCCACCCCTTCTTCCAACCTCCAGTGTACCCCAAGATCTGCCCTGGTGTCCCTTATACAACAACTGCTCCAGCCTCTGCTGTGTTTGTACTTTTCCTTTGATCAAAACCTACTGTCCAGTCTTACTCACAGACAGCCACATGATTGGAAAGGATTTTTTTTTAAAGGATTTGTAACCAAATAAGTGATCTCTAATGGTAGAATTTCAGGCATTAGGAAAGGACAATGAGTTCTGTAGCAGAGGCTTTTTTTCTTTACATACACATCAAAGTGCATCAAAGAGGAACTTATAGCTAGACATTAACATGTGACTCTGGCATTAGTTACCAATTTGAGGATGAGAGCTTTCTAGTCTCTCACTTTATACTTTTTGTATTATTTGACTCTTGAAATAGTTAACATGTATTGCTTTGATAAATACATTTTTAAAGCACTTTGTATAACTATTTAATTATACACACACACACACACACACACACACACAAGTAGTGAACCCAGAGTTCTAGAATTCAGGAATCTTAAGCCAAAAGCCTTCTTGCTTTTAGATAATGACAAAAACTACAATTAACAGCGATACACCTAAGATATTTTCCCTGAAAGTAGAAGTGTTCTTTGTGCTCTCCCTCAAATATGATGGGAAAAATGAAGAAATAAACTCAAATGTTAAAAAGTATGAAAACTCCCATAGCTCAGTGGATTAAATAACATATATAGAAAATTAAGAGATTGGAGGTACTCTGATTTCTGAGTGAGATAAAAGTTAAGAAATTGTAAATTCCTTCATTCCTGTCAAAGTTACACGAAGATCATTATAGACGGTCAGTACCCTAACAACATTGAATGTTGAGAAAGAACATGGCCAAAACCCAGAACGCAATTACAAAAGACCTCTGAACAGCCAAAAACGAAGTCAGTATTCATATCCTCATGTTAACATACATTGCTTGTTCAAATTTTCAAGAAGCAGATTCTTTCCCCCTGAAAAGGGAGAAAGAGTTGTGTTTGGCTTTTTTTCTCTCTCTGATTTTCAAGAGACATAATTTTTTAGAATATAGAAAGAGGCAAATTAAAGAATTCCATGATCTCATTAACCAAAGATAATGACCATGAACATTTTGGGGTCCATAATTCCAGACTTTTCCTCATGCATTTGTATTTTATATGTTCCATAACATTGTCTATTATTCACTGTAATATGGCAAAATATTCTTCCATGGTAATACATATAGATTTACACAGCAACATTTTTGATGATACACAGTATTCTACTGTGTAAATTTACCAATATTTAATTAACTACTTCTCTACTGGAAATTTACGTTGCTCCTTTTCCTTTTTTTTTTTTTTTGCTATTATGATAATACGGTTTGGCTGCGTCCCTACCCAAATCTCATCTTGAATTGTAGTTCCCACAATCCCCACATCGTGAGAAGGACCCCGTCGGAGGTAACTGAATCATGGTGGTGGTTTCCCCCATACTATTCTTGTGATGGTAAGTTCTCACGAGATCTGATGGTTTTATAACGGGCATCCTCCTTCGCTCAGCTCTCATTCTTCTCTCTCCTGCCGCCTTGCAAAGAAGGATATGTTTGCTTCCCCTTTCACCATGGCTGTAAGTTCCCTGAGGCCTCCCTAGCCATGTGGAACTGAGTCAATTAAACCTCTTTCCTTTAGAATTACCCAGTCTCGGGTATGTCCTCATAGCAGCATGAGAACAGACTAATACATATGAACTATATAACTGAATATTTTTTTCACACTTGGTCAATTATTACTTTTGGTTAGAGTTCTAAGTAAATAGTACATGAACATTTTAATAATTGATACAGATTGCTATAAAGATTCAACCTATTTTCATCCTCACCAAATATATGACAGTATCTGTTTTCTCATACTGCACCAACATTAAAATTTTTATTATTTTTAATCTTAGATAATCTAGTGGACACAAATGTTATTGTGTGTTCAATTTAATGTCATTGATTAATAGTGAGGATGAACTACTTCTCTTACTGGGTCCTGCTCTTTGCCCAGGCTGGTCTCAAACTCCTGGGCCTAAGCGATCCTCCCACCTTGGCCTCCCAAAGCATTGGAATTACAGGTGTGAACCACTGTGCCCAGCTTAAAGTGCTTTTCATATGTGACTTGCATTTCATCTTTCATGAGTTTTCTATTCCTGTACTTTGTTATTTGTTGTTGCTTTAGATGTACAGAAACATCCTTTTCATGTAGTGTTTATACGTGAATATATTAATTTCCTTAAGGATTTTTAGCTTTGATATTAGACTTACAAAGGCCTTCCCCTTCATGTAATCAGGAACAGAAATGTCAGTGTGACAGGACACATCGATGAGGAAGAGAACAGACGACATGAGATCAGGGAGGTATGCAGGGCCAGATCATGTGAGTCAAGCAGATTTTATTCTATGTTTGATGTGAAATAGGAAAGTTTAAGAAGGAAGTGAAATGATCTGACTTACAGTTTCAAATACCACTTTGGCAGCTCGGTGGAAAGTGGACTGTAGGTAGGCAGGGACAGAAAAAGGTGACCTGGTCTACTAGCGTTAGTCCAGTGGGGAGAGTATGGTGGCGGCTTGAACTAATGATGAACAGATATGAATGGTTTCCAAATATGTTTTAGAGATCTCACCAGCCTAGCTGCTCTTTTGAGACAGAGTCTTGCTTTGTCACCCAGGCTAGAGTGCAGTGGTGTGATCTGAACTCACTGCAACCTCTGCCTCCCCAGTTCAAACAATTCTCATTCCTCAGCCTCCTGAGAAGCTGGAACTACAGGCGCATACCACCACGCCTGGCTAATTATTTGTATTTTAATTTTTTTAGGAACAGGGTCTCACTATGTTGCCCAGGCTGGTCTTGAACTCCTGCCCTCAAGCAGTCCTCCTGCCTCAGCCTCCCAAAGTGCTGGGATTACAGGTGTGAGCCACCTTGCCTGGCCTATCACCAACTTCTTATGCTCTCCCTTCCTACCACACGATTTTTTCAAGTCATAGAGCCATACTGTGCTCTTTTCCACATGCCATACTCTCCGCTTTGAATGTCCCTTCCATTTCTTTTGCTTCACTGACTTAACTCAAATTTCTTAAGGATTATGTTCAGACAGTTGATACTTTCTTAACCTGGGTTAGAAATGTCTCCTTTGTGCTCCCGTATTCAGTGACTGTCACATTGCCATATATATAATATATATATATTTATTTACATACACACAGACATATGCATATATGTGTATTTTTTAAAAAAATATATTTCTTACCTACTAAACTTCATCAATGAACTATTTCATACTAAGATACTAATGTCTAGATAGCTTTCAACCTTTGTATATTGCAAATAGCATTTATATGAAAATTAATGGGTGAATTCTGGATAAGGATATAGAATTGTTCTAGAAACCATGCCTATAGATATGATTATACTTTAAATATATTAATTTAAGGAAAATACTTATGTTAAATCTTTTAGAAGAGGGAAAATTATTTTATAAAATATTCATCATGTATTTAATTTGTGGATTTCGATTTTAAGAGAATTTTTTTAATTCGTAAAAATAGTTATTCTTACTCATATCTGACCCTGAGTTCAAATATTCTAATTTTTATCTTTTTTGAAAATTTCTTCTTTCCTTGGGTTTTACGTTTTTCAAAAATGGGGTTAGAAAGGCTTAATAAGATTGTGTTTGAAAGAAAAGACATGAATGAGCCAAATCAAAATCAGCAGAATAATCAGAAAATGACCAACTTTTATTTATTTGTCCCTTATCTATAAAAGAATATATGTAATATTGAGGAACTAGAATAGATTAAAAAAATGTTAAAGGCAGTGAAAAAAAGAATAGTGCCAAAATACAGAGAAATAAAGAAGAGTAAACAGATAAAGATAAGACTATATTCTTAAGTTGGGGTCACAAGATATTTTTTGAAAGATTAGCATATTTGTCCGAAAAAGAATTCTTTCTGGTGTGTGATATATGTAAATGCAGACATAGTTGTATATTGATAACCCAGCTGTTTTCTAAAAATTAAAAACAACATAAAAGTTTAATGTGCTGCAGGCTGTTTCTCTGATTACTCTTCCTCCTCTTATGGTTATTATTTCTATCGTTTAGTGCTCTTTTTATAGAGAGATTATTTTTATGATCACTTACTATGCCATGTGTATTAACCATTCATTATAAAATGGAAACTTTCTCAAGAAGAATGGCGCTTTTCCCAAAATAGTAGGTGATTACATGACTTGTATGTACACAACTTGCCTCTGTATGACTGGGAACGTATTTCCAGACTGAATTAAGTGTATAGAAGTGAACAGAAATAAGTAAAAGTATAGCTACTGAACAGAAATTAGTCTAATTTGCTTTTGATACTGGAAAGGTACAAATCTATCCTTGTACCATGATTGTGGTTTTGCAGAAATAATGCTTTAATATAAATCAAGCAGATATACAAATGTGCTAATATTAATGATATTAAAGCACCTTAGAGAAACAAGATTCTGAAGAAAAGAGAGGCGTGGCCTGGAGGTGGGGGTGGGGAGTAAATTAGTAGAAGGCAATAGTGAAAGTTTCACAACTGACATGAAGCCTGTGACAAGACTTGACTTGGAGGCTGTCCCAGGCTGGGCACTGCAGGGACATGCTTGGCTGTGGGAGAGCAGTAGGAGCTAACTCCCTGGTGCCCTTGTTTAGCTGTACTCCGATCCTAAAGTTTTAAAGGAAACACTGTTTATGAAGACAGAGAGGCAGTCATTAACCATCCCTTCTAACAGTTCTCCACCCTCACAGCACTTTGTATCACCTTACCCACTTCTATTTTCTTTATAGCACTTGTTATAATTGAAATTACAGTCTTTAAATTTTATTTTCTGTGTGCCCCATTAGAATGTGAGCTCCAGGAGGGAACAGACTTTGCCTGTCTTGCTCATCTCCACATTTTTAGCATCCTGAACAAAACGAATATTTGTTGAATAAATGAATTAGTAATGAATAAAAGGATAAACTTTCCCAGTTTATCACTCCCTTCCTTCCTTTCTTATCTACTCAATCCAGCCCAGGTTCACGTTTCATCTTTTCTACAACATCCCTTTAACAGTTTCATCAGCCACCCTTGCACCTTCAATCCTTTTTCATACATTTCACCATACTTCCATGGCAAACCCCACCTGTGTCTATCTTTCTGTCTCTCTCTCCACAAACACACAGGCGTGCACACACACACATCCCTCTCTGTTCAACTTTTTTCTACACCTATTCTCCTGATGTTGAAAACACAGAAAAACAATATTGAAAGGAAATTATAATTATTGAGCAGCACCCATTAAGTATAAATATTATCTCATCCTTAGCACAAACCCTCATAAACAGAATCTTGTTGCCTTTCCACCTCATTCATACACATTTACTTACACAAGTCCCCATGCTATCCGTCTACTCTCCAATCTGAGATGAGGCCCTATTGTTCCCTCCTGTTCAGTGCTTATCTCTATCTATGCTCTGGGTTTTGTTCTTCTCCACTTTCACACAGAGCTTGATAGTGTATTACACACTTTCTCTCCTGCATGTCTGACATGCTTCCCTCCTTTTGGATCTTTCCCATTAATATAGAAACATAGTCCAATATTTACTCATTAAAAAAAAATTATCCTTTAGAGCAACTGCTGGCGCATATAAAGATTTCTTTTTGTGGTGACAAAAATGCTCTTAAATTGTGGTGATGCTTGTACAACTCTGTGAATATACTAAAAACTATCATAAACTTTAAATGGGTGAATTGTAACATATGTGAACTATATCTCAATAAAGCTTAAATTATTTTCTTTATTTACTGTGTTTACTTCAACATCTCCCATTCATAACACAATCCTCTACTTTCTAAGCTATTTCTCTAAGATCACCAATGACCTCTTAGAAAAATCCAGTCAGTACTTTTTAGTTCTTATTTGTTCAATCTTCTTTCAGATTCTAAACAAACATATTAGTAACATGGGGCTATGTCACCAACCTTCAGTGGTTCCCTACTGCCTTATGATGCAGTTAAAAGTATTATTTTTTAAAGATAGGGTCTTACTCTGTCGCCCAGGCTGGAGTGCAATGGCAGGATCATAGCTCAATGCAGCCTCCAACTCCTGGGCTCAAGCAATCCTCTCATCTCAGCTAGGGCTATATGTATGTGCCACCATGCCCAGATAAGTTTTTCATCTTTTTGTAGAGATGAAGTCTTGCTATGTTGCCCAGGCTGGTCTTGAACTCCCAGCCTGAAGCCATTCTCTTGCCTTGGCCTCCAAAAGTGCTGGAATTATAGGTGTGAGCCACCATGCCCTGCTGAAAATTATGTTTTATGGTATTGAAGACTGTTTAAGATCTGGCTCCTGTGTCTCTCTCTCTCTCATCTGCTAACCTTTACTTCATTCCACATATACCATATTCTCTAGCCATCTCTTTTATCTATGTGCAGGAAGGGTATGCAGTTGCCTCTGTGTAGGTAACTTCTGCTCATGACTCTACCCAATGATCTTATTCATCCTTCAATATGCAACTCCAGCCTCTCATTCTCTGGAAAACATGCCTGGATTCTGTCAGTTTGGGCTTAGTACCTATCCTATGCTTGTGCATACATACTTACATATATTTATCTCTGTACTGAATTTATCAGATTATATTATAATTGTTTAGTTACACTTATTTTCCCATTAGATAATGAACTCTAGCTGAGGGAGGGCAGGGACTTTGCCTTTCAACCCTTTAACCTTATTACATGATTCGGGTTTAGTAAAAGGTTGTTGAAAAAATGAATAAATTAATGACCTATTCATGTTTTCTGCTTTCTTGCCTCACTTAACAATGAACTCAGCATGCATCCACTAGGAAATGGTCTCTGATAACTTCTCTAGTGTTAATGTTTTATGATTCTTTCTATGATCTAATCAGTAGTTCATATTCCTTTTATAGCTGTGTTTTCTAACCCAGGGATTTAACTGTGAGCAACATAAGGGAAAGAACTAACACTTGCTGAGTACTTATGAGGGGATAGGCACCATGCCAGGCGGTTTACATGCATTATATGTCATCTCATCCTCTGTAGAGTGGGCATTATCGTATGACTTCTATATATAGGAAACAGAGTCTGAGGAACACAACTAGTAGGCATCAGGGCCATGACTCAAATTCAAATTTATTTATTTGTTTGTTTCTTTGTTCATTCTATTATATCAAACTGCATTATACTATAGGATTTAGCACTGGTAAATGGTATGAAAAGGCTATAATAAAAGACTATTCCCCTCAACCTTTTTTTTTGAGACAGGGTCTCACTCTGTTGCTCAGGCTGGATTGCCATGGTACAATCATGGCTCACTGCAGCCTTGACCTCCTGGGCTCAAGCAATCCTCCCACCTCCCACAGCACCCAATAGCTGGAATTATAGGTGTACACCACCACACCCAAACAATTTTTAAATTTGTTGTGGAGATGGGGCCTCACTTTGTTGCCCAGGCTGCTCTTGAACCCCTGGACTCAAGTGATCCTCCTGCCGTGGCCTTCCAAAATGCTGGGATTACACGTGTAAGCCACTGCGCCTGGCCCCATTTATTTTAATGATATTCAGAAAGTTTTATAAATTAAATGTGTGTATTTATTTTAATAGTGCTAAGTAACAAAGCGATATATTCTCATTTCAAGAATATCAAATACCTACCATACTTAGAATATCACAGGCCATGTTTAATAAATGCCAAATCTAATACAGAATATATATTATATATAAGTCTATATAATGTATAATATAAAAACAAATTAAGGTGTGATGTGTGGAAGACTATCAGTTAAGGCTTAATTTTCTCATAATTAACTACTTAGGATTGTGGTAAAGAAAAGGAAGTCAAACTTAAAGCAAAAGTTTTAACGGTCTTTAGCAAAAGTTGATCATAAAAAATAAATATTAAAAACTTATCTGTGGCCGGGTGCGGTGGCTCATGCCTGTAATCCCAGCACTGTGGGGGGCCAAGGCTGGCAGATCATGAGGTCAGGAGTTCGAGACCAGCCTGGCTAATATGGTAAAACCCGTCTCTACTAAAAATACAAAAATTAGCCGGGCATGGTGGTGCATGCCTGTAATCCCAGCTATCCAGGAGACTGAGGCAGGAAAATCACTTGAACCTGGGAGGCGGAGGTTGCAGTGAGCCAAGATTACACCATTGCACTCCAGCCTGGCAACAATGTGAGACTCTGTCTCAAAAAAAAAAAAAAAAAAAAAAAAAAAAAACACTTATTTGTTATGATGCTTCTTCAAAAAGTTAAACTTGGAATTATCACATAATCCAGAAATTCCATTTCTGGGTGTATATCCAAAAGAATTGAAAGCAGGCATTTGAACAGATGGTGTACATCCATACTCTTGGCCACATTGTTCATAATAGCCAAAAGATGGAAACAACCCAAAATGCCCATTGATATATAAATGGATAAACAAAATGTGGTATATATATATACACAATGGAATATTACTCAGCCTAAAGAGAAAGGAAATTGTGATACATTCTATAGCATGGACAAATCTTGAAGATATTACGCTAAGTAAAATAAGCTAGACATAAAAAGACAAATGTTGCAGCATTCCACTTCTATGAGGTATTCAGGGTAGTCAAATTTATAGAGATAAAAAGTAGCATTGTAATTGTACAGGGACTGGGGAGGAAGGAATGAGGAGTTATTGTTTAATGCTTAGAGAGTTTCAGTTTGGGAAGATGAAACATTTCTAGAGATGGATGGTGGTGATGGCTGTACAAGAATGTCAATGTTCTTGATGCCACTGAACTGTAAACTCAAAAATGGTAAAAATGGCCAGGGGCAGTGGCTCAGGTCTGTAATCCCAGCACTTTGGGAGGCCAAGGGAGGCGGATCACTTGAGTTCAGGAGTTTGAGACCAGCCTGGGCAACATGGTGAGACCCCATCTCTACTAAAAATACAAAAATTAGCCAGGCGTGGTGGCAGGCACCTGTAATTCCAGCTACTCAGGAGGCTGAGGCAGGAGAATCACTTGAACCCAGGAGGCGGAGGTTGTAATGAGCTGAGCTTGCGCAACTGCACTCCAGCCTGGGTGAAAGAGCGAGACTCTGTCTCAAAAAAAAAAAAAAAACAAAGGTAAAAATGTTCAATTTTATGTTATATATATTTATCACAATAAACAATTTTATTTGAAATTATAATGTGTTAGTTTAGGTGAAAGAAAAAATATAATTGAGCTTACACCTATATTCAAATATATATCTAATGTCTACATGGAGTATTCCCACTTTGAAATATCCTACCAAGTCAATTTAACATTTATTTTTCCATTGTCTGATCACATATGCTGAACTCAGAGTAAGAAAAGATGGTCAAAGACAAACATAAGTCTTCTAACTCTCTGCTGTACAATGCTGTAGCCTCTAGTCATCTGTGCCTATTTAAATTTATATTAATTAAAATTAAGCATTTAGTTCCTTAGTCACACTAGCCACATTTCAATGTACAATAACTACATATGGTTCATGGTTTATTAGACAGTGCAGATAGAGAACATTTCCAGCACTGCAGAAAATTCTAGACAGTGTTCTTCTAGATTAACGCACAGTAAACTTCCTTAAACAATCATTGGTGTGTAAGTGGGGACAGTGGTCAATCCAGAATAAAAATAAAAAGCCAAGCACATAGAGTGACTCATAGAGGAAATAACTAGCTGATTGAGTGTACTACTTGTTAACTAGCCATGACAAACAGATATAGGCCAAGTGACATTTTTAATCATGAAAACATTGCGTAACCTTTAATGAAAAGTAGAGCTACTTATGTCATCTTGGACATACCAAGAGACAAGTCTTTTAAGTAATAGGATCTTGCATTGAGAGAAACAGTGTTAAGCATATTTTCACAGCAACTCTATAGAACATTACAGAATTTCAAAATTAGAAATACGGAGATTGCATATAGTGACACAAAAAATATATACTGGCATAGTAAGTACAACCAATTTATGCTGGTACAAAAAACAATATGCTGGTATATTAAATACAACCAATCTCTTTTTAAGAAATTATAAAATCAGTTCTACAGTGAGAATTCAGTTATATATCAGCTATGTAGAGATATGGATAATTACTACAGGATAACAGGAGAAAACAAAAATAGCTGGTATATTTGTTGAAGAATTATGGGCATTTAACAGAATAAAGTATTACGTTCAAATATTGCCAAAATGAACAAAAAAAAGAAAGTAAATAGGCCTATGCTATTTTATCCCAACAATAAAACTATGCAGTGTTTTGTAACACTACCTGTATGTTGCTCTCACCTCAATACCTTTATGGAATCCTATGTATATTCTGTGTCATACAGTCAATTGATGTTCTGATCAAATAAAATACCCCCAGAAGGAGTATTTTCAAAAAACTGAACAACTGGAAGAGTCTTTAAGAGTTTATGTGACCCAATTCTCTGCTACCACAGTTTTTAAAACTGAAACATAGCAATTTAAAACTTGGGCAATTTAATGCAAGTGTACATCTAGTACACAGTGCTTTTGTGTGCATGCTAACTTATCTAGCACATAAGCCAGGTGATAATATGCCAATTTATTTAAATATGTACTTACATACCTTCCGCATGATCAGATCTTAGTAGAACTATAAAAGAATGCATCAAGTGCTAGGGAAAAATGGCAAATCTCACACATTACAAATAATGTTCCCTTCAAAGTGATATATAACTTGCCCCATGAATCAAAGCTCCTGGTTTCCTAAACGCAGTTGTGTTCTAAAATTGTACAGATTAAGGTTGTATCATTCAATTCTATAATTTTTCATATGAAGTATATTGGAATTAGAAGGATGCATAATTAGATTAGAAATACTAAAAAAAGTAAGGTCTTCTACAGACTTTTTGGTGAGTGCTGCATTTGCCAAAATCATGTTTTAAGTGTTTTACTTGAGAAAATAAATGACAAGAATAAAACAAGTTCAATAACATCTAACAACAATTTGATCACATAGGAAAGATTTGGACTTCAACCCCCCCATTAACTTCTATGTGGTTATATATGTTCTTAGGTATTACATATAAATATGTGTTTTATCACATTTCAATAAATTTATGCTCATAATCATATCTCTTTAATGAATTATTACTATTTTCCTACAAAAATCATGAGTAACCCCCAAAGTTATATAAAATTATAAATAAGATTATTTATACCTTAACAGGTTCAAATAGAAAAAGCCGTCATCTTATATTGGGTCAAACATTTTGTTGGAAGGAACCTCTGGGTTCAAGTTCTTGCTAGGTCACTGATAAATTATTCTGCTTAAGGCACTTTACATCTAGTTTCACTTTCTTCATCACTAAAATCAAAGGATGGGGGAGGTGTTCTCTAGCTCCTTCTAGTTTAAATATACCTGACTATAAGTTGCTTTCTCAATTCAGATAACTTACCTCTCTCAACACAGGATCAGTTATTGAATTCAGATTGACAGCTCCTTCATAGGTCAAGTAATAGAACACATTGAGGGCTCGGACAGCTTCTGGTCCTTGCTGTTTATAGCCAAAAATGAGATCAATCCATTGGTGAAGCTGGCAGGAAACAAATTCACTCTCCAGGGCCTGAAAAAAGGTATACATTGTATTACTATGCTGAATTCCTTTTTAAAAATATAGAGAGACATTTAGAGCAATCAGTAAAGTTTAACACTAACTTTACTGTGAACAAAGATTTTTAAAAAACAAAACTTGTGGCCGGGCGCAGTGGCTCACGCCTATAATCCCAGCACTCTGGGAGGCCGAGGTGGGCAGACCATGAGGTCAGGAGTTTGAGACCAGCTTGGCCAACATGGCGAAACCCGGTCTCTACTAAAAATACAAAAATTAGCTGGGTGTGGTGGCCTGCGCCTGTAATCCCAGCTATTCAGGAGGCTGAGGCAGGAGAATCGCTTGAACCTGGGAGGCAGAGGTTGCAGTGAACCGAGATCACGCCACTTCACTCCAGCCTGGAAAAGAGCGAAACTCCATCTCAAAAAAAAAAAAAAGAAAGAAACTTATCTGATGTCCTAGTTTCTACCAGAATCTGTCCTCCTTGGTTTATAATTAGAGGCTTTCCGGCACTTGGCATAATTAATTACAATAAATGTGTAAGTTTCAGTATTTTTCTACCGTACTGACAGCACTGAGGACCAGGACTGGGCCTATCTTGGTCACATTTGTAACTCAGGGCCTGACAGGTACTCGATTTATGCTTCAAAGAAAGGAAGCCATACAAGGCAAAGACTATTTTGGGAAACTAAATGTGAAAATGTTAAAAATTTACCATCCACTTGAAATATTTATTATTTTTCTAGAATTAAAATATTTTGTAGTCTATTTCAACATGTTTAACCAAATTATTTAGTTATGTTGATTGAGTTCTTATGCTAACAAATTAGATTTTGTGGGGGATACCTATAATTACTGAATTTTTATTCTAGGTATTAATATCAAACCTGACCAAATATTTGATGCTATTAACATAATAGTGTCCAATAAATAACGAATGAACACAATCAAGTATTTGGTTGAGATGCTAGGCACAAGATCCATTTCCTATCCATCATTATATTCCCAGCTACAAGCGTTGTGCCTAAAACATAATAGATGCCAATAATGTTTGGTGAATTTAATAACGTTATAAATACTAAAGACTTTTAAAAACTAAAGATATTTTTTAGGAAACTATCCATCTTTATATTATTTAATATTGTTCAAAATCATTCCAACATCAAAGTTTAGCATTATGGATTAGTTTAACGATAAATAATTATATTAAAATCAAAGAGTTTTCAAACATAAACTCTAAAGCTTAATTAAAAGTATACAGTAGGCCGGGCACGGTGGTTCATGCCTGTAATCCCAGCACTTTGGGAGGCTGAGGTGGGCGGATCACGAGGTCAGGAGATCGAGACCATCCTGGCTAACACAGTGAAACCCTGTCTCTACTAAAAATACAAAAAATTAGCCGGGCGTGGTGGCGGGCGCCTGTAGTCCCAGCTACCCGGGAGGCTGAGGCAGGAGAATGGCATGAACCCAGGAGGTGGAGCTTGCAGTGAGCCGAGATCGCGCCACTGCACTCCAGCCTGGGTGACAGAGTGAGACTCCGTCTCAAAAAACAAAACAAAACAAAAAAACTATACAGTAATCCCCCCTCATCCACAGGGGTATGTTCTTCGAAGACCCCCAGTAGATGCCTGAATCTGTGAATAGTACCAAACCCTATACCTATATGTACTATGTTTTTTCCTATACATAAATACCTATGATAAAGTTTAATTTATAAATTAGGCACAGTAAGAGATAAACAACAATAACAACAAAATTGAACAATGATATACTGTAAAGAAAAACCATAATAAATGTTATGTAAATATGGTCTCTGTCTCTATCTCAAAGTATCTGATTGTACTGTACTCACACATTTTCAGACCTTGGTTAAACACAGGTAACTGGAATTCTGGAAAGCAAAACTGTGGATAAGGAGGAGACTGCTGTACCAACTTATATCTGGTAATGTATCTCATTGAAATTGATTTTTATTTTTAGAGTAGTAAGTCTATGATTGTGATGTATTTTCAGTATGGCTTGCTGCTATGTTATAAGAGATCTGTTGGTTTTAAAACAAAACTGACCAACTTGTATAGCAAGTAACCAATGAGACATAAACCATCTTGTGACAAAAGACGTTCCTATTCCTTTACATGTGGACACTTGTGTAAAGATACGCTTTATTAAAATAAGTGCCTATGAAAAAGAAATGTTTATAGCTAAATACAAAAAAAATTTCCTTTAATATTTAACATAGCTTTATGATATATCACAAATATAAAATTGAAAATATAATTTTGTAAACAAAACTCTATGCAATTCTCACATCCCAAAGTATACTTTAAATGAAATATGCCTTAAAAATACTTAGCTAGGTTCAATTGAGAAAGTTATTGTTTTAGACATCTCTTCTAAAATGCTTTACATTTACAAATTTATTAAACAGATATGACAGCACAAAACTGCTTCATATTTTACTTGAAATAAGAAGAGAGGAGCTTGTGATAACTTTAAGTAAATGCCTATTTTAAGTACATAAATTTGAAAAAAATCTAGGAACTACTAATGCAAGTTACACACAGAAATGATACGTTGGTTTCATTAACTTAGACCTTGGGTAGGGATGGGGGTATGGGGTAGGCACATTTACAATGACACATAAAAACAGCAATTGTCTTAATTTGTGTGCAGTGCACTCTACACAAAAGCCCTAAATATGTTCAAATTAGAGCAAGCTGCTTGATTGTCACTGCAGTCTCATGTCACATTAATGCATGACAAACATTAAACCATACACTTAAATGGCAATTTATATCATTTAAATGTTTACTGCCAGACTAGCTCATCACTCATTTAAATGTGACTTTCTGACAGCTAATTTCAGTTAATTTTCTCCAATTCACTTAATTAGAACTTTCAATCAGGGAAGGACCTATGCATATCTTCAGGCTTACATCCTTTTTGGTGGCTGTTCGAAATCTGAGTTCATAAACTGCCGAAAAGCTCTACTATAATAGATTAGCATATAATATCTCTGAGTTTACAAAAAATATGACTCTATGAAGAGTATATACTCACAGTATATACTCTTAGAAAGAACTTATACTTATTTATGTAAATAGTACTCTTGCCAGTAGTTTAAATAAAAAACGTGTAGTTCATATACACACACTATTGAAACAATAAACAAACCCTGCATCCAAGCTAATTAAAAATTAATGATTTCAAAATTGTTTAATAAGATAAAACAGTCAGGAGTCTCCTGAGTGTCCATGGTGTTGTGATTTGAGACCATAAAATTCTAGAAGGCTCAGCAAATGACAAAGTACAAATGAATTTTCTCAATATTAAAGCTCTAAAAACTAGGGCAATTTTATTTTATGTGTCACCAAACAAAGAACTGTTGAATTTTCCTTACGGTTGACTACTTCTTTATGCACACTCAAAATGGTAAAGTTGGTTAGATTTCGATGCTTAAAGCTTTACATCTTGATACTGCATCAGAATTTTAAGCAAAAATGCTGAAAGGAAAGCTACCGTGTGCTCATATCATGCTGCAAACACACATGCAGAGATCACCACAATGCCATGGTTCAGACCTCACCTTACATTGTCATAGGTCAGTCCTTAAGGAGTTGACCAGTAATTCGCGGAACTATTGGCAAAATCACTTCCAGAAGTTGATAAACACGTTACCTTCATGAATATACTTTAAATAATTTCTCAAACACTCAACTAAAAATTCCATTAGTCAGCTTCAAGCATGTCTTGCAATATACCAAAGCTTTAAAAAGGGACCTAAAAGAACAAAGTGGTAAGTATAAGAGAATTCCAAGAAGTTTCAAAGTCATTTCAGTACAAAGTCAGCTCCGAACTTTAACATCCTTTTGCTATCAGTGAATGACAACTGCCTAACCAAAAGTAGGTAATGCACTTAAGACTTGAGGGGAGAGAGAAGGACAGGCAGGAAGAAATTAAGGGAAAAAATACAAACAGAATGTAATTCAAAATGGAATACCCTGAGGTTGCCTTTTATAACTCCCATTTTTAAGATTTAAAAACATAAATCATAAAACCTATATTAAAATAGCTTTTTTATATATTAAGATTTTTTAAAAAAATTCTTCATATATAGAAAATTCTCATTTAGATCTACATTTTTAGTTACAAAAAAATGAAAAATGCCAGTGGAATGCTGAGCATTTGAGATTTTTCAAAGCCTTCAAAACCGACAGTCCTCATTAAGCCTGGAGTTAAATACGGTTTGCAGCTAGGGGATAGTAACATTCTTCCCATGCTGCTCTCAAACCTAACCAATCAATTGTTAGTACTCCCCTAGCAGGCTGCATACATCACTTACATCCAATGTGTGCTCTGAGTAATATTTGTAAAAAAGAAAATCCACTAAAATGTCCAACACAATATAATAATATTCAACTCATCTGAGTTATTATAAAATAAATCAGTGACTAATGTCCAATTGTTAAGGATCAGATAAGACTATGAAAAGACTATCATATGAAGCCTCACACGAATGTTCAATCCAATCCAGGGGGACTCATATTAGTGTTGACAAACTGTCTTGGCGCTGATATCTGTTTTTTTTAATGAGATCTATTAGGCAGAGTAAAATACTTCAGATATGCTAAAAAGTACAGTATACAGATGTCAAATACACTTATTACTAACTTTCATTTGTTTGTTCTGCATACAGAATATCAACAAAGTTTTAATATTATAAAGATAATAGTAAATTATTCATAAATAGGAGGTTTGTATAACCCTGTGTCAGAAATAATTACAATATGTGTGTGTGTGTGTATATATATATGTGTGTGTCTGTGTGCATGTTTAGCAAATCTCACTGAAAGAACACAATCTATGCTTTCCTGAAACTAACTCACTTAAGAAATAGATTATTTCTTTATAAAAAGTGTTATATAAAATTATTATTTTCTATAGTGGAGTCAAAAAATGTGATAACATATAGAAACAGCTTTTTCCAAGAAACTCTAAGCTATTTGAGAATAAAAATTCTAAACTAAAAGGCATTAACTATGTATTTAATCTACACATGCATTAGTGATACACTAGCAATTTCCTTTTATTTTCAAAAAACCAAATTTTTGCCAATGTAAAAATCAAGAAAACCAATTTCAATCAACAAAGGAAATTATTAGATAATTGTTTACCTCAAGACCAAGAAACCTTATTTGTTTATTATTTATGTTTCTCATACTTGTCATTCCCAGCTTAATGCTAATATTTACTTATTCTTTGGCTAAACATTCTCATACCACTCCATTAAAAAAAGAAACTAAATAAAAACTAGCAATATCTATGGGATAAATGATTTTTATAAAAAGTTAAATAAAAAGATCAAATATTCTTTATACACTTTTTATAACCAGAGAGAATAGGCCTAGGCAGCCCAGAAATACATTTCTGCACACCTGTACCACTACTTCCACTCCCAGGCTTCTAGAAGGCCCAAGGTACAAAGGTTCTGAGATACAAAATACCATAGCTGTAAGTTTCAAATGAGAAAATGAAAATCACTGATTAACCCTCCTGACTTGAAATACATTTACTTATAAGATGTATTTAATCGTATTTATAATGAATGAAACATCCATTTTGTAAAATTTTAATTGTACTTATAATTAAGAGTCTTAATTCATTTGAACATAGATAACAGTATGTTTTAAAGGAACTGACATTGAGATTGGCAAGGCGGTAATATACAAAGTTATAAACTTGGAATTTTAAGTATTTTTCATTTTAAATCCATGTAATACGGCCTTCTTCCTATACAAACACATATACACACAGAGATTTAAAATGAACTGGTCTGTTATGTTTGCATGTGTTGGATTTCAAACACTAGTGGTAATGTTTCCTTAACATTGATATATGACCTTTGTAATTTACATTGAAGAAAGCTGTTTTTTTCAGCCTAATTAGAACTGTTTCAAATTTTCCTGCTAAATATATGATATAAAGTCCTTTCAACTTTTTTATTCTAGAGTTTCTTTCCATGTCAACTTTGTTCCAATCAAAATATGCTTTGAATTAAATGATTTTGATTGAATATGTGGATCACATTTCACTTCTAAGATGTAAAGTCCAAAAAGGAAAAGTTTAGCCTGTTCAAACAAAGCAAGAGCAGCCACTTTGCGGAAAGCTATTCACATTTAAGAAGACTGACAAATTGTTTGTGTGCACCATTAGGTCTAGTTTCTGCAATAGTTGCCAGATTTCCTGTCCCCCTAATAAGATGCATTAACTCCTTAAATGCTGGCTCTGAATTTGCAGTGAATCTGAGTTACTTTAGCAAATTTCAATTTTATCTATAGGTAAATTTCCTTATTTGAAATAAATCTAAAGAAAATAAAAGAAAATTTGATGTTAACTATGTTGTATCAAAATTTTCTAACAAAGGTCACAGAAAATTAACATTTTTTCATATTGGTTGGATATAAATTCAGAATACAAATATGTTTTCTATATGTGACTTGCCAGAAGTGACAAATTCACATCAATCCTCATTTAAAAAAAATGCATCAATTTCACTAATTTAAAGATTACATCTTCAGGTAAAACACAATGGAAATATTTAATAAACTAAAATCCATGAATATGAGCATCAATTTCCTCCACATTGATTATATATAAAACACAATGCTTCAGAGTTCAGCTATTTACCTTAATATACATATATATATAATGTGAAACAAGCTTTATCCTATTTACAAAGAAAAGTTTAATTTTGAGAGCTTAAAAATATGTGTGAAATTGTGACATTAAGATCAATAAGTCATGAAGCCCAAGAAAGTAAAAATGGAGGATCAAAGATTTAGGGAAAAAACTGTGGGATGCTAAGAATAAAAATTGTATCAGACAGTTTTAAAAAATGAAATTTAGTCAACAACATACTGAAGTTCAGCCTGAAAAGCAGATAGAGAAATCACTAAAAGGGGTTCTATACTTCTAAACTGCCCTTGAACTGTTGGGCAGAAGAGATATTTTGAGCCAGCAGTACACAGTTCATTTCTACATTTATATCATTACTAAAGAAAAGTGTGAGTTAGTATCGTATCTTGATATAACTATCAAGCACTCGTGCATCTTTTGGCAGGAGAATCATTCTGTCTACGATTGTTATTGTGTAGTTTTAAATGGACTAGTCAACCAGCTGTTATATATTTTATACACTGAAGGCCATGTTTCCTTTGAAATTCATAGTTTTAATCTCAACTGAAGTCTGTATTGCTGTGTGCCAAGATCAAAAGGATTAGACAAACTTGTACAATTACCTTCCTTTACAGAGAGATGATTTTTAAAAAATGTTTAAAATACTCCTATATACTGACATTTTATCCAACTATTTTCTTTAGAACTACAGAACATTAAAACATTTAATTAACATTTCAACCTTAGGTCACTTTTCATCTAAAATCTAGGAATTCACAACATACAGATATGCTAAACTAATTATAGTATCACACACATAGGGATATTGAGCTTTTTTTTTTTTTTAAAAAAAACCTTTAGTTTATTAAAAATGGATGGGGAAAAATTATACCTATTTCTTTTATGTGTTTGCATTTTGCAAGCCTTTGCTCAGAAAATAATTCATAGAGCTTACAGTGATATATATGCAGCAAGATACAAAAGAGAAGTGAGGCAATGCAAAATTTAAAGGGAGATATCACATAAAAACTATGCCATGAAATTTCAAATACTTGTTTTAACAAATCTATATATGCTGAGCCATGTATTTGCTGCTAAGCTTTCTAGCAGGCAACATAAAGAAAGAAACACGAACAATTACAGGAGACAAAAATGACCATAATGTAAAAACAAACCAGATGGCCTGGAAAAACACATTATTTCTATTCCTGAGATAAGAAATTCCTCCCTTGGCAATATGATGGAATCCAGGTATGTAACTCTCAGAGGGACTGAGTTAATCCTGAGATAGATTTAAAGTATAGACAAATGGGGAGACCACATATTCTTCAGATAATCTTGCACAAACATTATTTCTCTTAGAAAGGCTTTGAATGGTAGGTTCTAGATTGTGCTTCATGACAAGTACCTGGAATTAAGCTATTTTATTTTGTTAGTTAAATGCAGAGCTAATATGCTTTGATAACAGGTAAACTGAGTCCCAGGACTAATAACCTCCTAAGAATGTGAAGAGTATAAGGAGAAGGACACAGCCTGTATGAAAGGCAGGCTCACCATTACTTGGAAGGTAGACTAGCCTGCCTTAAAACAGGCTCAAAGGTAAACTTTCTCACATAGATAAATATGCATCAAAAACTTCCAAATTCCAAACATGATGCTGTAATATTTATAGACATTAAAATGTTTAAAACAGGTATACTAGATGTTCAACTCTTTAAAAAATTAGTAAAGTATCCCTAGAAACTTAATGTTGAGGACTTTATATTGCTGTTATATTTTCTAAGATAAACTAGTTATAAACATAGACATAAGTAATTAAAATATTAATTTAAAGTGGTCAATTATCCACCTAGGTATAGAAAAATGAATGTTTCCTCTTCAGCAGCCATCACAAAATGTATTAATTTACTGTATGAACTCCTGTAGGTTTTATATTATATAGTCAGTTACAAAAGGAAGGAAAACAAAATAAAAAAAATTTAATCCCTTCCCATTTGCTTATCCATATAGATCTGATAAATACTAGCAGTCTCTTGCCTTTGAAGATGGCCAGACCAGAATCTCTACTTATTGCCAGATGTAGTTTAATCCCATGAGGACTCCAGACAAAAACAAGGAGCTGTCTGCATGGCACCAATGATTCCCTGGACTGACTGCCATAAACTTATACTGGCAAATCAAAATCCTTGGCAAAGTAGAACATTTATTATGTCATTACTCCTAAGAATATCCAATAAAGAAAAACTTGAATTAAAAAAAAGCAAAAGTTGCTGAATATAAAGCATTAAGTTCTGCCAGAGAATCAAATTACATCTGCATTTACTTTGTGTATGCGATTGCATACTTGTATATTATATAGGACTAAAAGTATTATACATTCTGCAACTTTCTATTAATGTTAGCATCTCTCTCATCTATTCATTCAGTAAATATTTATTGAGTGGTTACTATTGGTCTTGTGCTAGACTCTGGGGATACTGAAATGAGACATCCCTTTGGAAGAAGGAAAGGGGAGCAAAAGGTCAGCTCTAAGACTACTTTCATAGTCTAAGTGAGAGGTAGTGAGAGCCTTAATCAAGAAAGTAGCATCCGGAGTGAAGAGGGGACAGAGTTCAGAAAGATTTAAGATACAAGTTATTACTTACAGCAACTGATTACCAGTGTGAGGGGTGAAGAAAAAGGAATTTTGGGTGATCAGTTTGAACCTTAACCATACTAGAGGAGAAATTGTTTACATGGTAGAAGATTAGTTGAGTTTTGAACTTAGTATTAATATTTTGGACTTCCTTTTATAGACTTGAAATTAACCCTTTGTTTTGGATCTAAGGCTGAGAATTTTAGTGGAAGTTTGTACACTATTAAAGTATTAAAATATGTTTGACCAGGCGCAGTGGGTTACACCTGTAATCCCAGCACTTTGGGAGGCCGAAGCGGGTGGATCACGAGGTTAGGAGTTCAAGACCAGCCTGGCCAACACAGTGAAACCCCGTCTCTACTAAAAATACAAAAAATTAGCTGGGCGTGGTGGCGCGCATCTGTAATCCCAGCTACTCAGGAGGCTGAGGCAGGAGAATCTCTTGAATCCGGGAGGTGGAGGTTGCAGTGAGCCAAGATCACACCACTGTACTCCAGCCTGGGTGACAGAGCAAGACTCCGTCTCAAAAAAAAAAGAAAAAAAGAAAATATGCTCATGTTCAATAGTGGAATGCACAAGCCAAAAAAATTCTGTGTAACAAAATCACCCCAAGGATTTTATACCAGTTTTGTCCAACAGATATATATCCATGCCAGATATGCAATTTAAAATTTTCTAGTAGCCACATTTTTTTAATTTATAAAAAATTTTTTTTAAAAAATGACACAGGGTCTCGCTGTGTTGCCCAGGCCAGTCTTGAACTCCTGAGCTCAAGCAATCCTCCTGCCTTGGCCTTCCAAATTGCTGGGATTACAGGCTTAAGTCACCATGCCCAGCCTATAGTAGCCACATTTTAAAAAGTAAAAAAAAAAAAAAAGTAAAACTGTTTTAATGACATGGTAATATTTTATCAAGAATATACAAAATATCATTTCAACATGTAATCAACATAGAAATTATTTTGTATTAAATCTCAGAAATCTGGTATACATTTTACACTTACAATGGACAGCACATGTTGATCACACTAGCCACATTTCAAGTGATCAACAACCACATGTGACTAGTGGTTATCAACTGGACGGTGAGGCTTTATTCAGTTCCAAATACTGAATCTGCATCCAGATTTTGATACAAGACAGAATGCAGGAGTTAACAATACTTAACACTTTTAAAATACACCTTATCTTACTGAAAATAAAGATAAACCTTACAAAGTACGAAGTAACTGCCAGACTAAAATGACCTTCAATGCAGTTTTGAAGAGGCCATTACAATTCTCAGTGCCGTGAAGAATGGCTACACCTTAGGAAATGACAGCAGAAATGTAACATCTTCAAGTGTGAAACAGACATAATGTCCTACAGTGTATATTCTTCAGCCATTTATAGATCTCTGAGGAAATGTGGCAGCATCTGAAAGACGGCATTATGACTATCCTCTAAATAATAAAGGTAAAAGGGCTAATTCTACCAACTATGCTGTAATCTATAAACTTTCCATCCTTAAAGGTCCTTAGTTAGAGTTCTTAAATTTTGGCTACTCAGCTCTATCAGTTATGTACTTTAAGAATTACCATATAGCCATAGACCACAACTTAGTATAGGGGACATAATCTTTGCTGAAAGTCAGATATATGACATCTGTAATGTGTATGTATTCACAAAACTCATAAAAGACACTTCATTTTAGTAGCAGATAACGAGTCTCTGTCTACTCCTAGAGATTTTTTAACATCTACAATAACATTCTGATTCCCAAAATTTTGGGTCTGACTCTTTCTGCATTTTCGATTAAATAATGATTAGTTAATAGGGTCAGTCTTTTAAAATTATTTTTAAGTAGCCATGAATACATATGCAATATGAGGTCAACAATAGAGACTTCTTGCAAGAGTTAAATACATTTCTTATTTATGTTTCCTTACCTCCCTTTCACTTCTTAACTAGTTTCTCCTCTTTCTGTTACAGGCACACCACTGAAAATGTTTTTGCAAAGATTACTAACTGTCTGAATCCAGTGTATGCTCATCTTTTCTCATTTCACCTCTGCATTATGGTGTTTGTTTCTCTTTCTTCTTCTCGCTTGACACTCTCTCTCCAGATTCTCTTTCTACATTTCTGATTTTCCTATTCATTTTCTTAATATAGGGTCTTTTTCCTCTAACATTTCAGCATTTATTCTCCTCAAGATTCAGTCCCAGGCCCTCTGCCTCTGGTATAACCCAGGCTAGATGAGCCACACTTCAATTACTTCAACCAACAATTACTACCTCTCTGGAGCTTCAAATACAAAATGCCAACTGCCCATCATACTACTTTTTTTTTTTTTTTTGAGACGGAGTCTCACTCTGTCGCCCAGGCTGGAGTGCAGTGGCGTGATCTCAGCTCACTGCAAGCTCCGCCTCCCGGGTTCATGCCCATTCTCCTGCCTCAGTTTCCTGAGTAGCTGGGACTATAGGCACCCGCCACCACGCCTGGCTAATCTTTTGTATTTTTTAGTAGAGACGGGGTTTCACCATGTTAGCCAGGATGGTCTCGATCTCCTGACCTCATGATCTGCCCGCCTCGGCCTCCCAAAGTGCTGGGATTACAGGCATGAGCCACCGCGCCTCGCCCATCACACTACTTTTTTTGGTGTGCTTCACATAACTCAAAATTAATATATCAAAAACCAAATGAATAGTATTTCCTCTGACACTTGCTCCTTTTCTTGTCTTTCTGGTGAGGGACTAGGTCCTTCATCTAGTCAGCCAATTCAGAAATGTGGCAGTCATCTTGACTTCTCCTTTCCCCTCTCCCTACAAAATTTTATCAGACAATAAGCCTCCTAAATATCTTCCCAAGTCATTCTTTCTTTTCCTTTCACTGGGACTACCTTTGGTTTCATGCTTCATGATTTCTTTGTTCAGTTATTCTATCGGTATCCAAACTGTTTCTTTATCTCTAAAATTTCCCTTTTCAATCCCTCCTCCATATGAACTGCTATCTAAAACCTAGCCAAGTCACTGCTCTCCTTAAAACTTTTCTCCTTTCCCTAAAGCAGTGGATCTCCAACTTTAACACACACCAAAATTAGCTGGAGAACTTGTTAAAACAGGCTCCAATCCACAGTCTCTGTTTCAGTAGATCAGGGGCAGAGTCCAAGAATTTGCCCTTATAACAAGATCTCAGGTGATACTGATGCTGCTGGTCCAGGAACTCCTTTTGGCCACCACCTCCCCAAAGAAAAAAGTCCATACTATTTACGAGGCATTAAAGATTTATCGTACAATCTGCCTCCAGCCATATATTTCCATACACACCACCCACAGTTCTCTCAAACACATACTTCAGTCTACCATCTGAATTAAGTTTAGCTCATGTGGCTGCATGCAGTGGCTCATGCCTGTATTCCCAGCACACTGGGAGGCTGAGGTAGGTGGATCACTTGAACCCAGCAGCTTGAGATCAGCCTGGCAGCCTGGCAGCCTGGGCAACATGATGAATCCCCATCTCTACTGAAAATACAAAAAAATAAAAAATAAAAAATAGCAAGGCATGGTAGAGTGCTTGTAGTCCCAGCTACTTGGGAGGCTCATGTGGGAGGATCACTTGAGCCTGAGCAGTTGAGGCTGCAGTGAGGTGTGATTGTGCCACTGTATGCCGGCCTGGGTGACAGAGAGAGACCTTGTCTCAAAAAACAAAGCAAAACAAAACAAAAAACAGTTTAGCTCATGTACAGTACTATAACCTTGATATCTTTGTTCACAGCGCTTCTTATATCTGTAATGTCCATTCCATCATCTTACTCCCTGCCTGGCAAACCCCTATTCATTCTCAAAGACTAAGGTTACATATGGGTTCCTTGGCTAAGCCTTCCTCAACCTTCCCCAGAAACAGAACAAGGCATTTCCTCTTTTGGTCCCAGAATATATATTTATTCTCTCTCTTTCTCTCTTTGTGTCTCTCTCTACACATAATGTTAAATGCTTTCATGGTAATCTTGCTACTCCTTCATGGTATATATACAAGTATATTTATTATATTACATGTTATCACAAGTTATATATTTGTTTACTTTTTTATTTATTATCTATTTCCCTTACAAAACAATAAATTCCAAAAGGGCAGGTACTATATACCATCTTTCTCACTGCTGTATAACCAGTATGTAGTAGGTACTCACAAAATATTTGTAGAATGAATGACTATATCGCTTAATCTATTTCTCTAATTAGTTACTGTCATGTCTGTCTGCTTCTCATAATGGCAGCCCCAAAGGGCAGGTGTCACAGTCTTCCAATTTTGTGATCACAGATCTAATTATCCAGTAGGCCCCTAATACATGTCTGTTGAATGAATGAATGGCATTTAAGAAATTCTTCTGATTTACCGCAATTCAATGTCTATGCTGAGGGACTAGATCTTAAAGCACTGTTTAAGAAGCGTGAAATTGACCATAGCCACTTTACTTGGTTGATACAGTGCTGGTTTGGCAGAGTTATAGAAAATTTGAAAAATTTCTGTGATTACTAGCCACTGCAAAATGAGCTGTCTGCAGTTTGTTAACCATACAATCAAATTTGAGGTAGAATGATTACATGGGAAGGAAAAAAAAGTGAAGTGGATATTAAAGTATCATCTTTCAAGGTTTTATTTTCTCTTCAATAGTGTCCAGAAGACAGATGCAAATGATATCCCTAATACACTTGACAAAAGCTCAAGAAAGTCAGTATGTTATGCAAAGAAAATGCATCTAGAGGTCAACTTGGGGGAAATGCACTGTCCAACTAAACAACCACCACCACACTATAACAATACCAGCAGCATTTAACATTTAGTGAGTATTTATGCTGTGCCCAGCTTTATGCTAAATGTTTTACATGGACTATTTTATTTAATCCTTACAATAATCCTATAAGCACCACATTTTTAAAAACTGTTTTACAAATGAAGCTAAGAATGCTTAAGCAAATTGTCTGATGTCACAGCTAGTAAATGTCAGAGTTGTGACCTGAACCCAGATTTCTCTGACTCCTAAAGCCATATTAACCACAACACATCCTTTTGAACCAAAGCTGCAATATGAAAACTCTAAAAATATGAAACCACTACATAACATGGATTACTTTTCATTGGTT
The DNA here is from genome assembly GCF_000001405.40 of Homo sapiens. Lineage (NCBI taxonomy): Eukaryota > Metazoa > Chordata > Mammalia > Primates > Hominidae > Homo > Homo sapiens. The sequence continues at coordinate 150,364,577 of NC_000004.12, forward strand.
TCACATATATCATTTAGAAATACTAGTAACAAGTATTGCTGAGTATATACTAAATCTGGTGTGCCATGTTGATCTGGAGGCTTTATTTACAGGTTTTACTGTTCTTTCAACTGGTTTTTTGCTTTGACACATGCATTTTTAAAACCAATACTTTCAACTTGTATTACAGCTTATTTTTCTCTTTTATTAACTGGAATGTAAGCTCCTAGAAGGTATAGATTATACCTGTATTCTTGGAACTGAGCATATAGTAGATGCCCAATAAATATTTATTGAGCTGGATAAGAAATTTATATTCTAGGCCTCTTTTTCATTAATGTAACCATATATTCACTATAATATTTTATATCATAATAAAATATCATAAAAATGTATATCATAAATATATATCATAATATATATACACACACAGAGAGAAAGTGTGTGTGTGTGTGAGAGAGAGAGAAAGAGAGAGACAGGGTGTCACTTTGTTACTCTGGCTGGAGTGCAGTGGTGTGAACACAGCTCACTGCAGCCTCGACCTCCTGAGCTCAAGTGATCATCTGGCTTCAGCCTCCCAAGTAGCTGGACTACAAGCATGCCACCACACCCGGCGAATTTTTTTATGTTTTGTAGAGACAGAGTTTCACCATGTTGCCCAGGCTGGTCTCGAACTCCTGGACTCAAGCAATCTGCCTGCCTTGGCCTCCCAAAGAGATGGGATTACAGGAGTGAGCAACTGCACCCGGCCTCATTATGATATTTTAAAAATAAACAGCCTTTAGAGCAAGACAGAGAATGATACCAATATATTAGTTGCTAAGTCCAAAGACTCTTAATAAATAACCAATCCATTAAACAAAAAAACTATTTTAGGAATAGTTAATAATAGGAGTTCATTCTGCAAATTTCTAAACGTCCATGACATTAGCAACTTATGAAAATGTGATTTTAGGCTGGGCACGGTGGCTCACGCCTGTAATCTCAACATTTTGGGAGGTCAAGATGGACAGATCACCTGAGGTCAAGAGTTCGAGACCAGCCTGACCAACATGGAGAAACCCCATCTCTACTAAAAATACAAAATTAGCTGGGCATGGTGGTGCATGACTGTAATCCCAGCTACTCAGGAGGCTGAGGCAAGAGAATCTCTTGAACCAGGGAGACAGAGGTTGTGGTGAGCTGAGATCCCACCATTGCACTCCAGCCTGGGTAACAAGAGTGAAACTCTGTCTCAAAAAAAAAAAAAAAAAAAAAGTGATTTCATGTATTTTAATTTCTATATTTTGACACATGAACTATTTGATTTCCTTAAATCAAACTACTATGCAGAAATAACAGAGAAAATTTCTGTTATTTCCTACTTAAACATTTTCATGTAACTACCCGATTGGTTCTACGTTTCTGTTAATATTTGGAAAATACCTTAAATACTTCCACGTAATAACACTGCTCAAACTATTCAAAATATTGATTAGATTTTTTTATTTTAAAAAATGTATAGCACAAACATTATTTGTTTTTGTGATTTTAATATCTCTTAAATGTACCATTTGACAAATGCTTTTAAATTAAAATACTATAACTGATAAGAAAAAACAGTCTCAAAGAATAAGGCTGTTTTGAGATTTTTTTTAAGCCTTTCAGACAACCCCTATGATAGCTGGTAAGACATATTAGAATACTATAAAATATGAGTTAGAATCACTATCTTTATTAGATTAGGAGAACTGAATAAAGGACATAACTGTATTCACTCTGAGGCTACTATTTTCCTCCTTTGTTCTTCAAAAATATAACTCTTTTTGTAGAATGTCTACCACTGTAGTTAAATTCAACTCATAGGATGCAGTTATAGGTCAGAATCTAGCAAAATATATTAGAAGCAATCTAAGCATTTAAATTTTTCTTAAATATGAGGTGAAAAGACAAACAGCATGGCAAGAGTTAATTGAAACATTCCTGTTTGAGAGACTGCATGGAGGAGTGGGGGCTGGTGGACAGTGAGAGGAGGGAGCTAGGCCGAGAGATGCAGAGTTAATCAGGGAGCAAATCCAAAGCCAGGCATGGATAGGCCTCACTAATGAGCCTCAAGTACCCTGCAGTGGTTTTCAAACTTAACTGGCTTCAAACGATGCCACCCCATGACAGAATGCAGCTAGCCATAAGAGGAGGGTGATTAGAATAAATGACTGGAGTAATTAACTCTGATGTGAAACCACCTGATTGGAAAAGAGAAGCCAAGAGCTATTTAGCTGATGGTCCTCCAGTAGAAAAAGGAAGCTTTCCCTTTCTCTTGTGTGGGTGTTCAGTTAGAACTCAACTCTTTCAAGTAGGTATTTGGTAGCACTAATGAAAAGCAGCTTTCATTCAAGGGCCTCTCAAGGGCCTTCCCATTCATTTTGAAAGGGGAAGAAAATAAAAGCTTCAAAGTAGAACTAATTTACTTTACTCCCCTACCTCTTAGTGAATTTTGCATTAGTGAAGTCTGCATTAGTATTTATGCTAACAAATTTACCTCCAAATAACGTCATCAAATACTAAAAATTTTATTTATAGAATAACTAGATATTAAGGCTAATTAAAATTTTTTAAATTTTCCTTTCTTTAAAAGTGTTTTAGAAAACTAAACTTATAATTTATAATTAATTGTTGATTAGTTACAGCACTTCCTTTACTCTAGAATGAGGGAGAAGTAAAACATAAATGGGGTACATCTGTTTTTGAAGAGAAACCAGAGAATAAGGTGGAGGTAAGGAAAGAAAGAACACATATTTTTGCAAAAAGACAGTTTTCTTACAGTGCAAATTGAGCCAAAGAATCCACCACACTCTCTGGCCTGCTTTATTTTATAAAAAGAGGAATTACAAAGACTTGGGGCATTACTGCCTGCTGTTTTACAAGTAATCATCAATTCATTGGGCCAATGTTGTTCTGTACCTGCTGAGTTAATGTTCCTCGGCACACCCCTCCCCCAAAAACAGGTTCACAAGCTGCCCAGTAACAACTACAGCGTAAGTAGCACATGTAACTTAGCAAATGTTTATGCCGAAACTCGGATTTATTTGACAGCTTTACACCTTTGGGCATGATATAATTAAATGTTTTGACAGCTAAACAAAAACTGTATAAATTTAAAAGCTATTAGGAGCTCAGCATCTAGAATCAAAATGAAGTAATTTGCTTATACCCTAAGCTACTTTTAGTAATGCATTCCAATAAAAAGCATGAAGAAAGGGATAAATGTCTATCCGAATGTTTTAGCTAATTCGTTCATATTCTTCTATGAAGAATATTCTCCTTATACTGATAATAAATGGCATCTTAAAAAGGCAACATAAACGCATTTAAGATTGTCAATATAATCCCTAAACTCTATCTCTGGATATTTTCTGTAACTTTAGAAATGGTAATATTAAAAAGACATAGACTAAGAAATAGTATATTACTGTATTTTTAAAAGGCCACCATGTGCTATAAAAAAGGATTGAAAGCAACACAGGGACAGTGAGGTATCCTTCAAACTCAGCCATTAATAACTCAAGGGGGTTAATCCTCATTCTCTCAAGGTGCCGGTTCCAGATTTTCACAATATGCTATGCTGCTGTAGTCCTCCGAGATTTCAGTGCTCACTTCATAATACCCCCAATTCACAGTTTACCTTCGGAGAAAACTACTGTTCATTATCTGAGCTCCAGAAAATGTTCCCATCAGTGGTACTACTTTAACACAAGATTTAAAAACTCAGATACTTCCTTAAAAAGGAAAAAAAAATACTATAAAGCAAAATTGTCCATTAAACTACAATTTTTTAGAAAATGAAAGGTTGTTTTATACCCACCATATGGCATCACATTATCACTCTGGACAGCACATACAGAGTACTGGCTAACAGTCTAACAAAAGTTAAATTTAAACAGCATCTAAGTTAGAACATTACTGAAGCATTTTCAGGCTATGTATATACAAAAACATTTAAAATTTACTTTTCATTATGTAACAATCTAAGGAATACTGTATCTTCACTAAAGGTAACAACGATCAGTTGTTTATTTAAAAAAACAAATCACTAAAATGTTTGAAAACCAGTCCACTTTTCATGTGGATGTTTATATTTCACTTAATCATCCTTCTTGGAAAGACAGCTCTAAAGGAAGAAAATACTGAGAACCAAATCCTGTTTAACTTACACAAGGTGATGTCAAGTAATTTAAAAAACATATTCTAAAAAGAGCTTCTTCTGTACACATCTAAAGACATTACTGCATTATCTAATTGTTCTCTTCCTCTCACTCATGTTAACAGGATAGATGTCTTTTTGTGTACCATATTTGGTTTCACTGGCACATAGCCTGAAAACAGATTAAACTGTTTGGAGTGTTCAAATATCTGATGGTGTATGGACTGTGGGAATAAGAGACTGGAGACTCAGAAGCTGATAGTTCCCAAACAGCTATTTTCCTTCTTTCTTTTTTAAAAATAAATGAACCTTGAGTCAGATTAATTAAACACTGGTTATAAGACTCAATATTCCTAGTAGATAAATAGATGTTTGAAGACTTAGTCAATTTCAGGCCCAAAAGTAAGTATTACTAGGTGTAAAATTTGTTTAAAAGATGTCATTAAAATATTACATATTAAGGTGGTCCTCTTAATATAATCTTGATGTCTTTTAACTATCTCATTCTTTCTCTTCTCCATGGACATCATGTTTTGCAAAATGTTATCAAATAATCAAATGTTATAAAATAATCTCACAAAGATGCATATATCTGCCAGACCTTCTGATTAGGAGATAACCAGTGGTGCTAACCTGATATAATTTAGCTGAAAGCACAAGAAGGTTGAATTTAACCCAGGTTGCCTTTTTATAGGTAAATGTACTATGTTCAGAATGCTTAGAAATTGCTGTGGTGGCTCTAATGGTTCAACAACCTTTGGCTGAGACCCACTGAACACATACAAACATATGATGCCTAAAAAAATATACTTTTTTTTTTTAGACCAAACACCTTTGTTTCAGGTACTGCTAAGAAATATAAGAGCTGCAAAATAATTATAACAAAATGCTTACTTATGCAGAATTTTAACTTTAGATTCATTGAAAGAACTATCAAACTTTTTGACAGATTTTGCTAAGTATTGTACGTATATAAAAAAGAAAATATAAATGAAATATTTGTAAAATGTTTGAGAGTCTACCTCTTCTGAAATGCTTCCTGATTCAAAGGTGTTGATTTCTGTGTTTCTCCATATAGTACTGTCCTCCATGCCTTTATAAGAGCATTAGTGAGGCAGCATTTTTTAAAGAGTCCTCCATTATTACATTTGAACTTTTCTTCCAAGTATCATACTACAAATTATGATGCTGACATGTTCTTGATCTTTTTGACAGCCTTGTACACGTGCCTTAGGGCTCCCAGTGCTTTCTTCATGACTGCTCAATTTCTAGCCTCTTCTAGTTTAACTATGATACTTCTATCTCAACGCCTCCACTGTGATAACTCTATCTTAAAACTTACCAAAATACATTAAGAAATAATGTTTTGTGGAGTGGAAGACAGTTTGGCAGTTTCTTACAAAACTAAACATTCTCTTACCATATGATCTAGCAGTTGCACTCTTTGGTACTTACCCAAATGAGAGGAAAATTTATGCTCACACAAAATCCTTAACATAAATGCTTACAGAAGTTTTATTCACAATTGCCAAAAGTTGGAAACAACCAAGATATATTTTAGTAGGTGAATGGATAAACAAACTATGGTCCATCCATACAATGGAATATTATTCCAAAATAAAAAGAAATGAGCTATCAAGTCACACAAAGACATAGAGGAATCTTAAATGCATGCTACTAAATGAAAGAAGCCAATCTGAAAAGGTTACATACTATATGATTCCAACTATATGATACATTGGAAAAGGCAAAACTATGGGGACTATAAAAAGATCAGTGGTTGCCAGGAGTGGAGGAGGAAGGGGGAATGAATAGGTGGAGCATAAGGAATTTTTAGGACAGTAAAACTATTCTGTATGGTACTATACATTTGTCAAAACCTACAGGAAGTCTAACATAAAAGTGAACCCTAATATAAACCAAAGACTTTAGTTAATAATAATGTATTGATATTGGCTCATCAGTTATAACACAGTAAGTGTACCACACTAATGCAAGATGTTAATAATATGGTGTACTGAGATGAGGAATAGTAAGAGGTATATATGAGAACTCTCTAAAGGTTCTGCTCAAATTTTCTGTAAGACTAAAACTGCTCCAAAAAATAAAACTGATAATTTTTTAAAACATGATGTTTATATTTTTCTCCTCTTCTTTGTCTTCCAAAGAATATCTCATGCCTAAGAAAGTTGCTGGCACATATTATGGGTTTCAATTGCTACTTTCTAAAGCGAAAGGAGTATGGAACCCAAAAGAAGGATCTCAAACCCTTCATTCCCACCAAATGTGCCACGGCCTACAGAGAAAGAAGCATTAATTAACACATTTAATTAATTAAACTCACACTTTTCATATCACGTATATGAACATGTTCTAGTATCAATATTAATATATAATCTATCTCCTTTTCATAGTAGGTTGAAAAGCATGAGCTGCAAGCTACTAAATTTTTTTTTTTTTTTTTTTTTTTTTTTGGAGACAGAGTCTCACTCTGTCACCCAGCCTGCAGTGCAGTGGCGTGATCCCGGCTCACTCCAACCCCTGTCTCCTGGGTTCAAGCGATTCTCCTGACTCAGCCTCCTGAGTAGCTGGGATTACAGTCGCCCGCCACCACACCTGGCTAATTTTTGTATTTTTAGTAAAGATGGGGTTTCACCATGTTGGCCAGGCTGGTCTCAAACTCCTGACCTCAGGTGATCTGCCTGCCTCGGTCTCCAAAGTGTCAGATTACAGGCACAAGCCACCGCGCCTGGCCGCAAGCTACTATTTATCTAATATTTATATCTCTTATTATGTTCAGGGTACTCTGGCTGTGTCCTGTGGGATAAAGACAAATGAGGCATTCTATACTTGCCCTGGAGGAACTCCAGTCTAATGGAGACACAGGAAAACAAGTATGTCCAAAGGTACATGGAAAGCAGAGAGCTGAGAACATAAAACAAGCTTAAGCAATATTATATAACTTATTTTATAAATATATAATATTAAATAATGCTATTTTCTATATTTGTTAGGTAAAAATGTGACTCACATGAATTAACACTCAAGATACCATAAAGCTTAAAGTTTTAAATGCTGTCTATATTCCTATCCTAAAAATATTTCCTCAAATTATCCTTAAACAAATTATGAACTGCCTTTATGAAGCATATTTCATTTTCTTCAATTATTTCAGCCTTTGGTTCATAGTCCTATTCCTTGTCATCATTCTTGATAGCTTCAGCATTTCATCTAATGGTTCTTCTCTGGAAGCCTTCCTTTTCTACTCATTTTAGCCACTTTTAAGCATTAATGTACCTTTGATTTAATAAGCCATGTGATTCAAGTCTGCATGAACCATTATCTCTTATTCTATCAGTTAATTTTTCTGTCAGATGCTCGTTATGCTAACTTCTTGTGACTCCTTTTAGTTCTTAAATTACAAAGATAATACAATAAAAACAACCAGTAAGTGTTTGCTTACTATTTATTTGAGTACTGTGATAATTTCTATAAATAATATCAATTAATTCTCAATTTTATGTCTCCAAAGTAGGTGCACCAAACCACTACACCGTATTTTATTTCTGTATAAAATATTATTGAAAATGTTGGCTGGGCATGGTGACGCATGCCTGTAATCCCAGCAATTTGAGAGGCTGAGGTGGGAGGATCACTTAAGCCCAGGAGTTCAAGACCAGCCTGAGCAACATGGCGAAACACCCTCTCTACAAAAATTAGCTGTATGTAGTGGCACACGCTTGTGGTTCCAGCTAGTAGGGAGGCTGTGAGCCCAGACCATGCCACTGCACTCCAGCCTGGGTGACAGAGCAAGATCCCATCTCCAAAAAAAAAAAAAAAAAGGAAAGGAAAAGAAAAAAAATCCAAAAGATCTGGAGTCATAGCCTGGGTAAAATGGTTTTGAAATCTTGGGCAATACTTAACTTCTTAAAGCTTCAATTTATTCCTCATTTAAATGTAAAAACAATATGTTCCTTATAAAATATCCTTATTATTAAATTATATGCCTGGTACGCAGTAAGTTCTTACTAGATATTAGTTCTCCTCCTGTGATGGCCAGCCTCCAAGATGGCCCTTGATGATTTTCATCTCCTATACTAAGTACAGCTGACCTGTGTAAGCAATAAGATAGTGCAGAGGTGACAGTGGGAGTTCGAAGACTAGTCATAAAAGATATTGTGGCTTCCCTCCTCCTCTCTTTTGAATCATTTGATCTGAGAAATGCTCCATATGGTGAGGATACTCAAGCAATCCTATGGAGAGTGTCATGTGGAACTGAGGCCTCCTGCCAACATGTCAACAATGCGAGACATTTTGGAAGCAGATATTCCACCCTCGGTCATACATTCAGATGACTGCAGCCTCAGCAAACAGCTTGACTACAATCTCGTGTGTGTGTGTGTGTGTGTGTGTGTGTGTGTGTGTGTGTGTGTGTGTGAGAGAGAGAGAGAGAGAGAGAGAGAGAGACTATGACCCAGAGCCACCTAGCTAAGCCACTCTCAAATTTCTTACTCAAAGAGACTATGAGAAAAAAAAAAGAAATGTTTATTGTTGTTCTAGCTGTTGTATTTTTGAGTAATTTATTACATAGCAACAAACAACCAATACAACTCCTGGTCCATATTTTTCTCAGACCTGCTTTACCTGTTTGAACCCACACTGAACCACATGGTGGTTATTTTCAACTAGGTTTTTAAGATGTAACCTAGACTCTCATCAACTTGACTGCTCTCCATACCTACTTTGTTAATCCCTAATCTTGGTGAATCCCATGATCTAATTTTCTGGCTTCTACATATGGGCTGCCATAATTTGTTAGAGAAAAATCAAAACATATACTAATAATTTTACTATAAATCCAAGCTATCTTCAGCTGACCCTCAAAATACTCACTATTTTTGTGTTTCTAGTTCACTAACATCATATTTCCTTCAGTAGCTGCCCTCAATTACACAGCTGCCACACTTTCCTTCTCAGAAGAGTATCTGGCTGGCCTTTGACTTCAAAATGAGGACATCATTAAATTTTTCTTGATTTTTTTCTTCTCCATTGCATAATGTTTATATTTCAACCTTACCTCTCCTCTTTTCCCTGTGTTTGGAGTAGAAAGTGTTATCCACTTTCTATATTAATTCAGTGCCCTCATACCATCTAAAAATATGCTATGTACTGGTTTTCAGTTTCTCCCCTTCTAAGATATTCCTTTTCTGAGACTATTATCTGCTCCAGATTCTGCTACCTAAAAAGAATTTATTCTTTAACTCCACTAACATCCCAGAATCACCTCTTCTTTCATGGACACCATACTTCTCAAAAGCCACGTTCACCCACTCTGTAATCTTCACTCCTTCACTCAATTCCTTGAAATCTAGATTTTACCACAAACACTCCATGAAAACTTCCAATACTCTCCCTTTTATGTACGGATGAAACGTTTCTCCCTCTATGAGAGTGAACTATTGTGGCAGAGACTGCTGTTTTTTATCTGCTAACCACTCCTTATTTTCTTTAATAATAAAAATTTCACTTAGCCAGAGACACATTTCCTTGTCTCCCTTATAACCTGATAAGGCCATGTGCTCAAGTTATGGCTAATGAGATATAAACAGAAGTAATGTGTTCCACTTCCAGTTGCTCATCTCAAAAGGAATGGGCATAGTTCCTTTCCTTCTTCTTACTGGCTATGAAGTAGACCCACCTTGAACCCAGAGATGGGAGTCACATGTTATAGCTGGAAGATTCATTCTCAGCTTCAGACTCCTGCTCTCTGTACTATTACATGAGAGAAAAACGAGAAGATATAAATGATACTGCAGGTTGGGCATACCTAATCCAAAAATTCAAAATACGAAATGCTCCAAAGTCTGAAATTTTTTTGATCACCAACATGATGCTAAAAGGAAATGCTTATTGAAGAATTTCAGATTTCAGATTTTTGAATTAGGGATGCTCAACCGTAAGTATAGTGCAAATATTCCAAAATGTAAAGGAAATCCAAAACCTGAAATACTTCTGGTCCCAAGCATTTCAGGTAAGGGATACTCAACTGGTACATATAACATATCAAAAGTGTATAATTCTTAAGTATGTGAATGAGAAATAGTAAGACTCCAAAATACAGTTGCTTAAACATCCGAAAGAATAGCTTAGCCTGAACCATAACTAATATACTCAGTGTACGGTCAGGGTCCTAGCAGGAAACAGAAGACATAATCAGATGAAAATCTGAAGATAATTTAATAAAGGTTCTATTCACAAAAAGCATCAAGGGAACCAACAAACTATTTTGAGAAACCTGCAGGCTTGTAACAACAAGAGGGCATATAACCCATAAGCCTGTAAGAGTAAGGGGGGGAATTAGTATTACTGAAGCTCGTTGAGTGCTAAAGCTATAGAAGGGAGGCTGTCTGGCTGTAGCTGTAGCTTTAACTATTGCTGTAGAGGGCCTACAGCCCTGAAGCAGGCAGGAAGCGGGAGCAAGAAAAAATGTGACCCCGTTCTCCTCCTGCAGTCCTGTCTCCTGTTTTTCATAGTGATCAGCCCTACAAGGCATAAGGGGGACAGAAGGGAGTTGTGGGTAATGACCTGGGGGGTAATGCTGGAGGATAATCAGAACACCTATTAATAAATTAAAAGTGTATTATTACATCAGGATTGGCTACTTTTGACCACGCTGAAGCATATTTTTAACCATCCAATTCCTCTTGAAACAGTCTCTCTACTTACTTTTTTTTTGTTTTGAGATGGAGTCTCACTATGTCACCTAGGCTGGAATGCAGTGGCATGATGTCGGCTCACTGCAAACTCCGCCTCCCGAGTTCAAGTGGATTCTCCTGCCTCAGCCTCCCGAGTAGCTGGGATTACAGGTGCGCACCACCACACCTGTATTTTTTTTTTTTTTGAATTTTTAGTAGAGACGGGATTTCACCATGTTGGCCTCAATCTCCTGACCTCGTGATCCGCTTTGGCCTCACAAAGTGCTGGGATTACAGGTGTGAGCCACCAAGCCCAGCCTCTACTTACTACTTAACACTAATGCACTCTTCTATCACTGCTCCTGATACCATTTTATAGGTTCCTCTTTCTCTTCTTGTTTTCTGAAAGAAAACTATTTCCCAGGGCTCTGTTTTTGGATTTTTGGGCTCTATGTGGTATTGCAGGGTGAAGTCATAAACCCTCTATCTTCGACCATCACTCACTATAGATAAGCACCAAATCTCCATCTCTAACACTGATCTCTCCCCTGGAGCTAGATCAAAGGTTGCATATTTAAGTATCTATGGAATCCAGATAGGTAAAAATAATTAATTAGGCAAACAATATAACACATTAGAGAGAGAGAAGGGCTGCAGAAATCTAGAAAGATATGCCTACCTATATCTACAGGGGTGGCTATTGCTGAGTTCCAGTTGATTTTACTATGAAGTAATGCAACCCCCACACTGTGTCTAACTTTTAAAGAAAGGCTAGAAATACAGATTTGGAAGAAGGAAAGGTGTCCTTATTTTACTTTTTTTTTATGGCAACTCCTTTTATTAAAATATTAGGTAGTTTATCTCAGAAATAAAATTGAAATCCCTATAACTAAAAACACTCAGCAGTGATGAATAAAACAAAAATGTTTTTAGGTCGGCACAAAATTGTGGTTTTCGCCTAAATAAAATAAAACCTTTTGATTTTGAAATAAGTTTAGACTTCCAGAAGAAATACAAAAATAGTAAAAGAGTTCAAGTATATACCCTTCACTCAGCTTCCCCTAATGTTAGCAACTTATATAATCAAAGAAATATTAGCAAAACCAGAAAATATGTACTAAACCATGGTTGTAATGTGTAACCAGCTTTTCTCCAATATCCTTTTTCTATCGGAGGACCCAACCCAGAATCCCACACTGCATTTAGTTGTTGTGTCTATCAATTACAAAGGAAAAAAAATAACAAATAAGTTTTTAAATGAACACTGTGTTAGAAAGAAAACAGCAAAAGAAATCCCCAGGAGCTATAAACAAACAAACAATTGTACTACAGAGTGGTAAAGATAACCCCGGGTGTTTTTGTTTTGTTTTGTTTTTTCTTTTCTTAGTCAAAGTCAGCTAGGAGTTTGTTTTTAATGCCCATATGGAAAAAGTAGATGAGACCTTGGCTCCTCTTTTAGGTTGGTGGAAGTGAAATTTCCCTATATATAAACCTGGGACCCTCAAAGAAACCATGCCCACAGGGAAAAGGTCGGGGTGGGAGTGAGGGGAATCTACCTACCAGTCAGGACTTAAGAAAAAGAGGCTGGGTGTGGTGACTCATGCCTGTAATCCTACTACTTTGGAGGCCAAGGTCGGGGATAACCTGAGTCCAGGAGTTCAAGACCAGCCTGAGCAACATGGCAAGATCCCATCTCCATAAAAATAATGGAAAAAAAAAAAAAAAAGAAGCTCTTAGTCTTGACTTGGGCTTAGGATAGGAAAACTTCCCCTAGGAATTCATATCCACAGGTCTGTCCCTTATATAGATTTAGGATTTAAAAGTATAAGCAAGTAGTCTAAAATCTACACAGAAACTGGACCTAGGCTTTCAAACATGGAAGAGGCAAAAGCAAAAACACTCTGGAGAAGCAACTGTATTCGTTTATGCAATGCTTTGCACATGAAAACCTGGATCTGTGATTAAGCATTTAAGGTAACACTCATAAAACTATATCATTTGCAGTAAACATGTCTACCAAGTAAATTAAAGGACCCTTATACTATGCAGCAGCTAAAGCAAAGTAGGATTTGATTAAAAGTCCTTAGAAATGGAGGACTGTTTTAATTCTAGAAGTGGGGGAGGAGAAACTCATACCCTTTAACTGACTACTACAAGTCTTTCTAAGAACTCCAGCTTTCCATAAGACATGTACCCACTTAGGAGATCATAGGTCAGGTTTTATAATATACTTTATAATTAATATAAAAAATTAACCATGATTATAAATCAATGCCTCATTTATAGGAGCCTGGAGTCTATCATACTTGTTTTAAATGTTTTTTATACCAATTTATTTATTTATTTGTTTTGTTTTGTTTTTCTTGCCAACATGGTGAAATCCCATCTCTACTAAAAATACAAAAAATTAGCCAGGCATGGTGGTAGGCACCTGTAATCCCAGCTACTTGGGAGGCTGAGGACCTGGGAAGGGGAGGTTGCAGTGAGCGGAGATCATGCCACTGCACTCCAGCCTGGGGGACAGAGTGAGACTCTGTCTCAAAAAAAAAAAAAAAATGCCTTGTCCTTGTTGGTACCCATACCCATACCAGGTAAACCTATATTTGGTCACTTGATAATCACCTGACTTTGCATGCCTTCTTAAATGTCCCATATCTTGTCATTCTGAATAGCATTCAAAATTATGTTCATCAGACGTAAATAGATATTTTACTAATTAGCATGATCCCTTACTTCTTATGTATAAGTGATTGACAGATAATAGCTGACTACCTGCCAATTTGGTTTTTGTACTCCATTGAGTATAATACCCCTCCTCAAGGTAGGAAATGTTAAGAATTTTTTTTCTCATTTACTGCTGTCTGCTGAACTAGACAGCTATCTCTAAAAGGTACACAATAATAACTGCTGCTTTTCATAAACTGTTTATAGTCATTCACAGCCTCTATTTCTTCTGTACGCAAGTAAATCATGTTTCCAGATGAAAATGAAAAATACTTTTATTAATGGCTTTTATTATTTTTAAAGTGCTATAATTTCAAAGATGTTAATTGTGTAAGGATGTAAATAAATGTAAACTCTCCAGGTCAATTTTCTTAAAAGGAAGTCCAGATACTAAAAACAACTTCAGGATGTAAAATGCTGGGAAACAGCACGAGCAACTCATATGCATCAGAGACGGAATCACATTGTAAGTAAAGGTGTTAGGCTGCTCTGTGGACAGGTAAAGAAGAGCCAAAACAGCTCTGGTAAACAGAACTCATAGCTACCATCCAAAGGTAAGTTAAACATACAGGTAATGTAGAGAAAGCCTGCCATAACCACATGATGAAAGCAAGAGCACAAACAAATGTCTTCAAATCGAATGACAATAATGTTATGACTATGACTAGTATGTACCTTAGCAATCACTCAGGGAACAGAAAAAAAATGATAGATTCAGAATATAAATTCACTAAAATGATTTCTTAGCTATTTTATACTATTATTTATGTAATAATAATTTGTTATATATTCTTACTATTGTATTAATTTACCCATTAATAAAAGACACTAACAATAAGCCACTACATTAAAATAGCAGATCAGGCCAGGCATGGTGGCTCATGCCGCCTGTAATACCAGCACTTTGGGAGGCCAAGGCAGGTGGATCACCTGAGGTCAGGAGATCGAGACCAGCCTGGCCAACATGGTGAAACCCTGCCTCTACTAAAAATACAAAAATTAGCTAGGTGTGGTGGCGGGCACCTGTAATCTCAGCTACTTGGGAGGCTGAGGCCAGAGAATCGTTTGAACCCGGGAGGCAGAGGTTGTAGTGAGCCGAGATCACGCCATCGCACTCCAGCCTGGGCAACAAGAGGGAAACTCTAGCTCAAAAAAAAAAAAAAAAAAAAAAAGCAGATCAGAATTCATCATTAAATTCCTATATACAAAAATTCCATAATTAGAAATATCACCAGCAGATACAAATTTAAATATCAAGTTTGTATTAGAAAAAAAAGAATGCTGGTTGGTTAAAATGGATAGAAGACAGCAATAATGAGTCAGGTTATAGGTTCAATCCCATAGAGCCCAGCTGGGTTCACATTGAGAAAAGTACATTTCATGGTCAAAGACAGGTCCCTGATCTCAGCAAAGGGTCACACATCTATGCTATTAGTTGAAAAGGGAATTATACTGGAGATGGTTCAAAAAACAAAAAACTATCATCATTACAGGAAATAACTCATAGCATACATCCTGATGACAAATGAATAGTGCTATTTTCTTTGTGAATAACATCTTCTGCTGCACTATTACTAACTCTAGGAAGATATGCTGGACTTCTTGGCTTTGTTTTAACACTATCCACATATCATGAAATATTATATTGCCGAGGCAGTATTTATGAAGCCAAATAGAAAGCAAACCATGAACTCCATACATAGGAAAACAACAACAAAGAATTAATGGCTGGGTGCAATGGCTCATGCCTGTAATCCCAGCACTTTGGGACAACGAGGTGAGAGGATCACCTGAGGTCAGGAGTTCAAGACCAGCCTGACCAACATGGAGAAACCCCATTTCTACTACTAAAAAAAAAAAAAAAAAAAAAAAAAATTAGCCAGGTATGGTGGCACACACTTGTAATCCCACCTACTCGGGAGGCTGAGGCAGGAGAATCACTTGAACCCAGGAGGCAGAGGTTGCAGTGAGCCGAGATCACGCCATTGCACTCCAGCCTGGGCAACAAGAGTGAAACTCTGTCTCAAAAAAACAAAACAAAACAAAATAAAAACAAAAAACAATTAATGATCACAACTCTACTCCTCAATGGCGCAGGGTCAACACCAGCATTAGAACAACAGGGATCACTCAACTGTATTCTGAATAATATTTACAAAGCACCTGTGAACTAATTCTTAGCAGTTAAGAATTTTTCTTTCCCCACTATCATTTTCCTCTTGAAATAAAGCAAATTTAAAATATGCCAACTAAGGCAAGAGATTTGAACCCCACCTACATCAGGATCACCTAGGGAGTTATTCCAGGGCTTATTCCAGAAACCACCAGAACCAATTTTAATAAGTATGGTGTAGGGCCCTGGGATCTGCATTTTAAACAAACACTGGAACACTAAAAGTTTGAGATGAGAATTACTGACTAAAAAAAAAAAAATTGCAGTTTATGTAGAATGCACACATTAGCAATATAAAAGGAAAAGAAGATGTCTACTTATTATTTTCTCTTGTTTATTTTTCTAAATTAAGTATATTTTGTTTTAGGCCAGGTGCAGTGGCTCACACCTGTAATCCCAGCACTTTAGGAGGCTGAGGAGGGTGGATTACCTGAGATCAGGAGTTCAAGACCAGCCTGACCAACATGGTGAAACCCCGTCTCTACTAAAAATACAAAAAAAAAAATTAGCCAGGTGAGGTGGCGGGTGCCTGTAATCTCAACTACTTGGGAGGCTGAGGCAGGAGAATCACTTGAACTGGGGAGGCGGGGGTTGCAGTGAGCCAAGATTGCACCATTGCATTCCAGCCTGGGCAACAAGAGCGAAACTCCATCTCAAAAAAAAAAAAAAAAAAAAAAAAAAGTATATTTTGTTTTTAACTTAGAACTATTTAATATTCCTTAGGAAATAGTTCAACAAGCCGAATTTAAGTGGTCTCTCCATAAAGGCACTTACATGATTTACACTTCAAAACTACTGAATTTTTTAAAACCACTTAAATTCCTTCATACAATTTTTGAATTAAAATGACAAGTGTGGCTTCTTTTTCAACATTTAAATATAACTCACATACCACAGAATTCATCCTTTAAAGTGTACAATTCTGTGGTTTTCAGTATTATCACAAAGCTGTGCAAACATCACCATTAAATTCAGAGCCCTTTCATCACACCAAAAAGAAACTCCGTACCTATATGGCACTCACTCCCATTTCCCTCACCCTCACACCCTGACAACCACTAATCTACTCTGTATTTCTATGGATTTGTCTATTCTGGATATTTTGTATAAGTGGAATCATACAATATGTGGCTTTTATGTCTGGATTATTTAACTTAGCATCATGTTTTCATGGTTCATGCTGTAGCATGTCTCACTATTTCACTTCTGTTTATGGCTGAATAATCTTCAGCATATGGATACACCATATTGTGTTAATCCATTATTAATTATTTGGTAGGCATTTGGGTTGTTTCTACTTTTTGGCTACTATGACTAATGCTGCTATAAACATTAATGAATATGTTTTTGTATGGATATGTTTCCAATTATCTTGGATATACATATAACCAAGAGTGGAATTGCTGGGTCACACGGTAACTCAATGTAAAGAATGTGCACCATTTTACATTCCCAAGAGTAATGCCTGAGGGTTACAGTTTTTACATATCTTAACCAATACTTGTTATTGTCTGTCTTTTTGCTAGTGGTTGTGAAGTGGTATCTCACGTGAGGTGGTGTGATTTGCATTTCTCCATGACTACTAATGTTAACATATTTTCACGTGCCTTTTGGCCATTCAGATATCTTCTTGGGAGGAATGTCTATTCAAATCCTTTGCCCAGTTTTTCATTAGACTATTTATCTTCTTATTCTTGAGTTGTAAGAGTCCCTTATATAATCTGCATAGTAGACTCTTACCAAATATATGATTTGCAAATATTTTCTCCCATTCTATGGATTGTCTTTTCACTTTCCAAGTCCAGTTTATTTATTTTTGTTTTTGAGGCTTTGGTACTGTATATAGGAAGCCATTGCCTAATCAGTGTGATTCACTACTTTTATTTTTTACAAAATGAATATTTTAGTAAAAATTGGCTCTAGCCTATCATTAGCAGGAGAGTAGCCTTGCAGTCTTGTTTTGTGTCAATAGAGATTTGCTAGAAAACTGAAACTGAGTAAGAAACCATTCTGGGGCTGGGCACGGTGGCTCATGCCTGTAATCTTAGCACTTTGGGAGGTTAAGGTGGGTGGATCACTTGAGGCTGTGAGTTCAAGACCAGCCTAGCCAACACGGTGAAACCCCATCCTACTAAAAATACAAAAATTAGCTGGGCATGGTGGCACATGCCTGTAGTCGCAGCTACTCAGGAGGCCGAGGCAAGAGAATCGCTTGAGCCTGGGAGGCAGAGGCTGCAGTGAGCTGAGACTGTGCCACTGCACTCCAGCCTGGGTGACAGAGTGAGACTCTGTTTCAAAAAAAAAAAAAAAGAAGACCAGGCTCTGAAAAGTTAGTTTGCAAATATTCACAGGCTTTTTGTGCTTTTTCAAGGCAAACTAAACCAATAGTTTCTAAGGTAGTTATTTAACTAAATTTAAATTAACATAGATCTTCAAAAGCCAAAAGTAGTGAAGAACTTAAACTGGATTGTAAAAAAACATAGAAATAAAAATGAAAAACATGGTCTAAACTACTGACAAAATATTTTTTCAAATTTCTAACACTCATAAGGACAAACAACCTTCTGAGGACAATAACAAATATAGAAATAAATTGCAAAATTTTTGTGGGCTGCTAAAGTGGTGGTAAACAAGTACTGAAATATGCCAAGATTATTTGTTTATAACATTTACTACTTCAGCTTTCATCAGGTTTATGAATATTTATTTGTTTTAAAATATATCCCCAAAAAGATACTTAATAGCCCATTTCAGAACTAGCACATCTTATGGATGATTAACATTAGCAAGGAAGAGTACTGCCTACAGAAATCTGATAGTAGTGCTCAAAGTAGTACTAAGTACACTGTTCTTTAAAAATATGCTTATTAACGTCACCAAAGGAAAGGTTGCTTAAAATATAATTATCAGTTTTTAGTCAATCTTTTCTTTTCTTTTTTGAGACAGTCTCGCTTTGTCACCCAGGCTGGAGTGCAGTGGCGCAATCATGGCTCACTGCAGCCTCAACTTCCCAGGGTCAAGTGATCCTCCCACTTCAGCCTCCCAAGTAGCTGGGACTACAGGTGTGTAGAACCACCATGTCTGGCTAATTTTTTATTTTAATTTCTGTAGAGATGAGGTCTCACTATGTTGCCCAGGCTGGTCTTGAACTTCTGGACTCAAGTGATCCTCCTCCTTGGCCTCCCAAAGTGCTGGGGTTACAGGGGTAAACCACTGCACCCCCAATTTTGTATAGATAACTTAAAAACAAACACACTTTTTTTGAGAACATAAAGTGTTTTAGATAGTATTGGAAGTCTGCCACGCAGGTATCATATCGCTCTTGTGTGACAGGTGTATTTCAGGGAAATGTATATGAATAAGATGTATATAAAAGACCAAGAGCATCACTGTTGTGTCCCCAGTGCTTGTAGTACTGAACAAGCTTAACAAAATGCAAGTAGCAACTGCTAACTTCCTGAGGGCAGAAATTTAAAAAAAGCCTTACGTTAGAACAAGACACTCTCAAAAAGAATGTCTAAATGCTAAAATTGCTAATACCCATCCATCTGCCTCCAGGTGGTGAAAAAGGGGAGTGTGTATAGCATTACAGTCTGGCAGGGGTAATATATGTAGCTTTAAAAGCATATTCAAATTATTATAATATTCTATTGTTTATTGGCTCCTTAATACAAACATTAAGGAACAGTTTTTTTATTTTTATTTTTTATTTATTTATTTATTTATTTTGAGACAGAGTTTTGTTCTTGTTGCCCAGGCTGGAGTGCAATGTGCGATCTCAGCTCACCGCAACCTCCATCTCCCGGGTTCAAGCGATTCTCCTGCCTCAGTCTTCCGAGTAGCTGGGATTACAGGCATGCACCACCATGCCCGGCAAATTTTGTATTTTTAGTAGAGATGGGGTTCCTCCGTGTTGGTTGGACTGGTCTTGAACTCCCGACCTCAGGTGATCCGCCCACCTCAGCTTCCCAAAGTGCTGGGATTACAGGCCTGAGTCACTGAGCCCGGCCCAGTGTGTATTTTTTACATCTATATAAAAGGTTGTGAAACTGATAAATAAAGCCTTCTTTTCTAAAGAGATTTAAATTCAGGACATTTAAGAATGTGAAAAGCAGATCCTCTTCTTTCCTGATCCTCCTTTCTTATGCTCTGCAAAGGAGTAAGAGTGGCTGACTCCTAGTTAAGGTTATGAAACAGCATCTAACTTCTTATGGGCTAATGCTTCCTTTAAACTTAGACCCAGCATTAAACCTCACAAACTAAATAAAAATACCTTCAGGGAATTACGATGAGAAGGGCATTTTGTATCTTTAAAATACAGACCTAATTGTGGAGGTAGAGTAAAACAATATATATTTTGGTTAAATAAGGCTAGAGAAAAAGAATTCACAATTTGTTGGATTTATAAAATACAAACTTTAATTTCTTTTTTTTTTTTCAGAGGAAAGAATTAAGATTAGGGAAATGAGAGGAGGAAGGAGATAAGGGCTTTAAATGATTCTGATCTATAATTATCAGTATGAATTTTTCATGTTTTTCTTTTGCAGACATTTGGAATTGTCCTGTAGATTTTGTTGGCAGTTAATGATCGAGGCCTGCAGAGCACTGTTACTGTTCTTGATCCCCCAATTCATAGGTATAATCTTTATGTCCTAAACTATTGGTCATAAATATTAGTTAGCTAAGAATGCCTAAAAGTTGTTTACAAACCATTACTTGAAAAATGAACAGCCAACATTTATAGCATATTCAGAGAAAGTTAGTTTGAAAAATAACTCAAACTGTGTATTCGAATCATTGTATGTAAAAAAATAAATAAATAAAAATAAAAGTAGCTTTTCTTTTCCTTGTAAAACATTAGCTAGAAAAAGATTTTACTTTTTTCCCACATCACAGATCATCTTGAATGAGCAGGCCTGCATAAAAACGATCTTCACAACTCTTTATGTAAAAGCACAAAAAAAACAAAAACACAAACCTATACACTTTTAATACAAAAAATCTGCATTATAGCCATAAAGGGGCGAATAGACCAGTCATAAAAAATAAACTCGTTTTTTAGTTGATCCAATCTTGAGCAAATGTTTAATTTTAAAATTTACTATTGTTTTATTTTCTATTACAAGTATCTGCCTAATTCTGGGGCATCTGCTATACTAAAAGCAGAAAAAAATCATTTGGGAGATTAAAGAGAGTAAGAGAAAAATAAAAGGAGAGTCAAGGAAATGGATGGGTAGGAAAAAGAAAAAAGAAAGATGAACAGACAGAGGAAGAAGGGAAGAGGGGGCAAATTGGCTTAGTCAAGCTCTCTTGGGACAGTGTGCTGAGTTACCAGACCAGAAATGAGGGGTTGAAAGCTACTACTGATAACTGGTGCAGGCTGAAAGTGCTACTTAAGTGCCTGGTGTCTGTGGAAAAAAGAGGGAGGAGAGGTTTAAGACTAAGGATGCCAAGTACATTTCCAGCCAGCAGAGTAAAAAGGAAGCATTAACAGTAGCCTCAGGGGAAGCTAAGCATGCTATCCCATGAGCCAGAGGGCAAATGTGGCAATAGCAGTAAGTAGCAGCTGGATAAAGGGATAAAGAAATAAAGAAACCACAGGAAAATTGGCAGCTTTAGACCCATAAGGCTGACTCGGCCTCGTCTAGATACTTAGAGGAACAAACAGCCTGGAAAAAACACTGCCATCTTTCTACTGCCGATGGGTTACTAATCAACAACTGAGGTGCAATCAACTAAAATTTACTTGGCAAAAATTATATTAAGCATGGATTTAACTTTGTGGAACAGAAGCTCTGCTCAGAAGATACATGTAAGATATTCTCAGTATTTGGCATCATAATAATCAAAATCAGCATTCTCCATAACTCTCCAAATGATACTCCGAAATGTTTAAAATGAAAAAAAAAATTAAATACCTTTTTCTAATGCAGTATTTCATTAATGTTTTCTAAATATTATTTCATACCTCATAGTTTAACAAATTTAAAAAGGATACACATAAATATGCTCTATAGTATATATTAGTGACCCTTTGAGTATTAAGCCCAGCCTCCATTAGCTATTCTTCCTGATGTTTTCCTTCCTCCCACCCCCCACCCTCCAAGAGGCCCCAGTGTGTGTTGTTCCCCTCCCCCTGTCCATGTGTTCTCATCATTCAGCTTCCACTTCTAGGTGAGAGCACGTGCTATTTGGTTTTCTCTTCCTGCATTAGTTTGCTGAGGATAATGGCCTCCAGCTCCACCCATGTCCCTGCAAAAGACATGATCTCATTCTTTTTTATGGCTGCATACTATTCCATGGAGTATATGTACCACATTTTCTTTATCCAGTCTATCAGTGATGGGCATTTAGGTTGATTCCATGCCTTTGCTATTGTGAACAGTGCTGCAATGAACATCCATGCAGACGTATATTTATAATAGTATAACATATTCCTTTGGGTATATACCCAGTAATGGGATTGCTGGGTCAAATGGTGTGTCTGCCTCTAGGTCTTTGAGGAATAACCATACTGTCTTCAACAATGGTTGAACTAATTTATACTCCTACCAACAGTGTAAGAGCATTCCTTTTTCTACACAACCTCGCCAGCATCTGTTGCTTTTTGACTTTTTAATAATAGCCATTCTGACTGGTGTGAGATGGTATCTCATTGTGGGTTTGATTTGCATTTCTCTAATGATCAGTGATGTTGAGCTTTTTTTCACAAGCTTTTTGGCCACATGTATGTCTTCTTTTGAGAAGTGTCTTTTCAAGTCCTTTGCCCACTTTTTAATTTTTTTTTTGTAAATTTGTTTAAGTTCCTTGTAGATGCTAAATATTAGACCTTTGTCAGATGGATAGATTGCAAAAATTTTCCCCCATTCCATAGGTTGTCTGTTCACTCTGTGGATAGTTTCTTTTGCTGTCAAATTATTTTCATTCATATTCTTCCATTAAAAAAAGGTTCAAAGTTATGTCATAAGGCAATCTATATTACCTTTATATGGTTTTAGAATGGAAGGTAAATACCACAATGAGAGTTCTTGTTTTAAATAAGTATGTGCTGTAATATTTTAGTATAATATCCGAAAATAAGATTTACCAAGCACAACATTTTTCAAATGACTAGGCTTGATATATTTGATAAACTGCAATTTGTAATTGATTAAATAAACCCTGTTGGCCTAAGAGTTGCTCAATTCTCTCTTTTCTTCATCAGGGTTATTAAGGTATTATAAGATTGATGTTATGAAAAAAGATCCTACTCCTAAAAGAATTTCAAACATTTAAGGAAATCAAACTGAAAAGTAAGAAATGCCAATTAAGTTGTGCAATGTATATAACAAATTCTATAAGAATTCAAGGGGTGAGGAGGGGGTGGAGTCAGGGAAAAAAGTTCCTAAGGGATGTAAAATTTAAGATGGCTCCTAAACCATGCATAACATTTGAGCAAAAATTATTTGGAAGGAAAAGATATAAAAAGAGTAAGTTAAGAAGCAGATACTTCAATAAAGCAACTGTAATTACTAAAGTTACCTTTGGAAAATTAAGATTTGACAGCTATTACAGGTAGAGTATAGAAGGGATAGAAGGTAAAGAGAGTGATGATACATAGAAAGTCATGATACTAAAGTAGAATAAAAGACTCGGGGTGTTTTAGTCTGCTCTGGCTGCCATAATAAAATACCTCAGATTGTGTGGCTTAAACATGAGAAATCTAGTTCTGAAGGCTGAATTAATTTAGAATTTCTGAAAGCTGAAAAGTCCAAGATCAAGGTTCCCATAAGATTTGGTTTATGATGAGCACTCTCCTCCTACTGTGCCCTCACATGATAGAGAGAGAGTGATCTCTGGTAACCCTTCCTCTTTCATAAAGACACCAGTTCTACTGGAACAGGGCTCCGCCCTTACGACCTCATTTAACCTTAATCACTTCCTTAAAGAATCTATCTCCAATACAATCACAGGGGTGTAATTAGGGCTCCAACATAATTTTCGGGGGACACAATTCAGGCCATAGCATTCTGCCTCTAACCTCCTAAAATTCATGCCTTTATCACACGCAAAATGCATTAATTCCATCCCAAATGCCTCCAAAGTTTTAACCCATTCCAAGGTCAACTCTAAAGTCTACAGTTCAAAGTCTCATCTAAATATCATCTAACTCAGACATGGGTGAAACTTGAGGTACGAATCATCTTTAGGCAAAATTCCTTCCCAGTTGTGAACCTCTGAAGTCAGACAGATTATTTGTTTCCAAAATACAGTGGTGGGGCAGATATAGGATAGACATTCTCATTCTAAATAGAAGAAGTAGGAAATTGTGATATAATTTTTTAAAAGCCTGTTGGGAGCATTAAGTGAGATTACATACAATAAAGTGCTTAAACTAGTTCATGAATATCAGCAGAGTAGAAGTATAAACTCCAAGAAGGCAGGGACTTTATCATCAACCACTGTATCTCAAGAGTTGCACAGTCAATAGGGTAGTCACTAGCCAAATGAAGCTATTTAAATTTAAATTTAAGTTAATTAAAACTAAAAATTCAGTTCCTCAGTAATATTACTCACACTTCAAGTGCTCAATAGCCACATGTGGCTAGTGGGTACAATAATGGACCATGCAGGTTTCCATCACCACAGAAATATTAGTAGACAAGTCTGTTCTAGAGCCTAGAAAAGTATGTGACACTATAATTATTGAATGAAGAAATATAAAAACTATTAGCATTCATGGTTCAAGAAGAATAACAAGAAAACATCAAGAAGAATGAGTATCTTCAATTTTGGATCTTTGTAAAAGATCCAAAAGAATCACAACACAAGATTATCTTATTAACTTTTATAAAGGCAGTAAATTTAGGGCTAGGAAAATGCCAATTAAGAAATATTTCTGTAGCCAGGTGTGGTGACACGTGCCTGTAGTCCCAGCTCAGGAGGCTGAGGTGGGAGGATTGCTTGAGCCCAGGAGGTTGGGGATGCAGTGAGCCATGGTTGTACCACTGCACTCCAGCCTGAACAACAGAGTGAGACTCAGTCTCTAAATAAATAAATAAATAAATAAATAAATACTCCATAGGAGATTAGGTTAATATTGTTCAGAGTTTTGCTTTGTTATGACCTGAATCAAGAGAGGAATCAAGAGAGGAATCAGGAGGCTGAGGTGGGCAGATTGCTTGAGGCCAGGAGTTCGAGGCCAGCCTGGCCAACACATGGCGAAACCCCATCTCTACTAAAAATACAAAAATTAGCCAGGCGTGGTGGCACATGCTTGTAATCCCAACTTTTTGGGAGGCTGAGGCTGCAGTGAGCCAGGATCACGCCACTGCACTCCAGCCTGGGTGACAGAGCAAGACTCTGTCTCAAAAAAAAAAAAAAAAAAAAAGAAAGGAATCAAAACTCCAGAGACTAACCATGAACATGTCTAATAGTCTCACTCTTAGGCACCAGCAGTCTTACTAAATTTGTTAGTGGCAGGATCAATAATGAATGGATTCACCAACAAATTCCTATGGTACATAATGTCAGTGTTGTCGGCAACAAATGTGAGACAATCCATTGTGAATACAGAGATCTGGACTTCCATTTTTGTCTGGGTATTTTTTTTTTTTTTTTTTTTTTTGCCAGTGGATGAGAAGGAACGGAGTATCTGCAACTAACATCAATATTTATTCAGAAAAGTGCTTCTTATCTTTTTAAGCACTTGGAAACACACCAAGTTCTGTTCCATTACATGGCATTCTAATGGGTAATTCTTCATGATGTAATACTTTAGCTTACATCATTAGTGTAAGATCAATTTATTTGGTTATCACACCGATTAAATAAAGGAAGTTTCCTTCTCCAGCAGTTGAAATGTTTCTGCAACTCTTATATAAAAAAGAGTTACAGGTCTTTGGCCTAAGCTGTCTATCTTCTTGAAAAGTACAGAACCAGAGAATACACTTTTCCAGCCTAAGCCATCCATTTTCTTGATAAATCCAAACCACAGAATGTGCTTTCCCTGGACTTAACACTTTGGCTATCTTTTCTGAGAATGGAAAATTTTTCTTACTAAAACATCTGCCTCACTCCCCACATCACATTCTCTGCCATCTGACCTGCCTTTGCTATGCTCTGATAACTGCCAGAAGTCTACAGCAATCTCATTTTAAGAGTGACCCTACCACTAACTGTGAATAAAGTTTTCTCACCTGGTTTTTGCCAGTCTTACTCTAGAACCTTTCCTTCCCTTGACACATATTTCTTATTCCATAGGTAGTGGGATATAAAATAGGCAAAAATTTCTTCCTCAAGGAATTTTTACCCAAAATTTCCCAAAATTTACCCAAAAATTCCTCAAGGAAGGAATTCTTCCTCAAATTCATTCTCTTAGTTTATCCTCTCTTTCCATTGCTGAGTAATCATTTCTTCTACCCCCTAATACCTTTATTCTTCTTGAGTGATACCAGGAGAGGAAAGCAAAGGATGACACAGAAAATTCTGATAAAAGAAGGTGACAGCAATAAGGCTAAATAAACTGTTCAGCTAGAACCTCTCAAGCTGAAATCAGAAATTTTCTCCTGATGTATTGTATAATATCAGTGTCCTCATTTGTTATTACAGCATTAGCTACTAATTGTCTCCCATTGTCTATTTACCTCCTTCTTCCTTTTAGCAATAGACCCATCCTCCCTTGCAGTTTTAGGAAGCCCAGCTTGATACCGCACTTCCCAAACTCCCATATGGCTAGGAGTCACCAGGTGATGACATTTTAGAAAGCAGAATGTGAGCAAAAATGATGTGCCCAACTTCCTAGTCACATTCTTTTAAAAAGCAACTGTGTGTCCTCTACTTACTGTTGCCTCTTTCCAAAGGGCTAAAATGTGGATATACGGGGTGACTGCAAAAGAACAGCAAACCCTGAATGATGATGAAACCAGACAGAAGGAACCCGGGTCCTTTGATGACATCATGGATTCAATTTGCTCTAATTCCTTGGATTGCCTACCAGTTCAGACTTTTACTTCAGGAAGAAACTTTCCATGTCCATTTAACCACTACTTTTTGGTCTGTATGAAAGATGTAAACCTTAAAACTGGCTTTTATATAAAAAGATTTATTTTGGGAGAAACAGAGTATGTGGGCATAGTCTAAAAAAGGCAATATGATCAGATGGAAGCCCTAAAAGATCAATTACACTCAAACATGAGAAGCATTTCTTAGGGTGAGACAGAAAGATGACTGGAGAACATATTTGATTCAACAAACTGTTACTAGATTCCTACTTAGGCCAGACACTATGTCATATACGTGACAGGAACTAGGTAAGTAAATTGTGTGTGTGTGTGTAGTTCCCAACTTCACTGAATTTTCTGTACAGTGAGAGATTAAATTCTAGGGAATTAGCTAAGATATAATTGGTCAATAATTACTGTTCAAGTGATACCATGTGCCAGGTAATGTGCTAGGTGCTGGAAAAGATGGTCTCTCTTCTACCTTCTAAATATTTTTCTTCCTCTTGAGTGCCACTTCTTTGGTTTAGGCTCTCAGAATTTATTTCAGCTCACACCCTTCTAACTGGTTTCCTTTCCTTCAGTTTCTTCTCCCTCCAACCCACTGTCATCTGAGTAACATAAAAATCCTAAAATAAGAATCTGATTGATACTCTGTTACTCTTTAAAAAAAAAAAAAAAAAAAAAAAAAACTTTACAAAATTTTTCTTACTGAAACATCTGCCTTTCTATTGCCAATAGGTTAAATTTCAAAATGTCCTTTCTAGTCTTATTCTTCATCACTTTATTATTCACCCCAGCTACACGGAACTGTTCATCATTTACCCAACATACCTTCATTTGCTCTCTTCTTCCTTTCTCAGTTCTTCATCTTTGAGTCAGTTTGGACTGCGATAACAAATATCATAAACTGGGTAACAAACAACAGGAATTTTATTTCCTCACAGTTCTTAGAGTCTGAGATAAAGGTACCAACATGGCCAGTTTCTAGTAAGAGCCCTTTTACTGGATTGTAGACAGTGCCTTCTCACTAGTTCCTCTCACATAGGGGATTTGGGAGTCCAGGGGGAAAGAGAGAGCAGAGTGAGTAGGGTGTCTGCATATTTGCTGTTTCTTCTTATAAGAGCACTAATTCCATCATGACGGCTCCAATACCCTCACAATGTCATCTAAACCTAATTATCTTTATTTCTTAAAGGCCCCATCTCCAAATATCCTCACATTGTTGGTAGGGCTTCAACATATAAATTTTGGGAGATTGCTAGGTAGTTTATTCTCTTTGTGAGCGAATGGAGTTCACTCATGATTTGGCTCTCTGCTTGTCTACTGTTGGTGTATAGGAATGCTTGTGATTTTTGCACATCAATTTTATATCCTGAGAATTTGCTGAAGTTGCTTATCAGCTTAAGGAGTTTTGGGGCTGAGAATATGGGGTTTTCTAAATATACAATTATGTCATCTGCAAACAGAGACAATTGGGATTTGAACAATGAGAACACATGGACACAGGGGGAGGGGAACATCACATACCAGGGCCTATCGAGGGGTGGGGGGCAAGAGGAGGGAGAGCATTAGGACAAATACCTAATGCATGCAGGGCTTAAAACCTAGATGACGGGTTAAAAGGTGCAGCGAACCACCATGGCACATGTATACCTATGTAACAAACCTGCATGTTCCGTACATGTATCCCAGAACTTAAAGTTAAAAAAAAAAGGGGGGAGAATATGATTCCATCCATAGCAGATGGCAAACTAATCCTTCAATACCCAGCTCAACTGTCTCTTAAGTATCCTCATTCTCTGAATGAAATTTAGTTGCTCTGCTATCTATGCTCTGATTAACGACATTCTGGATTAATTATTTCCATTATTAGATGGTAAATACCTACAGGGTAGAGATTATATATATTCATCTTTGTATTTTCTCAGAATTAAGTAGGATGTTTGGCAAACATTAGCCCCAATACATATTTGCTGAATGAAACACTGGACTTTCAGAAGCAATGAAAGATATGTGCTAAAATCTTTTTTTTTTTTTAATGCTTTTCTCTACTTGCAGGTCAGGCATTATAATAAACTCTTTCTCCCCCCCACCTCTACAATTCTAGACTCTGCATTCATAATTTCTTTCATTCTTTCCCTCCTTCTCCTCACCTCTTCCCTCCCTTTCCCTCCCTCCCTCCCTCCTTTTATTAGAGACAGGGTCTCCCTCTGTTGCCATGCTATAGTGCAGTGGTATGATCCTAGCACACTGTAACCTCAAACTCCTGGGCTCAAGTGATCCTCCCACCTCAGCCTCCCTAGTAGCTGGGACTAAAGGTGTGCATCACTACACTTGGCTAATTGTTTAAACTTTTTGTAGAGATGGGGTCTTGGGATGTTTCCCAGGCAGGTCTTGAACTCCTGGCCTGAAGTCATCCTCCCACCTTGGCCTCCCAAAGTGTTGGGATTATGGGCATGAGCCACTGCCCTTGGTCCATAGTTTGTTTCTTTATAGCATCATTGATCTCAAGTTGTCTATAACCACTAATTTCTATGGAGTTGAAATGCAGATTCTATCAACCAATGCTAGATTATTAATGTTGACTTTATAATTGCAGACACTTTTACATAAAGAGTAGGTCAACATGTTTTCACAAGAGTAATAAGTAACTTCAGATGCCCTTGTAAGAAATGCAGCAATAGGACTCACCTATTACTTTTCTCTACTGAATGCATTTCCACATCAACAGTGTTACCAATCATTATTTTATGTTACCACAGCAGAGAAGATTTAATCTTCTTTTACATAACAATTTCTTTGCCTTAGAGGCCTTGTGATCATTCAATATTATTCCTATTCTAAATCTGTCATGTTTAAAACCTACTGCCTGTATTAAATATCTATTATCTATTTACAGCCAAGAGAGGTTAAGTAACACAGCTGTGGTCAAAAGTTAGCTAATACTGAAGCTCTGGGATTAATCTCCAAATATTCTGAGTATGAATGCATATTCATTCAGACATGACCATGCATATGTCATAAAATTTTATAAAATTACAGAGGCAGTTGATATGAAAAGTGTAAAATATGTGATCAAATTAATTAGATATGTTAATTATGGTACTTAAGTTAGAGTTGTAGGTCTATCAATAAATATTCACTGAAAGTTTACTAAGTTTAAGTCACTATTTACAAGTAACGGAGGAGGGGGCACAGGAGGATAAAGCTAATAGGTAGAAAGTATAATAAATGGCAGAGTAAAGGGTTAAAAGAGAAGTACAAAGTACAACTGTGATGTCATAGAAAGAAAGAAAACCTGGCAGGCATGGCTATTGTCTTTACATATCAGGACTAAAGTGAGATTTAATTTGCTTTGTTTAAGCCTTAGAGCTAGAATGAGGACCAATGGGTAGAATTTACATGGCACAGGCTTCACTTGGTATAAGAGTTATTTGAAAATAGAATGTTGAAAACAGAATATTTTTGTGATAATATACTATAAGCTTAATCTACATGTAGTAGAGGTGTCATGGTGAGATGGTGGGGAGCAGGTGGTCTGTAGGGAACAATCCCACCCAAGACCAGTGAGTACCTGAATAAACACTATTATATGCTTGTAGTCATGGCTTAAATGCAGGAGCATAACACAATTGTACTGCCCATTTGCAAGATATATTTATCAGCAGTGTATCAAATGTATAAAAAAGTGATAGGGAGACTAGAAGGACGTTATTACCATAGTTCATATAAGAGATAAGAAAGGCTACTGTGGTAAAAATGAGCCAGCAGAGTTAGGAAAAGATGTTCTAATTACTTCAATCAATTATATGCTAATATTATCTATTACTAAAGAAGATAAAAATGGGATTAAGTGTACATAATAGAATTATCATCTATCCTATTATTTACCTTAATATATTTAAATTCCATATTAATATATTTACTGTAACATGTCTAAAACTGAATTTATCTTCCTCAAAGAACTTATCTTTTCCTCTTTCTGTAATGCCTATTTCAATTGTTAGTATGACAATTCATGCAGTAACTTTAGTTAAAAATCTCAATATTATCTTC
Organism: Homo sapiens; assembly: GCF_000001405.40. Taxonomy (NCBI): domain Eukaryota; kingdom Metazoa; phylum Chordata; class Mammalia; order Primates; family Hominidae; genus Homo; species Homo sapiens. The sequence goes on from NC_000004.12 coordinate 150,395,366, forward strand.
AACTTCTTCCCCTTATGTTCTTTATGACTCTGATATGTCTCTAGAATCTAGAATGTCTTCTCTGTCCTCTCTGTCATTGTTTTAACTAAGGTCATCATCTCCTGCTTAATTTCCTTTAACTGTTATGGCCTCCTAATTGATTTTCCTGTCTCCATTCTTTCCTAGCTTGAGTCCGATACTCACACTGCCATCTTCCTAATGAATAAATTAAATATAATTATATCATTCCCATGTCTTTTTAGCAGTTCCTGGCTGTCTGTAAGAGAAAGTACCAACTCCTCAGCAAGGTATAAATGCCTCTTCATAAATGTGACCTCAACTTAACCTCCCAAGCCTCATCCCTGGCTATTCTTTCCCAAGAAACCTATGCAATGGCCATACAAAAAATTCCATTATCTTAATCTTTTCCTATACTATAAGCTTATTCATTTCATATGGCACTTGTCAAATATCAGTGTCTGGGAAAGGTTTGAGTGAACATTTTTAATCAATTGCTATTTAGTAAATAAACCAACAATCTTTCAGTACAATCTACAGTATTCTACTGGTAATTGATTCTCTAGAATTGAAAAAAAAATTTCCCTCAGCATCTTTCCCCCGTAGACTATTATGATGATTAATTTTGTGTCAACTTGAGTGGGCTGCGGGATGCCCAGATAGCTGGTAAGACATTATTTCTGAGAATGTCTGTGAGGGTGTTTCCAGAAAAGGTTAGCATCTGAATCAGCACACTAAACAAAGAAGATCCACTCTCACTAACATGGGCAGGTATCATCCAATCCAATGAGTACCAGAACAGAATAAAAAAGCAGAAGGATGAATTCCCTCCACCCACTCCTTGAGTTGAGACACCCATCTTCTCTTGCCCTTAGGCATTAGAGCTCCTGGTCTGTGAGTCTTCAGACTCAGGGACTTACACCAGTGCCCTACTCCTGGGAATTTAGGCCTTTGGCATCAGACTGGGAGTTACACCATTGGTTCCCCTGGTTCTTAAGACTTCACACTTGGGCTGAATTGTACCACCAGCCTCTGGGTCTCTAGCTTGAATATGGCATACTGTGGTGCTTCTCAGCCCCCATAATCACACATGCCAATTCCCATAATAAATCTCATCTCACACACACACACACACACACACACACACGTACTCCCAGAAATAATGTTTATCACTTATCCTGGCATCCCTCAACCCACTCAAGCTGGCATATAAAATTAACCATAATAGTAGTCTACAGGGAAAAGCTATTGAGGGAAAATTCTTTTCAATCACTCTAGAGAATCAACTAGTAGTAGAATACGAATGTATTGGTTTATTTACTAATTAGAGATTGATGAAAAATGTTTGCTCACAAGCCTTTCCCAGGTACTGACACTTGACAAGTGCCATATGAAATGAATAAACTTATAGTCTAGAAAAAATAGGAAATGATTAGGACAATGAATTTTCTATATGGCTGTGGCATAGGTTTCTTTTATTATACAAACACTCACACACATAAACATATATAGATGTTATTGGCTCTGATTCTCTGGGAAATCTTAATACAACTACAAAACTTTATTTGCCACTTGTTCCCACTTTCAAAACACAATTTACTATTTATTTCCATTATTAAAAATAATAACTAATCATTAAAAACATTTGAAAAGCAACGGAAAGAGAAAAGCAAAAAAACACTGACGCTTTAAGACACTGGAGTAGGTGTATGTCCTTGTAATGTTTTTATTACATTGAGATATCATACACATAAACACATCTTATATACTACATTTTTATATCCTAAATTTTTCTTTTCTCCGAATTCTAAAATAAAATAAATTTTCATATTTTTTCTGATGAAAAGTGAAAAATGAAAGTAATTTTCCTCTCATTAAGTGCATATTTTCATACAATGTACGATACAAAAAGGTATTCATTTTTTTCTTTTTTGAAGACAGGGTCTTGCTCTGTTGCCTGGTCTGGAGTGCAGTGACACAATCAGGGTTTGCTGCAGCCTCAGCCTCCCAGGCTCAAGCATCCTTCTGCCTCAGGCTCCCAAGTAGCTGGGACTACAGGCACATGACACCATGCCCAGCTAATATTTTTACTTTTTGTAGAGATGGGGTCTTACTATGTTGTCCAAGCTAGCTTCAAACTCCCAGGCTCAAGCAATCCTCCTCCCTTGGCCTCCCAAAGCACTGGGATTATAGATATGTGCCACCATGCCAGGCCTAAGAATGTATTCTTAAAATAGGTATGGTCTCATTTGTACAACTAAAACTTATTAAAACATATGCAGTAGTATAATTTTATCATAGGAAGTATAATGTAGAGTATAACAACACAGGTTTCTTGCACTGGAATCCCAGTTCAATATTTATGATTGCTGTGACAAGTTACCTAAACTCACAAGTTACCTAAACTCTCTATGCCTCAAGTTTCTAATCTACAGGTTGAGAGTAATAATAGCACTTACCTCATAAACTTATTGTGAGACCTAGATGAGTTAATCCATAAATGGCTTACAACAATGTCTGGTGCATATTATTAAGTGTTCAACGCACGACAGCTCTTATTATCCTTCTAAAAATCTAAAGTTTAATGAACAAAATCCCATTAAACAAAGCGAAATATAAATTTTGTCTATTGAAAATATGTTGCACAGTGAGCATTACAAAAATAATTACATATATATTTTAGTATCTTCTCTAGCACAGAAAAAAAGTAGAAAGAAGAAAATAAGGGATCATGAGATCCTGGCAAGAGTTTTTCTCCACAGACATTCTGTTGGTGGAATAGAAATATGTGAGATGGTGAATGGAACAGATCTAAATAAGCATGGGACTAACAAAGTACAATGTATGAAAGATTTTACTTAGAAAAAACAATTACAAATTGACTATACAATCAATAAGACTAACCGAAGGGAAATGCAGTAAAACACTTTCAAAGAAAAATACTGTGGAGCCCAGAAGAAAATAAGCCAATTGACAGAGGTAGATTTCACGAGCTCATAAAAATGAAAAAGTAAATGCTGCTGGACAAAAAGTGGTCCTTACTTTTGCTCTCAATGTTTCTAGTATGCTATGTAGAACAATTATTTTGCTTTTACTGAAAAATAACTATTGCATTTGGTATAAAACGATTCATAGGAAAAATTATTTTTTACTTCTGAATAATTAATGTATTTCTTAAGTAATAGAGGAAACTATTAATTAAGAGGCATTCATGAAGGTGGATATCTTACACCTAAACATTTTAGACTTGTTTTCCAATTTTCTTTCTTTCTTTTTTTTTTTGAGACAAGGTCTTGCTCTGTCACCCAGGCTGGAGTGTAGTAGTGCCATCACAGCTCACTGCAGCCTCTACTTACTGGGCTCAAGTGATCATCCCACATCAGCCTCCCATGTAGATGGAACTACCGGCATGTGCTACCACACCTAGATAAGTTTTTTTGTTTTTTGTAGAGACAGAGTCTTGCTGTGTTGTTCAGGCTGGTCTCAAACTCCTGGGCTCAAGCAATCCTCTGCTTTAGCCTCCCAGAGTGCCGGGATTTACAGGTGTGAGCCACCATGCCCAGCCCTTTTCAATATTGTTTTTGAAAATTCCATCCTATACTGCCAAATATAAATATATCCCAAGAAATTAAAATACAGAAAATTAAATTGCAAAGAAAATATGGTTGCAGAATTCTTGCAATTTAATTTTAGTAAATTCTTTATCTTTTTTATTAACATACCTTAAAATTGCTATGCACATATTTTCTGTCTCAGTTATGTACTCAACTAGAAATTACCTTTACTTAACTACCTGTATTTTATTGAAATACTGTGCCCATCCTGCATGGACTATTTTGCGTCACTTATTTTATGAATATCACTATTGGATATGCTCTTTTGCACCAATAGACTCTTATTCAGGTATGACACACAGAGACACAAAATGCTAAATTCTCCTTTCCTGTGACCATGGCAGAAACTACTAATCAATATTCTTGGGCAAAGTTGGTTCTCAAGATGCTCAAGCTCTGCTGTTGTCATAAAGCATTTTGGTTCTCTTCTGATACTTTTTGAAGACTCATCCATTTTTCATTCTTTCAGCAAACATGACCATGATACCCCATATAGACCAGATATTGTGCTACAGTTGCGAAAACAAAGAATAAGAGAGGTCCTCAAGCGGCTCAACATCTCATGGTGAAAATGAGATGCTGAGCCACCACTAACATGCTAGCTGTTAAGTATGTCCACTTAAAAGAGAACACAGGAGAAACATCTCAGGCGGACTCTGTTGGCGTGGTTGGTGGTGAGGGAATGTTGAAGAGTGGATAGAGGTATAATTAAAGGCTTTCTGGATGGCGTGGTGGCTTATATGAGTAGTCCCAGCACTTTGGGTGGGATTACAGCACTTGAGGTCAAGAGCTGGAGATGTGCCTGGCCAATATGGTGAAACCCCGTCTCTACTAAAAATACAAAAATTAGCAGCTGAGTGTGGTAGTGTGGCGCCTGTAATGCCAGCTACACGGGAGGCTGAGGCATGAGAATCACTTGAACTCAGGAGGTGGAAGTTTCAGTGGGCGGAGATCGCACCACTGCACTCCAGCCAGGGTGATGAAGTGAGACTCTGTCAATCAAACAATCAATCAATCAATCAATCAAGGCTTCCCAAGGGGGAGGAATCTGGCATTTTTGTAGGCAAAGGAAACAGCTTATAAGATGTGAGAGAACACAGCCATTTTAGAGAAGTGTACATTGTTCAGTGTTACTGGACTATAGTTTTCAAGAGATGAAGTTGGGGAAGTAAGCAGGTAAATTGTGAAGATCATTCCAAGTCATGTTGTAAAGCTGGGAAAGCTATAAGTAACCACTGAAGAATTTTAAGCAGTATTTGTGAGAGCCTCCAATTTAGGGAGTATCCAATTTATAAATATCTTCATATAGTTTAAAAAGAAATAGTTATTTTATGTGGTTTCCTATGGCACCAACTAGAATGTTTCTGGGATGATCCAGAAACATGTACAAGTGATCTGCTGCTGAGATGCAGATTATATTTCTTCAAAAAAACCTGGATCAAAAATTTTGTCGTTTTACTTTTAAAACGAATTTGAGTCAGAATCCATTATATATTATTCTCTGGTGTAGAGCATAATGGAATAACTATAATACAGCTCAATAAAAATGAAAACAAGAGGATATCATAAAAAGACGGTTTCAAAGAACATTTTGAGGCCAAGTGCAGTGGCTCATGCCTGTAATCCCAGCACTTTGGGAGGACAAGGAGGGAGGATGGCTTGAAGCCAGGAGTTTGAGACCAGCCTGAGCAAACATTAGGAGACCCCCATCTTCACAAAAAATAAAATTAGCTAGATGTGGTGGCATGTGCCTATAGTTCTAGCTACTCGAGAAGCTCACTTGACTCCAGGAGTTTGAGACTGTAGTAGGCTATGATCAGCCACTGCACTCCAGCCTGGTGACAATGAGATGCTGTCTTAAAATTAAAAAAATAATAAAAAAAGAAGTTTTCTTTCAAAAAGACAGAACAAGTAGTTGAGTGAGTGTTATGGGTTGAGCTGTGTCCCCTCCAACACAACTCCATATGTTGGAGTCTTAAACTCCAGTACCTCAAAATGAGATTGGAGATAGGTTATTTACAGAGGTAAACAGGTTAAAATGAAGTCATTTGGATGTTCCCTAATCCAATATGACTGGTGTCTTTATAGAAAGGGGAAAATGTGGACACAGAGACAGATATGCACACAGGGAGAACACCTTGTGAAGACCGAGGTTACACTGCTGCAATTGAAGGACCTATCAGAAGCTCGGAGAGAGGCCTGGAACAGATCCTTCTCTATCGCCTTCAGCGGGAGAATGGCCCTGCTGACTCCATGATCTCAGACTTAAAGCCTCCAGTACTGTCAGACAATAAACGTATGTTGTTTAAGCCATGCAGTTTGTGGGACAGTAATTATTCACTTAACATTGTCAACAGGTTCTTGGAAACTGTGACTTTAAGTAAAATGACACATAAGGAAAGCAATTTTTTTCCGATAACATCATAACTAAATGACATTATCTGAGAACCTATTGTAATTATTTCACTTAAAGTCCCAGTTTCCAAGAACTTATCCATGATGTTAAGTGAGGACTTACTATACTTTGTAATGGCAGCCCTAGGAAACTAATACAAGTAGGGTTACAGGAGAAGTAACTTCTAAGAATTTACATGGCAACTAAAAGCAGTAACTTACCCTAGACTGGATCCCATATTGCAGCGTAAAAATTATATAAATATTACATGTTATATATCACTAACAAAAGTGATATATATGGAGAGTAAATTAGACGAAAGTATTACATCAACATAAGTTTATAAAATGGATAACTGTGCTGTAGTTACATAAGAAAATATCCCTATTCTTAGGAGGTACACACTGAAATATTTAGAGGTAAAAGACCATGAAGTATGTAACTTACCTTAAGGAATTCAGTAAAAATATTGTGTGTATATATAATTATGTGGGTGTGTGAGTATATATACATATACTACAGAGAGGGTGAAAAAAGAGGAGAGAGAGGAGGAAGGGAGGGAGAGAGAAAACTCACATAAAAAAGAGGGAGGGAAAAAGGTTAACAATAGTGAACCTGAGAAAAGTGTATAAGAATTCTGTGGGCACGGCGGCTCACGCCTGTAATCCCAGCACTTTCAGAGGCCGAGACGGGCAAATCATAAGGTCAGGAGATCGAGATCATCCTGACTAACACGGTGAAATGCCATCTCTACTAAAAAAAAAAAAAAAAAAATTCTGTGTGCTATTTTTTTCTTTGCAAGTTTTTATAAGTTTGGAATTATTTGGAAATAAAATACAAAAAAAGAACTTATTTTAGACGAGATCAGGCACTTTCAGGGTGGTACAGCAGTAGACCAAAAAAAAAAAAGAACTTATTTTAAGAACAATGCCTAAGCATATTGCTACAAACATTTTATTTTTAGTATGGCATAAGTATATGAACAAAAAAAGTGAAACGATAAAGTGAATGAATAACTGATTAAGAAAGAAAGAAGCGGGGAAGAAAAGAAACAAAAACTCAAAAATTGATTTAAGCTATAGAAATTCTAAGTGCCACAGAAAATTTTGAGATATAAATTTCTCAAAATAAAAACCAGGTACTATAGTCACGGCATTTAATACAATAAAAATAATACAAACTAAATTTGCCTTTGCTTAAAAATAAGAATCAGAATATCTACTTTTTCTTTAGAAAGTAGCTTAACATTTATTTAGAATAACTGTTAGTGGAGAGAAAAAATGGCCTATTTTTGTTTATTTATATAATACTCACACAACTATTCATTGTTTCCTAGCATTGCAATACTTTGATATTTATCCTAAAGTTTCTCTATGTTCTAATGATAATTCTAAAATATAGAATTATCTATCTCTCTCTATATATATAAATATAAATTCTAAAATATAGCATTATCATTAAAAATATAGAAAGGAATCAACCGGACCACAAAAAACTAAGCCGTTCTGGATAAGCATGTGGCAATCCTCTTCTTCCTTTTTCTTTTTTTTTGGAGGTGGGTGGGAAGGTCACAGTGGTTAACATAATCAAGGAAATTTGCTAGTATATACAGAAGTCTTTGCTAAGAAATTTTCGTTTGAGATACACCAGTTACCGGCAAATCAAACAGACATAAATACCACAGTAAGCAGTCATTTATCGGGTAACCCTGTGCAGAGTTGCATGAAAGCATCCAGAGGCAGAACAAAATCCACAGCAGAGCCGCTGCTTTTCAGATAGACTGCCACTGCAGGTGCCATGGCCCAGTGCCAGAAACACAGGCAGGGGAGGGGTTACAGGCAGCTCCTGCACAGCACCACTGGGCAGAAGTTGCCTGTAATCAGAGCACTACTGAAAGCAATGGTGGTGGCAAGGTGAACTTGGTGAGCAAGCATTCCTCTGTGAATTCAATTTCTTCTTGTGAATTTCATATTGCGAGCCCATTAGCCTCACTTCTCTTCTCTAGCCATTATCATTAGCCCCTCGCAGAAACGATGACTACCAGCTGTAACTGGCAGCACACTACCATGATAATTTACACAAAGATTAAAAATGAAAAATTAAATACTGGGATTTCTAGCCATCTTTTAACTTTTTTTATTATAAAAAGTATCTCTCTCTCTTTCTTCTTCTTCTTCCCCTTCTCCTTTCCCTTCTCCTTCCCCTTCTTTTTTTTAACTTCAAACCTATAGTAACTTTGGACAAGCACTAAGTTACCATAAATGAGGTTTTGTTTATTTCTTTTTCCTGAAGTCAGTGCAACAAGGTATTTCAAAACCTTAAAGAAAGAAATTATGAAATTAAGAAATAGATGACAAAATATACACCTGGCTGGGCACGGTGGCTCACACCTGTAATCCCAGTACTTTGGGAGGCTGAGGAGGGCAGATCATTTGAGGTCAGGAGTTTAAGGAGTTTGAGACCAGCCTGACCAACATGGTGAAACCCGGTCTCTACTAAAAATACAAAAAATTAGCCAGGTGTGGTGGTGAGTGCCTGTAGTCCCAGCTACTTGGGAGGCTAAGGTAGGAGAATTGCTTGAACCTGGAAGGCAGAGGTTGCAGTGAGCTGAGATTGTGCCACTGTACTCCAGCCTGGGCGACAGAGCGAGATTCTGTCTCAAAAAAAAACACCACCCAAACCAGAAGTATTTTGAATAAAGTGTCAAATACTTACAAGGTGTAATTACTATTGATATCATGAGCAGCCACTGTGCCAAATTCATGCACCATAGAAGATTCTGAACTCCAAAGGGCCTGGCATGGGTCTTTGCAATTTAGTTATGGACATGACTGAATCTCACATGAAGAAATGTTTAATAATCAATAAAGAGAAATAATTGAAAAACTGCTCTAAAATGAATTAGATCAGCCATCTGCACAATACCATCTCAAGTAATAATTGGGAAAGAATATATAGGGGTGTTTCTGAAATGTTTCAAAGAAGATGAGAGTTCTGAGAAGAGTATTTGTAAGTTTTTAGATTATTTTGCTTTTTGAGAGCATAGTGATAAGAAGGGTAACGATGCACGCTTTAGGGTATCATTTGGCTAAAAAAGGAGTAGGGTAGGCTCATACTGCAATGATAAGAAGAACATGTGGCAGGCACTGTGGTAAGAAAAGCATGAGGAGTAACTCAAGCTAGAAGCCTAACTATTACAGGTTCCTGTGTCAGGAAGAGGGAGAAATCTGGCATTTCCCCCCACACTTTCAGCTATATCACTGAGGCTGAAGTCTATAGGGAAGAGTAACTACTATTAGACAATCCTTTTCAATTATATAGATGAGATACCCACGGGGAAGAATTTTCCAAAATTTAAAAATCATTAATATATTTTAATGAAATACTAACAATGTGGTAGAAAATCATAGAAGTTACTTACCCCAGAATAAACACAGAATTTGAATATTTTTCTACCATGGATGTAGCATATATTAGAAATAGTATCATTTTATTTTATTTGGCTTGTATCTAGCACAATAACATGTCACTAAACAAAATGCGGTTTACTCTCATTTGTCCAGAGTTCAGAATTTAGGTGTTCAGAGAATCTAGAACACAGTCAAACTCAAAGCAACTGAAGGCCAAGAGGAAAACAAGCAAAAAGCTCATGAACTTTAACGGTGGGAGGCATTGGGTCATTCCTCAAGCTTTTAACCCAGCCATATATGCATTAAATAACATAATCAATCACAACAAGATGGAAACCCTAACAGAGAAGTGACATCTGACATAGAAGAGAACTTTGAATGCTGACAGAAAAGCTAAAAGAAAGCAAAGGAATGTGGGTCATTTTAAGTGAGGAACAAAAAGCTCTATGCATCTCAGAAACTTCAAGGCATCATGGAAAATGTCTGGAATATTCAATTGTTAGTAATACAGAAAAGGCTATTTAAGATTTAATTTCAGAAAGAATTCTCCATTTAAGAGGCAAAGAAATGTGTAATCCATTTCATAAAGAGATTTCTCTTCAAGGGAAATGGTGAAAACCACTGGTATTTGAAAGTGTAAACCCCAATTCTATAAAACTTTTACTGTATGATGTTTTAATTCCATTCCTAGATGATGCTGAGTACCTGATGCACTCTTCTGATGCCATTTTGAAATGTTTCTATTAAGGTAAAGTAGTGAATACAATTAATAGATATTTTTTCTCCTCTTAACTTCTTTAGGAGATAAAAGATCATATAACACAACATTTATAACACTGCATAGTAGGCTTATATATAAATGTAATATATATATATAAATAATAGCACAAATTAGGGGTAAGGAATGGAGCTGAGTTGGAGCAAAGCTGCTATATTTTACTGGAATTAAGTTGGTAATAACCTGAAGTAAATTGTCATAATTTAAAATGCAGACTGGGTGCAGTCGCTCATGCCTATGAGCCCAGCACTTTGAGAAGCCAAGATAAGAGGATTGCTTGAGGTCAGGAGTTCAAGACCAGCTTGGGCAACATAGTGAGACCTCATCTCTATGAAAAATAAAAAACTTAGCTGGGTGTAGTGGCACACGTTTGTACTCCCAGCTACTCAGGAGGCTGTGGTGAGAAGATCGTTTGAGCCCAGGAGGTTGAGGCTGCAGTGAGCCGTGATTGTACCACTACACTCTAGCCTGGGTGACAGAGTGAGATTCTGTCTCAAAAAATAAAATGTATATTGTAGTCTCTATAAATACGACTAAGAAAAGAACTAAAACAAATACATAGTAAAAAAAATTTAATGAAAATAGTAGACCAGAAATATTATTTAATACAACAAAGATGATAAAGGAGGAACAGAAAAACAAAAAGACCCAAGACTAAAGAAAATAATTAATAAAATGGTAGACATGAATCCAACTATTATAGAACTCTCTACTAGATGAGATTTCTTTACATGTGCTGATCTATTTCTGGATTATGCTATTGGATGCTATCTGGATTGTGCTATTATTATGCTATCAATAATAACATTAAATGTGAATAAACACTTCAAATGGCAGAGATTGTCAGTCTAGATAAGTAACATGATCCAACTATATGCTATCTACAAAAGACATTTTGAAAGTGTCCAAAATCCAAAAAAATGGATTGAAAATAAAATAATGGAAAAAGGTATACCATGCAAACAGTTACCATAAGAGAACTGACGTGGCTTTAACAGTATCAGGCAAAACAGACTCAAAAATTACTAAAAACAAACAGAGACAATTTATGACTAAAAAGTTGGTTAATTTATCAGGAAGACATAACAATTATAAACATATATGCACTGTGATAGGCTGAAAAATGTACCCCTCACCCCCAGGAAGATATCAGGTCCTACTCCCTGGAATCTGTAAAATGCTACATTACATGGGAAAAGGTTCTTTGCAATGTCATTAAATTGAGGAATTTTTTTTTTGGAGACGGAATCTCACTCTGTAGCCCAGGCTGGAGTGCAGTGGCATAATTGCAGCTCACTGCAACCTCCACCTCCCAGGTTCAAGCGATCCTCCTGCCTCAGCCTCCCGAGTAGCTGGAACTACAGGCACACACCTCCATGCCTGGCTAATTTTTTGTATTTTTAGTAGAGATGGGGTTTTGCCATGTTCGCCAGGCTGGTCTTGACCTCCTGACCTCAGGTGATCCGCCCTGCCTTAGCCTCCCAAAGTGCTGGGATTACAGGCATGAGCCATGGTGCTTGGCCTCAGTTGAGGATTTTGAGATGGGAAGATTATCCTGATTATGAGGGAGGACCCTAAATGCAATCACATGTATCTTTAGAAAATGGAGACAGGGACAGATTTGGCTATAGACAGAAAAGAAGGCAATGTGAAGACACAGGCAGACATCCTCTGGACGAAGTGTGATACTGATTTCAGATTTCTGGACTCTAGAACTGTGAAAGAATAAATTTCTGCTGTTTAAGCCACCAAGTGTTTGCAGTAATTTGCTATAGCAGCTATAGGAAACTAACATATACATTTAATAACAGAGCCCAAATATACATGAAGCAAAAACTGATAGAATTGAAAACAGCATTTGGAGACTTCAATATCCCACTAGCAAAACAAAAACAAACAAAAACAAAAACAAAAAAAACAACTAGACAGAAAGTCAGCAAAGATACAGAATAGTTAAACACAAAAAACTAAGTCAATCAACTCACATCCACAGAACACTCAACAATAGCAGAATATCCATTCTTCTAAAGATAACATGAAGAATTCTCCTATATAGACCCAATGCTAGGTTGAAAACAAGTCTCAATACATTTTAAGCAACTGAAATCATACACAGTATGCTCTCCAATCACAATGAAATTAAAAATAGAAAATACAGGAGAAAATTTGGAAAATACACATTTGGAAAATACAGAAGGGGATTTTGGAAAATATTTGGAAACCAAGCAATGCACTTCTAAACAATCCATAAGCCAAGAAAGAAACCACAAGAATATTAAGAGAATTGCATAAGCTGAATGAAAACAAGGAAACAAAATATCAAAATTTATGAGATACAGCAAAAACCACACATAACGAGAAAATTGTAATTGGAAAACCTGATATTGGAAGAGAAGAACTCAAATAAAAAAACTAGGTTTCCAATTTAATAATCTAGTTAGAGTAAACTAAACCCAAAGCAAGCAAAAGGAAAGAAAGAATGAATATTAGAGCGAAAACTCAACGAAAGAGAACACAGAGACACCATAGAGGAAACCAGTGAAACAAAAAGTTGGCTCTTTGAAAAGACAACAAAATTGACAAACCCTTTTAGCAAGACTGAGCCAGAAAAAAAGATAACACCAATTACCAAAAATCAGTATAAATGAGGTAATATCATTACTAACCTTAGAGAAATTAAAATGATAATAAGTCATACTATGAACAACTTTATAAAAATAAATTAGTTAAATGGACAAATTCCAAGAAAGAAATAAATTACTGACATAGATTCAAGAAAAAATTTAAAAAAAATCTTGATAGACCTATAAAAACTAAAAAAACTGATTTGGTAATTTAAAATCTTCTCACAAAGAAAAGGCCATGCCTAAATAGCGTCAGTGGTGAATTCCACCAAACATTTAAAGAAGAAATAATATGTAGCATTCACAAAGTCCTTCAAAAATATAGAGGAAGAAGGAACACTGCCATGTCTCATTCTATGAGACTAGTATTACCCTGATAATAAAGTCAGATGAGGATATCACAAAAAAACTGCAAACTAATATTCCTCATAAATATAGATTCAAAAATCCTCAAAAGTAGTAATTCCTCAAGAAAATACTAACAAAACAAAAATCCAGGACATATCAAAAGAACTTAAAACATATAAGTGTAATATATTTGTGAATGCAAGGCTGGTTTAACAACCAAAAATCAATTTATATAATATATCATATTTCACTTTTTTGTTTCTTGCTTGAAAATCTTTCCCTATTCCAATATCACATAGAAATTCTCCTGTATTATCTTGTTAAAGTTTATAGTTTTACCTTTATATATAAAGCTTTAATATACTTTCATTTTGTTTGTGGCATAAAATAAGGTTCCAATTAAAATTTTTTTCCCCATATATCTGCTATAGGTTGAATTGTGGCCACTCCCCCCAAATTTTTATGTTAAAGTCTCAACCTAACAGCACCTCAGAAGGTGGCCTTATATGAAAATTGGGTCATTACAGAAGTCTTTATTTAGGATAGGCCATACTGGAGTAGGGTGAGTCCTTAATCTAATATGAATGGTGTCCTTATTAAAAGGAAAAATTTGGACAGACAGACATGCATAGAGGGAGGATGATGTGAAGAGACACAAGGAGAAGACAGCCACATATAAGCCAATCAGAGGGCTAGAACAGGTCCTTCCCGTACAGCATTTAGGAGAAATCAACCCTGCTAAACTTTGATTTCAGACCTCTGGACTCCAAACCTGTGAGACAATAAATTTCTGTTGTTTCTACCCAGATAATCATACTTTGTTACAGAAGCCCTAGGAAACTAATAAAATAACTATTTATCTCAGAATCCTAAATTGAAAAGTCCTTCCTTTCCCCACAGTTCTGCAATACTAGCTCTATAATGGATGAGGTTTCTTTACATATCCTGGCCTATTTCTGGGTTCTCTGTTCACTTTTCCTGTACTACTTCTCCTTCCCTAATTACTATAGCTTTATAATAATTTTTGATATCTAGTAAAGCAAGTCCCTCTGAAATCTGCTCTTGTTCCCCAAAAGGATTTTGGCCATAATGGTCCTTTGCTCTTTAAAATCAGTTTATCATCTTCCAACAAAACAAAGTAAACCTACTGAATGGTTTTTATATTTTTACATTGACTTTATAAATAAATGTGGGGAGAATTAACAATCTATCAATATGGCAAATCTTTTTTCCTCTTATTTAGGTGTCCTCGTTTTTTAACTAAAAATTTCACAGTAAATTACATATCACGGCTAAAAGCAAACCAAACAATAGTAATTTTAGACTCTTCATACCTATCTCCCTACATTCCCAGGGAATTTAAATCCAACCACTGCACTGGGAGTAAAGAGGATGAAGACATGAGAGGGAGATACCCTCAGCTAACAATAATTATTTCCAACTGCAGCCACCACGGCTGTTTACATTCTTGGCCACATCATTATCAATATGGGAAATGAAAAGGAAACAATAACAACAAAAAAAACAATTTGAAAAAAGCTTCTGGCATTTCAATTCCAAAAATTTTTTTTTTTAAATGTTGTCTGGTCAGTGGTCTTAAGAATGTCATTTCCCCACTCTTGTTCAGTGGGGGGCATGACAGTCTGTCTCTATGCTGTCATCACTTGAGAAGTGTAAATTTTCCATTCAGAGAAAAAAATTATACAAGATTGACCTAATTCATTCAGAGGTGTAAGATCTATAAAGGTTTATGTTGAATAGATTTAAATTTTAGCAATGATAGAAACAAGTTTAGATTTTATTTCTTTATCAACCTTGTTTTTTCCTGTCAGGCAATACTATGAAAGGACAGCATCTCTTTTAACTTGTCCACATATTCTCTGATGATAATGGAAAGCAGATAGTATATTCATTTTATTTTTCTTTACCTTGTTAAGTGAGTACTATTTGTGTCACCATTATGAAATAGTAGAGGAGACAAAAGCTATAGAACATACACAAAAGTAAATGTGATTTTAACTGGTAACCTTAGGACAATTCAACAAGAGAACGCTTCCTTTGCTATATTAATGCCACCTCCAGGCCTTGAGAAGCTTTCTGTTTCAACAAGGTATCAAAGAGAAGGTAATCTCCAAATAGGGATATTGTCTCTTATTCATCGAATCTAATAGTGCTGGTCCATAAGCAAGCACCCAATAAATACATGTTAAATGAATGAACTATTATAATTTGAATCAATTATGTATATTATGTATCTTTTGGCTAAAACAAAATGCTCTATTTTTAAAGGTCAACTTTTAGTGATTCTCCCCAGAGTATGGTTTTCTTTGTCTCTTATTCAACATGAAACTTGAAGGTTATAAGAGGCAGTATAATATGTAGGTCCAAACATTGACATTATATCATAAGAGACAGATGATGGGCATTCCGAACTCATAAATTTTTCTATTATTTGAAAGTATGAAAGCCTTTTTCTCATTTATATTTCTGATGCTGTATCTGAAATAAATTTTTTTCCTAGTTCAGGTAATAGTAGATAACAGGGACCAATCTCAGGGATATAATTAAGACTGCTTTGGTTTTACCCTGATTCCAACTGTTCAGAACAAAATATAATTTACTTCTCTGAAAAACTAATGAAATTTAGGTGAGTTTTCCTTCTAAAATATGTAGGATATTATCTTCTGTTCATAAGCCCATCCACTTAGCCAGTTTTCCAATCCTACATTTAGATCTTCATTACTTACAGAAAACTGAGGATAAGAGTCGTTGGGTGAGACAGTAGTTACAGTCCTCTAACACAAACAGGGAATGTAGCATTACTGGTTCACTACCAAAATCATGCTCCTAAAAATACCCTATCCTCTTGAATTAACAACCAAATACTTAAAAAAGACATGCTGGGTATCTTAAAATGAGTATGTCAGTTAATTAATTCTCTGATCCCCTGCTACCAACCGAGTATTGTATAATCTGTTATTATTCACTGTCCTATAGATCATCTGTTCTTGGTGCTGGTTTGTTCCAGGAAGAGGGACAGCTGCAACACTATATCCCTGTTCAACCTGAGGACCATCTGACTTTAATTGTAACACACAGCTTGATGTGGCTCTGGCTATGAGAAGCCGAAGTATCGTCTGTAATAATCTGGAAAAGCAGAAACCTGCCAACAGAGGGCTGAAAACAGGGATTGTGCTGTCTGGCTGCCTGACGGGCTGCAGGAAATATGATTAATGAGTAAGGTATAATGATATCAGGAACCCGATTAGCACCACAAAAAGGTCACAGATCAAAGTAGTATGCATTTCATGAGCTGCAATCATTGCATAAAATCTGTGGAATTGAAGTGGTAAACCAAAAAGAGGAGGGGGATGAAACTCTTATGTGACAATATGCTAACCAATACATAAGATACAATACTAACAATTTAGTCACTTGTAGAAAGTTAAAAAGAAATTACAAAATGAATCAATATAGACTATATTGTAAGGAAACTTTGTTCATCAGAGGTGTAAAATAAATATTTTGAATGAATGAATGAGGTATTAAATTCTTTCATAAAGGCACATATATGTAAAATCAAGTATCTTTCCTAATTATGAATTAAAATGACCAGATATATACTCAACTCTAAACTATGTTTGCATTTGAATTGCAGTGATTTTATATACAGTTCTGTTTAGGAATGTAAGCTAATTCAGAGTCTAAACAATGAAGACATCTATAAAACTCAAGCAGTAGGAATCACTGGGAAAAATATTAAGTAAACTCAATAATAATGTTATAACAAATGCACAGTTAATACTGCAAAATATTATTTGGTATATAACTTTACAATCATGCCCAAGTTTAGAGCGTGGGTAGCCAAAATCCAAATCTACTTGTAAAGCAATTACGTAAACCACAATCTTCTTTTCCTTAGTGCCCTTGTAAACCTGTCCCAAATAGACCTGGCTCTTCTGAGGTGAAGGCAGTGAGGGTAGAGATGGGAGGTACTGTCAAGAGAGCGGCTTGCCTTAACTTATGTAATTAAATTTTTTAATTGTCAAAATGTTGGTGAAAAACTTAATATATAACTTATTCAAATGTTTCTGCCTTTTAGAGCTCCTTTAAAGTGAAGTAAACATACTAACAAACTTCTTTATATTATTAATAATACTAACTATGGTAATGATTAACAGAAAACCGATTCCCTTGAGACTTAAAATTTCAAGTCATATTTGAGAAAAAGTGTGTCAATAAAAAAATGATCAGAACATGATTTTTTCTTAAAAGTATATTCACCAATAATGAGGATATTTTGTATCTTTTATATATTGTATAAATATTTAATATCTAATATTTAGTTAAAACATTTTTTAAATCGTGATTCAAAAGACACCATTAAAAAATAAAAAAAGGCTAGTTAAAAAATATTTTCAAAATATATGTTGGATAAATGACTTTTATGGAGAATACACAAAGATCTCTTACAATTCACTAATAAAAAGACAACCCAATTTAAAAACAGGCAAAATATTTGAATGGATACTTCACCAAAGAAAATATATATATATATGAGTAGCAAATAAGTCGGTGAAAAGATGGTTAACATTTTCATCATTAGGATAATGCAAATTAAAATAACAATGACCTACCTACTAGAATGGCTAAAATAAATAAGACTGACAATACCAAGTCTTGTTAAGGATAGGGAAAAACTGAAACTTCATACATTGTAGGAATACAAAATGGTAAACATTTTTATTATATGACCCAGGAATTCCCAGAAATCTACCCAAGAGAAATAAAAACAGATGTCCACACCAAGACTTATACGCAAATATTTATAATAGCCCAAACTAGAAAAAAAAGTCCATTAACTAGTAAAGAGATTTTAAAATGTGATATATCTATAAAATGGAATACTATACAGCAATACAAAGAAATTAACTACTGATATATGCACAACATGGATGAATCTCAAAAAACATCATGCTAACTGAAAGAAGACAGGCATAAAAAGACTACATATTGTATGATTCCATTAATATAAAATTTCTAGAAAAGCAAAACAGAGACAGAATCAGTGATTGCCTGGAGCCGGCAGTGGAAGCAGAGGCTGACTATAAAGAGGCCCAAGGAAACTTTTTGTACTCGTGAGTGTTCTAAAGCTGGAATGTAGTGGCAGTTACATAACTGTATACACTTACTAAACTCCTTGAATTGCATACTTTAAGAAGTTGAATTTTATTATATATAGATTGTACCTCAATGAATTTGTTTTAAAAGAAAAATCACTGAAAGAAAAAAGTTGTAGTATGAATGTAACTTCTATTCACTTTTGTGTATCCCTGGGGAAAAAAAACCACACACGACCATAGACACCTGCCGCATTTAAAGGTTTGACATTTCCTTCAGTATCTTTCAGAGCAAGTTTAGTCTTCATCTCTCAATCACAGAAACTTTGTGAGAATCTTTAAAAATTCTTGGGGTAAAAGTAAAATGCAACATGTTCCATAAGACTGTGATAGAATAATATTATTTACTATTTTCTGAGTGCCTACTATAAGCCAGATAATATTCTAGGCATTTACATACATAATTACAATTGTTTACTCATAATTTCAAAATTACAAATGAAAAAACCAAAGCTCAGAAAGGTTAAACTGCTAAGGTCCCACAATCAGCAATGTGATTGATAAAGGATTGGAAAATCTGGTCAGATTCCAAAGCTTACATATTCTTTCCACTCCCCTGCATTGTTTCCAGTATATATAGAATGCAAAATTTCAATAATAATGAGACTGTAATAGGATCTGGAAGATAGGATTAATTGTTGGTATGAAAAGAAAGGAATGCCACATTAAAAAAATGCAATAATTTTCCTTTTTTACATGTGAAGTAAAAACAATGCAACTGAGATTTCACTTTTAATGTAGAGTGTGGTAAACATTCTACTTTTATTTTTTAAATTTATTTTATTTTTTATTTTTTCGAGACAGAGTTTCACTGTGTCACCCAGGCTGGAGTACAATGGCATGATATCAGCTCACTGCAACCTCTGCCTCCCAGGTTCAAGCGATTCTCCTGCCTCAGCCTCCCAAGTAGCTGGGATTACAGGCGCCTGCCACCACATCCGGCTAATTTTTGTATTTTTAATAGCAGTGGGGTTTCACCATGTTGGGCAGGCTGGTCTCGAACTCCTGACCTCAGGTAATCCACCCACCTTGGCCTCCCAAAGTGCTGGGATTACAGGTGCGAGCCACCGCACCCGGCCAAGATTCTACTTTTAAATACTAAGAATAAAGCTCCCTGATTCCAAACTTCTGTGAAACTTAAAAGGCAAAAAGGAAAAGTCATATTAGTGTCTCGAAAATAATACTGAACCCAGATAATGAAGGACACTAAAGAATCCACTAAAGAGGATACTAAAGAGTTGTTTGTAAGCACAAATTCAATGTGCTTTTAAGTTTTAACATTTTCATATTCTCAATATTACACGAAGATTTCCTTCAAATGATAGATACAGGACATAATTTGAAAATCTTGTTTCTATTATGAAAATGTGCAATGGCCTTCTAACCTGGAACACAAAATTATGTTCCTTTCCTGGAAAGAGAAGCTCATATTTGGAAAAACTTACAATCCCAATTTCACTTCTAACTTTCGCTTAAAATTTTGAATCATCATGTATATATGAATGTAACTTAACTTCTGCATAAAAGAAACTATTACTTTATATATCAATTCAATAACATTTCATAAAGTATATACAAGGATTCTTGAGCTATTATGTCACTTTCAGTTAGTCCTATCACCTACAGCTTTGTCCAGAAGAGCAAGGGTTAATGATTATACACCAACACATGAAAGATGCTTTGAGCAAAAGCTCATGACAGACAGAGTAGATGATTATTATCTTACCAATCTGTTTATGTGAACAAATTCTTCTGAGGTTTTGGCCCAAGGAGGAAGTTCGACATCAGACACTACTGTCCCATCATCCATCACTCCAAGATTATAATTATTGAAGTTGACAAACATCTCAGGGAGATAATAAAATTCAGGGATCAACTCCTATATAAAAATAAAAGACAATGTGATATTATAAACTGTAGGATACTGACTAGATATTCAAAAAAAGGACCTGATCATTTTCTATTGTTCAGAAGAACAAAATAAACACAGGGAATTTTTTTTTCTTTGCATATCATAGCCCTGTCACAGTTTCTCATAAGATAGACAGATCCTATCTAACCCAACTTAAATAAGATCTTACTGGTATAAATAACTTTCATAGGCTTTCCTTCATGACATGTCTCATAACCTCAAAACTCTTAAATACAAATATTTTAGTAATAACTGAGGTTTGACAAGATATAAACATAAATTACCATGCTATAACAATAATGACAACCTAACTAGATTTTTTATGAGGTATATTGAATTTTTGCCAGAAAAACCCAAAATCTTTCTAAGCATTAAAATGCCAATGTCTTGGTCTCTTCATCAACCAGGAAGATAATTTATTACAGTTTAGCCATGGTTTCTCAGTACCTTTTCCTCACATTTCAAAACGGTCAAGTTTAAAGATACCAACTCTGATAGAAGATCAAAATTTAAAATTAGTCTAGAAAATGACTTGCATGAGAAACTGAGTAAATTCAATATGTAACTTTAATAATGACATTTAATAAGCAGAAAAATGCAGCTGCTTAGCCTTTTGTGTGTAATAAACCCCATATATAACTATTTCAGAGGCTCTGTAGATCAGACTTGAAATCCAGTCTTGACATGGGTCAGTGGTTCAGTGGTCTTTCAGATATCCCCTCAGGGCCAGCAATGGCAGGCCCGGCTTTCCAAACAGTTGAGTAAAATAGGGAGGTCATCAGATTTTGGACAAGGTCAGTATGAACTTGCCAGAGCAGAGAAAAAAAATCCAGCAGGAATTAAGCTATTATCACCTCCATGATCCATGTGAAATGTTGCCTGACTTTGAATTGTACATCCTTTGTTTACAATCACATTAATTAACTAAGCAGGGTAGAAACGAGCTTGTTCTTCCAAATGGCTGACAACCACCTGACCATTAGACTTAAAAAGCATTTTAACTGAACAATTAAAAAAAAAAAAAGACCTTATTTAAAGCTTAGCTATAAATAAAATTAGATTATAATCACACAAAAATTTTAAGATTCTCATCTTCAAAAACAATGTATATAATTCTAATTGACAAAAGAGGAAAACACAGGTGTGTGTTATTTTATGAAGCAAAAAGCCATATCCAATTTGTCTGAGCTAACACTTATTGCATGGTATGAGTCATACTCTCATACCATAAATAAATAAACTCTTAATAAACCTTATTACATTTAATCTCACAACCACTTTACAAGGTAAAGTATCAATCATTTCTACTTAAAAAATGAACTAAGGCTCAAAAAAGTGCTTTGTCCAACGTTACCAGTTGGACAAAATATGGAAGTTGGACCAGGACTTGTTTAACTGTAAAGCCTGTGTCCTCAGTCATCAAATAAGCCTGGGTTCTACCTACACAGTATATGCAGTGCTAAACATTTTAAGTATAAGTTTTTAACTTATATACAAAGTGATTTTTAAAAAAGGAAAAGAAACTCTAAACTTTTAGCATTTTCATGATGAGAAAACAACTGGCTATCCTGAATACATATATCTTTCATATATATATATTTATCTCTCTCTATACAGCAATTGTTATATAAATAATTGAAAAAGAATTTTTGTAATGTGATTTATCCCAATAAATCACTATATAATTTTCTAGTATTAATTTGCCCAAGTGTGTATTCAATTAATTTCCAGCTTTGACAAATTTTACCAAAATATGTTATTTTCACTTCATAATACTTGTGCTACTGAAGATGAATGTTACTATTCCCAGGCCTTGTTTCACAATAAAGAGGGAGGAACATGCTTTCCTTGTTCATTGACAATCAAAAGCAGCATTTGCTTAATTAAATACTAATTATTCTCATTTCAGTAATACCCGCTGCCCACTTCCACCCCCAATTCACACTCTATCATGATTAGAAGATAGTGTCCTTCTTTTGCTGGTTATACCTACCATGCTCTTGTTTTATAATTCTCCTAGATTCAAAGCAATAATTATAATGGATGAATTTTAAGTGCTAGTTTTCCCCTGAGTTTTAAAATTTGAGAGATGCATCATTTCCATTGTAAATTAGAGATGCATAATAAAATATACCTAAATGCATAGTAAAAATATACCTAAAAAGTACTCTTACCAACACCAATTTGAGGAAGCAGAATGGAACAAATGACATTTCATAGCAATTGTTACAAAAATGAAGTTTTCAATCCTTCTAATATATAGTGTCAAAATATTATGATTTTGTATATTTGTCTGTATCTTCTACATCTGTTATTTCATTCAGGTTACTCAACAAATTGACAAAAAATTTATTTGCTCAAAACAAATATTCTCCACAAGTTTTTTTGGTTTTTTGTTTTTTTTTTTTTTGGTTAAGAGACAGGGTCCCACTCTGTCACCCAGGTTGGAGTACAGTAGTGGCACAATCATAGTTCACCGTAACCTCAAACTTTAATCGATCTTTCCACCTTAGCCTCCCAAGTGGCTAGGACTATAGGAATACACTACCATGCCTGGCTAATTTTTTAATTTTTTGCAGTGACAGGGTCTGGCTATGTTGCCCAGGCTAGTCTCAAACTCTTGGCTTCAAGCAATCCTCCCCAAAATATATTTTATTCCTGGCCCAATTTATTTTTAAATACACATTTATTATGAATTATTATGTTACTTTAATATTGACACCTTAACCTAAATATAAATTCAATTAGTTAAACTAGAAATTAAATGGAGCAAAACCACCCATAAAACAAACAAGAATTTTTAAATAAGTGATATGAAGAAAGCAATTTCAAACTTTTAAGTCTTTCAGCTACATAATATCTATCATGCTGGGAAGAAGGTAATAACCATCAGTTTCCATTTAATTACTATGGATTTTGTGATTTCCTAAGGAAACATTTTATGTAAATTTTGTACAATGGGCATTGTAAACATATTTCAAAATTAAAAATTTAAACAGTAAAAATTAAAAATTAGCTTTCAACATTTCACTTGAAATTTATCAAGATATGTATTTGTGTTTTACTCTATTTTTTCACCTCTCACTCCCTTCACCTTTAATTTTAAGAGAGCAGACAGGCATTTCCTTTCTCAAGAACATTTGCAGGGTCCAGAGCAGAGGCCTCTTGAAGGCATCTTTCTTTTCTGTCTTGTGTGAATCTCTAAGCAAACAGAGAGTATATGAGGTATCTAGGTGAAGGAGGAGTCAAATGTTAGTATTTTTAAAGAGAGAGAAGCCAAACAGGCATAAATTTTTTCCAAGAGTAGGGAAGCAAGTTCTCAAAATCTACAGTCAGCATTTTTTTTTTCCCCAGCCTGGGGGAAAGGAGAAGGGATTAAGAGGTTAGGCAGGAACCCAGAGGATGGGGAATGGTGAGCGGGTCACTATATGCCCATACAGTGCCTCTATGTGAAATAGAAGAAAGGTAACACTGCTAGGCTAATGCAGTCCTAAGAGAATTCAGTTTGGTAAATGGAGTAAGTACAGGCTGGATTTTAGCTTCCGTTCTTTCTCTCAATCAAGTGCCCTTTCATGAAGAACAATCTGCCTACTGTACATAGTGGCCCCATGCATGGTGCACATAGGGAAGCTAGTCCCTTGGCACCATGGTTTTTGGCATCAGCAAATATTTTCTAACAGTAACTTGGTATAATCATCAGAGCTGCCTGCCTTCGAAAGACCATATGTATCTTAGACAATAAAGATATGACTAATGAAGAAAACGATGGACTAAAGATGTGAAGGCTAGTTTTCTAGGTATCACACAAGCCTGGACTCTCATTCAAGCCTTGAGAAAAGAAGGTCCCTGCCCTACCAATCTAATAACTATGAAGGAATTTTTCAACAGCCTAATATGAAGAAGGGCTAAGTTCAAATTAGGATATTTCTTGTACACTTGAGTTGGTGGTTATAATTTTATACCTATGTCAATAATGGTAAAAAGTTAGCAATATATTCACTGATAATATCTTTTTTTTTTTTTTTTTTTTTTGAGATGAAGTCTTACTATGTCACCCAGGCTGGAGTGCAGTGGCGCGATCTTGGCTCACTGCAACCTCTGCCTCCTGAGTTCAAGCGATTCTCATGCCTCAGCTTCCTTAGTAGCTGAGATTATAGGCGCCTGTAACCATACCAGGTTAATTTTTGTATTTTTAGTAGAGACGGGGTTTCAGCATGTTGGCCAGGCTAGTCTCAAACTCCTGACCTCAGGTGATCTGCCTGCCTCGGCCTCCCAAAGTGCTGGGATTACAGGAATGAGCCACCAAGCCCAGCCATGATAATATATGTCTAGCCCAGGCACCGTGGCTAAGGCCTGTAATCCCAGCACTTTGGGAGGCCGAGGCAGAAGGATGGCTTGTTTCCAGGAGTTCAAGACCAGCCTGAGCAACATGGCAAGACCCGTCTCTACAAAAAAATTAAAAAATTTAGCCAGGTATGGTGGCATGCACCTGTGCCTGTAGTCCCAGCTATTCGAGAGATTGATGTGGGAAGACTGTGAGCCCAGGAGGCTGCAGTGAGCTGTGTTCACACTACTGCACTCCAGCCTGGGTGACAGAGTGAGACCCTGTCTCAAAAAAAATACATATATATTATACATATATGGTATATATATAAAGTATATATATAATACACATTATAGTATAAAGTATATATAATGCACATTATAGTATAAAGTATATATAATACACATTATAGTATAAAGTATATATAATACACATTATAGTATATATAAAGTATATATAATACACATTATAGTATATATAAAGTATATATAATACATATATAATATATAAAGTATATATAATACACATTATAATATATATAAAGTATATATAATACACATTATAATATATATAAAGTATATATAATACACATTATAATATATATAAAGTATATATAATACACATTATAATATATATAAAGTATATATAATACACATTATAATATATATAAAGTATATATAATACACATTATAATATATATAAAGTATATATAATACACATTATAATATATATAAAGTATATATAATACACATTATAATATATATAAAGTATATATAATACACATTATAATATATATAAAGTATATATAATACACATTATAATATATATAAAGTATATATAATACACATTATAATATATATAAAGTATATATAATACACATTATAATATATATAAAGTATATATAATACACATTATAATATATATAAAGTATATATAATACACATTATAATATATATAAAGTATATATAATACACATTATAATATATATAAAGTATATATAATATACATTATAATATATATAAAGTATATATAATATACATTATAATATATATAAAGTATATATAATATACATTATAATATATATAAAGTATATATAATATACATTATAATATATATAAAGTATATATAATATACATTATAATATATATAAAGTATATATAATATACATTATAATATATATAAAGTATATATAATATACATTATATTATATATAAAGTATATATAATACATAGATAATATATAAAACATATATAATATATAAAGTATATATTATACACATATATAATATAAATATATACATATATCATACATATTTTATATATATAATATAAATATATACTTATACATATATTATATATATAAAGTATAACATATAAATATATGTCATTTTATGTATATATTTATATATACATATATACACATACACAAAATGCAGGAAGAATTCAGTATGGACAGAAATACAAATAGAATGTAAATGTTATTTCTTATTAAAATAATAAAACTCATAAGAACACCTCTTAATTATTTGATTTAAACCTTAGGTAGAAATGAAGGGTGATGTAGCACATCATTATCACAAAAAAGAAACCACATTTATTTAGTTCTTATTCTTTTTTTGTTTGTTTAACAGAGAGCTTCAGTTTCACGTCACTGTCCTAGCTTCATCTACCTGTTGCCAACAACTTGAAGGAGTTTCTCCATAGCCCTTGATTCCTGAATTGTTCAACATATCAACAGCAATAGTCACAAATACATTGACTTAAGGAGTAAACAAGCAGCTTTTCTCTACAGACCACTGAGCACCCCAGGAAGGTGCAGCTCTCTGCTCCACCCCAGCGTCTTGGTGTCTGTGTCCAGCAGGAAGGACCTGGCAGGAGGCTGAATCCAAGCACTGCTTTCAGGCCACTCTATTCTCATCCCTGGATCCTCCAGGGAAATAAGGGGGAAAAAAAATGACTTTTCCTGCTTTCAAAATGGAGGGCCTTAAAATCAACCAAAGTTCCAGAACAAAAACAAAACACAGGAGCTGGCTGGGTGCACTGGCTCACACCTGTGGTCCCAACATTTTGGGAGGCCAAGGTGGGAGGACTGATTGAGTGCAGGAGTTCAAGACCAGCTTGGCCAACATGGCAAGACCCCATCTCTACAAAAAAAGTAAACAAAAATCAGTCGGGCATCATGGCATATGTCTGTAGTCCCAGCTACTCTGGAGGGTGAGGTGAGGACTGCTTGAGCCTGGGAGGGCAAGGCTGCAGTGAGCCGAGTTCATGCCACTGGCACCCTAGCCTAGGAAACAGAGTTAGACCTTGTCTCAAAACAAAAACCCAAAAAACCCCCCATCATCTGCAAAGCCATGTTGGGAGCACAACTGTTTCCCATAGGCTTTCTTTTTCCTTGCCCCATTGACTTCCAGAAGGTTTTCCCCTTACCCATCATTGTGACTTTTCTCATCTTTCACAATGGTGCAATTCAATAGGAAGAATTAACAACTAGAAAAGGAAGAACAACAACAACAAAAAATCTAACCCTATGAAAACTCTGCCTTCAACATAACTCCAGGGAGATGAACATTATAATACTGGCACTCCTGACCCACACTATCCTCTGCACCCCGTCCCTGACCACATCCTCCTCTCTGGACACTTAGACATCAGGTTCCCCAAGGGACAAGGTTCCATGAAGAGCACCCTGAGTTCCTTAGAAGAACTGGCACTGCTCCGGCTCCTCTAACAACTGAGACTGGCACTGTGGGCACCACCAGGTGAGCCTCTGGAACCCACCTGAGGGCCCAAAGGGCTTCTTCATGACCTGGTGGCCAGCTGGGCACTGTTCTTTCTGGTAGACCTGCATGTGCTGCGGTTTGCCCTGGAACTTGCCCTGCAGCCAGGCTGTACTGAACTCCACCACGTGATCCACCAGGGCCTCCTAACATGGAGGCACTCAGGACTGAACCAAGAGAAAGGGGATGGATGCCAGCTCTGTACAAGACTTCATTCTTAATGACGTTCCCTAGCCCTGAGAAGTATTTCTGGTCCAATGGTGTATAAGTGACAGGCTGAGCCTGGCCTAGAGCTTCCAAGGCTTGTCCTCAATGGAACTTCTCAGACAGGATGTCACAGGTGGGTGTGACCTCTGGGGAAGAGCTCCAAGGCATCTGACAATTATAAAGTGCCAGGAAGCTACCACCACCAAAGTACAGGACCAACCTCGGGGCAGGGTCCCTCCGGTCCCCCTTCTTGTTGGCTTTCTTGGCTCTGGAGAAGTCGTTCACCCAAACGCTGCCAAGCAAACAAGAGCTGACACGCAGCCGCCTCCCAGCATCTCCTGTAGGGGTGTCTCCCTTCAAACATTCCTAATCATCCTCTCCCTGGGGGACGAGCTCTGCGGACTGTGAGGAGGCGTCAAGGGTCTTCTGCCCACTTGCTCCCGGGCCTGCTTTGAGTCCACAGTCCCTTCCTTCTGCGCTTCTTTTTGTGGAGGCTCTGGCGGTGAGCTGTTGCCAGCGGGCCCCATTTCTTCATCTGGATCAAATCTAAGGAATAATTTCTTTCCATGGACCTGGGTGTCCTGGAGCCACAGAGACTGGAGGCTGGTGGGCTATACTTCTTACTGTTGCTCCCTGTCTTTACCACCTGCTTGCCCACAAAAGGAGAGACCGAATGGTGAAATGTCCTCACCAACAGCCCTTCTGGCATCCCAGCTCCGGGTGGGCAGCCCCTTGGCCCGACCCAGCACCACTGCACGCCCCGCACAGCAGCTCCAGCACCAGGCAGAGATTTCTCAGCGCCACGGCACACGTGGGCTCCGTCCCCTTAGGGGACGCCCCTGTAGGTTAGTTCTTACTCTTTAGAGAGAACTGTTTTAGGGTCTGGGATACATAAAATGAGTCCCCCCCACCGCCCGAGAATACAGATCTAAATCAGTAATAGAGAAAGAATATATTTTTAGGAGAAAATACGTTGTGAAAACAACTAGCACTCCAGAAGTTCAAATAAGAAAATTATGACTAAAAGTTGGGGTGGCCAGAGAAAGCTTTAGGGAAAAGATTGTAATACATTGTATTTCGCTAACACAGAACTCATCAATCTGTATTATAACTGCTTGTTTGTTTCTATCTCCCTCTAAATGGAAGGATCCATGAAATTGAGGACTTTACATGTGAATTTAAAGTATGACAAGCATTTCTAAGAAACTAATAGTGAGGAGAGAGATTATTAAGATTTTACATATAGTATGAAGAACAACATCAAATTAGCACAATTAAATAAGAGAGCGAGCATATATACAGCAAATCCTCACCTACTGTCATCGATAGGGTCTTGAAAATTGCAACTTTATGTAAAATGGCATATAACAAAACCAATTTTACCACAGGCTAATTGATATAAATGAGTTAAGTTCCCACGGCATATTTTGGTTGCCACAAAAACATCACCAAACTTCTAAAAAGAGACCCAAAACACTTCTACTATTAAATATTGAAATAAATGTGAGCTATATGTACATCTAAGAAAGATTAACAAAAATAAGATAATTATTTACCCATTTATTCCACTTCAGGGTTGCAGGTGGCCTAACACCTACTGCGCCAACTCAGGGCACAAGTGAGGAAACCATGGTGCCTTGGACAGGACACCAGGTGCCATCCCATAGCAGGGAGCACGTGCGCGCGTGCACACACGCACACACACACACACACACAGAGTCAGATGGGTACCAGGTAGACACACCAGTTCACCTTATGTGCACATCTTTGGGATGTGGGAAGAAACCAGAGTACCTGGAAAAAGCCCACACAGACATGGGAAGAACATGCAAACACCACACAGAAAGTGGCCCCGGCCATGAATTGATGTTTTTTTTCTCACCAGCGATATAACAAAACATTGAATGAAATGACGTTATTTGAGGACATGCTGTACTTAAACTATATTGCAGTCTCATCACAAGAAAATCTGCATGAATAAGTCGGTGATGAGAGTGCAATACTCTCTTAATACGAAATAAACATGCTGAACTCAACTGATATATACCAATATGTAACAAAATAAATAAGCATAATACAGCCAAAATCTTACTGTGGATGACAATGGCATTTAAGTTATACAGTAGAATTCCATTTTAATACTAAAAGCATCTTTCTAAGAACCATATCTTGATACAATACCAAATATTACAGTTCAAAATTATCTCTTTTGACAGATGAAATGTAGTAACAGAGTCAAAGATTATGCCTTTCTAATACTTTTAATGCACATTTACAAAGTGAAGTATGTTTTATATTCATCAGAACAGAACAGTCAGCTCTGGATAAAAAACACATGTTCAGCAATTCTTTAAAACATCAGTGGAAAATGATAAGTAAACAACACTGACAGAAGACAGATACATTTACAATTCACGTTTTCTTCTGGCTTGCTCAAAATAATTTTAATCTCTATCACTTAATTAGGTAGATGGGTCTTAGAGGCAGGTAACATGGCCAACATTTAGTGTATCATCTCCTAAGATAAAAATTTGAAAGGTTCAACCAGAGGTTACACCACAGTTCAGGATAAGCTCATTGCTTTGATCACAAATCCCAAGGCTTTCATGGCATAATGACAAGGATTGGTTGTGACCACACATATGCTTTAGTTTTCTTTATTAAGGTATAATTTCCACTGATATGAACAACCTTTGCAGCCAGGCTGTATGATTCTCCTTTTAATAGTCACCAATTCTATGCACTGAACTAAACCCACCACTTCAATATATTGGGGCAAACATACCAACTACTAATCTATCAACCAAAAAGAAACAAGATAATCAAAATAGAAATAAAAATGAAGAAGCTCCTTTTTAGTTAAAATTAAATATTTATTTCATTTTTCCTAAATATGAAATATTGACAACTCAAATAGAAGCATGATAAATTAGAAGTTAACTAATTTAAGGTGCACTGCTTAGGGACACTGATGGTAAAAAAATGTGAAAGCAAAATTTTAGCTTTTCACCACTGAAAAAATGATTTAAAAAATTGAAAATAAGCTTTCTTAATTAACAAAAAAGAGCTGATTAACAATATATTATAAAAATATAATGTGCATGTTTTGATACATTTTAATTTTCAAGATTTATTTTGTTAGCCCATAATAAAACTTTTAAAAAATTCACTAGAGATCAAGAACATTGAATTGCATTTATAATAGTTATTTTAAATCAACTGCATATCTGAAAGCTTTCAAGTTGATATTTAAATTTAGTTTGTCCTAATTTGGTAGATAAAATGCTGTTTTTTCCTACAGTAAAAGAAAAACAATCATTTTCAAAATTGGAAAAGAAAAAATAATCTATAATCCTTCCAGACCAACCCCATAAATATTATGTGGTTTTTAGATATTATAAAACTGTTATTTCAAATGCATTACAATAAAGAAAAATCATGGATTACAAATCAATAGATAAATGATAATCTATTTCAATCTGATATAGTAGAAAAAATAATTGGGTTTAAGTCTTGTCTACTCAACTTACTGTCACATGTACTCAAATTAATTTAATTTCTGTGACCCTTACTCACCTCAATTGCCATTTCAAAATCACAGGGTTTGCTGTGAGGCTCATATGGGATAATGCGGAATTCTATATATACATAAGATATTATTATCATTAGTAGGATTCATGATAAAAATCCCAAATTACAGACTCAACTTGCCTAAATCCTAAAGCCAATAGGTCATTCACTGAATTATGCCCATTTATAAAAGCATTTAACATAACTCTAAGAATACTTAACAAAACTTACTTTCAAAAATATATATGCCCACAAAAATATTTGAGACTTAATACTTCCTGCCAAATAACTATGACATTCAAAACAAATATATTATTTTTTTTATTAGCAATGACAGTAGGGTTTAACATGCTTCATATTATGATAAATATCCCCAATAATTTATGGTTCTTTCTTGCTTTCAACACATTTTTCACTTCCATGTTTGAAATGGACATCTCCATTGGGCCTTTTGCTGTTCTAGACCCTTATCTCCAAATAAATTATAATTTGGAAAGAAATAATGGGCAATAATAATGCAAACAAAAAGTGAGCTGTAACTGCCGTAAGAGAAGATGCAAATAAAATTTCTGGAATAAGTGGTAGACATATATTTAGTATGGGAGAAGAACCACTTATCTCAGTATCTAAGAACGCATTAATGAACAGTCTACATTTTCTAGTTGAACAAAAAATATGATAAGATCACCAGTCAAAAAACAAATCACACTTGACATATGCATGCATTTTTATAATTCTGGAAGACATGAATATTTTCCAAATGCCTTAATAGGTTTTTAATTTTCCTGTATAGTATGTAAATAGCATGAGAAGAAAAATATTCAGGGTTTCAAGTAATTTTTATCAATGAGCAAAATGTAGTTCATTGTAGACACGAGTACAAACTTCAATACTTAATTAGCACAAAGTTTCATCATTTAACCTACTGATACTTGAAGAAAAGGGCTAAAGAGATGTGGCTAAATTAACAAATCGCAAGTTATCTATAAGTTACGTATAAAAAGCAAGGATAAACAGACATATTTGAGAAAGCTTGAGCTCACTGATGAAAAAGAAGAGAGGCTGGCAAAAAACAGAAGGAAGGAGGGAAGATAGGAAGGAGAAAGGAATGAGCACTTAAGTTGAAAATGTGCAAATGCATGAATAAGGATAAGATTTTAATTTTACTTTCTTTCAGCATTTTTTAAAACTCTAAATTATTAAAATGGTGTCTGAGAACCGGATGCAGATTTTTTTTACTAAGAAAATAAAATTACTAAATCATCGAAGTTTAAGTTTTTTAAAAAATAAATACATTAAGAAATACATTGCCATCAATTATGTTCTATTAACTGTAGCTAAGCATTTTCTTATAAACGGGCCTAATGTTGATGATATCAGCATCCATGGAATGTATTAACATGGTAGAAGATGTGCTGCTAGGGAAAGAAGAAACCTAATTTATCTTCAGATTGCAGACCTCTGGGATTTCTGAGGTAGTAAAGGGAAGTCAAAGGTCTCATGTTTTACAAATCTCACAAGCCACAAAACTATTCTATGATCACCTCTACTGTATATTATTATTTAACATGCATATGTAATTTAAAACTTTTTAAGGGTTAAATATTAAATTATATATGAGTTCATATAATATTACTGCATAGTCATTTATTTTTAAAATAATATTTAGTATCTCTTAGGACTTAATTGCATTCTATTTACTTAACTGTAAATATAGAATATACTTTACTGACCCTACTAACTTCATAACTTAATACACTCACCACTAATGATGCACATTAAATTATAAAATAGGTTTTTAAGTGAAAAATCCAAGATATGACCAGTGATGGTATGTCCATGTTCGCAAAGCTATCACAGTAATAAAATGTAGAAAATTGAATCATTAACAACTTGTGGTCAGCATCTGACATCCAGCTACCAGTTCTCTTGTGGACATAAAATCTCATCCTAAAAAATGAGATGTTAGTAGTCCCACTTCATATCAGGCATATATCCATTTGAGTTTGGCTGTGCCCTTCTGGCTAGAATAAGCATACACTCTCCATTTTCTCCTCAAACTACCTCGCTATTTTTCCCAGGCTCTTTCACTAACTCTTAGAAAAGCTTTATGCCTCCTGTCCCTTACAGTCAACCAAATGCTCATTTGTTTGCATATCTTTAATAGCTGTGACACAGATCAGGCAGATTGCAAAGTCAATCATATCTATTATCTGGCTATTACTTGCTGAACTGGCTTATATAATTAACTCAAGCATTTTTAGACTGTTACCAAAGGCCTTCATATTAGACTCAACTGCCTTTCAGAATCTCTGTTTCTATGTTTTCTACACACCCGAAACATAAGACCAATTAACAGATCAATAAGCAATGTGCCAAACGTCTTTTCTGAGCTTTGTTCATGTCACTTCCCTTGCTCAGAACCCTCTTCCTCATTTCATCACATTATTAATTCAATACATATTTAATTTAGTGCCTACCATGCTCCAAACACCTTTGTAGATTGTAGGGATAAACCAATGAGGAAAACAGTCAAAAATTTAGGATCTCATGGAGCTAATGGTCAAGTGGGATATGACATAATAAACAAATCAATAAGCATGAGATAAGTATGTCAGATGGTGAGTGACATAAAGAAATATGAAGTCAGGGAGTAAGTAAAAGTGCATGAGGTGATGGGGGCAATTTTAAATAGGGAGGAGAGAGAAGGCCTTACTGAAAAGGTGACATTTGAGCAAAAACCTGAAAGGCATGAAGAATGAGTTCTTAAAGATAACTAAAACAAATGCCTCAGGTGAAAGGAAAAGGAAAATCAAAGGTGCTGAGGTCAGAAGTACTTGAAGGACACCAAGCAGACCCTGTTTAGCTAGAACAGAGTGAACGGGGTGGCAAACAGAAGAGCTCAAGATGTAATAGGATTTTGGAAAGGAGTTAGGTAGTGTAGGGTCTTACGTTGCAAAGATTTCAGCTTATACTCAAATAGGAAACCATTTACGATAGGGGGAAGACTGTAAGAATAGCTTTGAAGAAATGAAGAT
The DNA here is from genome assembly GCF_000001405.40 of Homo sapiens. NCBI lineage: Eukaryota > Metazoa > Chordata > Mammalia > Primates > Hominidae > Homo > Homo sapiens. The sequence continues at coordinate 150,429,542 of NC_000004.12, forward strand.
CAGGAATTTAGTTTTGAACATGTTAAATTTAAGATACAGTTTATATATTCAAATGGAGATGTCGAGGAGGGAGTCAGATATCAGGAGAAATGCACAGGCTAGAGACATAAATGTGGGAGGTCTGTTAGACTCTCCTGCATCCCTTAAGATACAGCTTAAAAATCACTTATTCTGTAAAGTCATTTGCAATCCCATCTCCCCCAGTCAGAATTAATTTAATTTTGTTTATATCTTACTATATAAGATATAGCACTTATCACTATCTAATTTGTACTAAAAATTATTTTATATATGCCTGTCTTTTTCATCTGGAGAGATATGCTAACTAAAGAACTATGTCTATTTTATTCTTTTAATTCTAAATGCTCTCTACTATATATTAAATATAGCAAATAACCAATAAATGCTAGCCTAACTAAACGTGTTTTGGGGGATTTTAATTGACTTCTCATAGTTTTCTTCTTAAAGGCAGGGAGCTAAATATCTATGACCTAACAAAACTTGTTCTTTCTTCTGTGCTATATATATATGCCCAAGTCAAATTTAATCTTTCACTCTCTCTCTCTCATCTTACAAGACAAATCAATCACCAAATCTTAACAGTTACCTTCTAAATATATCTTAAATGTATCCACATTTCTCTAGCCCCACTGGCATTACTGAATATAAGCCTTCACTGCTCCTTGCCTAATTAACAACTTACTGACTGCTTCCACTCTGGGCCATAGACAAGGGCAATACATATGTCAACACCAATCACAGCGGTCTCTTAAAAGCACAAAATCTATTCATGTCACTTCTTTGCTTCAAACTCTCCCAAGTCTCCCCACTGCACCCAGGATAAAGTTCATCCTCTTTCACAAAGCAGAAGGCCCCTCATGATTGGTCCTGAATCTCCTCTTTCCTCTTCCTTCTCTTCATTTCAGACGCTGTATCCATGAGCCCAAGGGGCATGAGCCTACTGTACTAAATTGCTGGGACTTGTTTTACTGTAGGTATCTCCTCTAGTGCAAAAGCCCACTGAAGGCAAGAATTGTGTCATATTTGGTGCTATATCACAACCAGAGTCTGACACTGGATAAACACAATTAAAATACAAAATTTTAAAAGTAAATGATATCTCAGGGTTCCTCCAAACTTTTTAATCTAATTTACTTTTGTACAGGTTATAATTTAATAATATATTATTATATTAAATTCGGGGTTTCTAAAAAAGTATGGTTCTCCAACAATCTCCGTTTCAGATCCATTTACTACTGTCCCCATTCCAAAGTAATGAACTGGGATGACATTTATGATTCCTTCTATGTTCTAGTACCAAGTAGTAATCATTTCTACAGGAGAGAAAGAAAATAATTTAAACTGCAGCAAGTCAGATTGTACTTCACCATTAGATTGAATTTATCAACACTAAAGGAATCTGAAATGAGTAGGCAACCTCAAGAGAAGGGGAAAAAATCAATGACAATAAATTGCCTAGAAAAGCTTAGATATTTGCCTAATATTTAGATGTAGCTGTCTAGTCAAATTCATTTAAACTTCATGAGTCTAATTTGTTACATAAAATTTGGTCATAATAATTCAAGGTTCAGGCTGAAGAAAGTAAACTATTCTGAACCCCAGTTTCTAAATTTAAGTGAATTTTAAAGATTTAAAACACAGAATCTACTGGGGATTTTAAAATATTATTTATCACAGTGATAATTCTCCAACCCAATTTTAATACTTTGTATTTCAGTCTTCAAGATTACAGATTGTTGCTACTAATTGTCTGTTTATTTTTAGATGAAGTACACATCAGAAACATCATTGTTCAAAAAGGGTGAAGGCATTCTTTCCATAAGCCCAAACTATCCCTTGATGTGATTCCAAAACAATGCTCTGAATCTGCACTGCCCCAAGACAGCAGCCACTAGCCACAAATGGCTATTGAACACAAAATGTGTGGCTAGTCTCAACACAGATGTGCCATGTAAATAGAGACATGTTGAGTATAAAATACCACTGGAAGACTTAGTATCAAAAAATGTAAAATATCTAATAATTTTATATTGATTACATATTGAAATAATATTTTGGATATATACGGTTAAGATAAATTATTAAAATTAATTTTTTTTTACTTTTAAAAATACGACTATGAAATCATTTAATTACATAAGTGGCTTATATTTGTGGTTTGTATTATATTTCCATTGGAGAGTCGCTCTAAGTCTACTTAGAAAACTGATCAACACTACTGATCTGCTTCTTCAGGGAGAATAAAAACCATCATTGAGAGGTCAGATCTGAAATGGAATCACCAATGATGCAGAGAAATACAAATTATCCACAAAACTTTAAAAACAGTAAATTATGCTATAAATAAAAGATTGCTTTAGTGTAAAAAAAGGTCTCTTCTTTAAAATAAAAAGAATTAACATTTTAACCTTCATTTCATAGGAATAACCTCAATTTTGGGTAATATTATTCTTTGAGTATTGGGAAAATTTAAGAAATAGGGATTTTAAGATATTCAAGTAACAGCTCCCCCTCAGCAAAAAAACAATTAAGTTACCAGAAATGTGACCCTATTCTTATTTTTTTCTTTCTGAAAAAATTTAAATCTTCTTCATACCTTACATTTCGTTTTTGGAAAATCTCACAAAAACATTTTACAGAATGTATACTATATTAATCAGGCAAGGTATGCTTTAGGATCTACTCAATAAAATGATTCCTACCACCCCACCATCATATTTCACCATCTCCTCTCTACTGTTTAACATTTCTTTAGTATTTCTAGGAACTCCAGCAAGACAATACAAATAAAGTTGACAATTATAACTAATAATGACTCCACCTGAAATATGTGATAGCTGAATGAAATATTTACATATATTTACATATATTACAGTAATTTAAGTGTGTTCTTTTTTTTTTTTTTTTTTTTTTTTGAGACACAGTCTCCCTGTCACCCAGGCTGGAGTGCAGTGGCGCTATCTCGGCTCACTGCAAGCTCCGCCTCCTGGGTTCACGCCATTCTCCTGCCTCAGCCTCCCGAGTAGCTGGGACTACAGGTGCCTGCCACATTTTTTGTATTTTTAGTAGAGACGGAGTTTCACCGTGTTAGTCAGGATGGTCTCGATCTCCTGACCTCGTGATCCGCCCGCCTCGGCTTCTCAAAGTGTTAAGTGTGTTCTTATATATTTATCTCTATTATAATAATTTAAATATACTTTCTAAGGTGCCAAAATATAACATTTTAAAAATAAACAGGATCAAAACAACAACAACAGAGGCATGATTAAATTCCTCCTGTTTTAGAAAGACCAACCAACAGGAGGTTCTTTAAATAGCCTGTATAACCATATATTATACAATTGTCAAAGTATTTGAAAGTCACTAAGTTTTAGGGCCCAAATTAGCTGGTTATCAATATAAAAATGGGGGTAATTTATCAATGCCCTACTTACTATCCTACAGATATTAGGGCATGGTGATGGAGATGGAGAAGGAGAATATACACATTGGTGGAAAAATATCAGTAGGCTTCACAAAGTAAGTTCTGAAAAAAATTTTGTGCTTCCAAACATAATGAAACATATTCCAAACATAAGAGGGAGCTGGATTTGACTCCTTATTATTTGTGATGAAACAAGAATAATAAGAAAAATAAGGAAGAAGAAAGGTAAAGAAGACCATGTGATTTCTTTTGATGTTATAGTTGTTTAGATTTCTTTTTTATTTTTTTTACAGGTAGGGTATTTTAAAGAATTTTTAGAGAAAATGAAACCAGACACAAACCAATTAAAGAATCTTGAAAGAAAAAGGCTGAGGTTCAGGAAAAAAAGAAAACAAAATCACTAGCATCTATCATATGTACCTCCTGCCCATCAAAGCAATGAACAGGAATGTCTAGTACAGATAGAGGCAGAAAGCTGAAGATACCTACTATTGCTATTATAAAGCAGCAAAACATAATATTCAAATTCATGACTTCATTTTTGTTTATATTTCTAGTAGCAAACTTAGGTATGAGGTTAAAATTTGGTCATGAGATGCTTAACAAATGAAGGAATTTGGAAAGAAAAAAAAACCCACACATAAGTCTTCAATTTCATAACAAAATGTCAGGCTTATCAATATTTTCATTTCTCTTATTATTTCTCAAAAGAGTTACATAAGTAATTAAACAGCTTTGAGATTAGAGGTAAAATTTAACAAAATTATTATATCTGTTAACTATTCTTACTTACTTTTATCTAAACATCCAATTCAAAATTATTTACTGGTGATTTTTAAAGAGTATGATATATAATTTTCAAGAGTATATCAGAGTATATTATTTGTGAGATCAAAAACCCTGATAGATGTCCCAATAAAAGATTATTTTTGTATACAATAGAATCTTCTTTAATAAAGTATCTTTCACATAAGCAATGTACTCTACAGTAAGATGTGAATACATTTTGTAGACTTTAAAGTATCATACCTAAAAGCAAGATGCAATTGTCATTATACTGAAAAAATTTTTAAGTACTCTACAGTAACATACACATTAGCAGTATAACTTTTCTCCTTTTGGACTCCAATATTTCTCATCTGGCACTTATTTTCTCCCATATGGTATAATTATTTATATATGTCATATTTCTCTATGGAACTATAAGGAACTTCAAAACCATAGGGATATCTCATTATACTTAATAGATCTAACACAGTACACCTTGCAGAAAGAGACACCATTTAAAAAAAAATAGACTGTATTTCTGTAGGTAGAAGCAAAATTCTAGTAAGGACTATTACTAGCTACTGTGCAGTTTTTGATCCTTTGATCTTTCATGCATATAGATAGAATAACTCTTGTTTTTGCTTTATTAATAATGGAATGCTTTACTAAGCAAAATCAGGTATGCTTTTAGAACCAGCAGCAGGCAAAACACAATTATTTCAAGAACGGGTACATAGGATATCTAAATATCTATGTCTGAGATTTTTCTCATGGTATTTTTCAGACTATAGTAATTTTGTTCACTGAGTTTGGAATTCCAGCCAGGCACAATGGCTCACACCTGTAATCCCAGCACTTTGGGTGGCTGAGGAAGGAAGATCGCGTAAGACAGTTCAAGACCAGCCTGGGCAACATAGGGAGACCCCATCTTTACAAAAAATAAAAAATTAGCCTAGCGTGGTGGTACATGCCTGTGGTCCCAGCTACTCAGGAGGCTGAGGCAGGAGGATCACTTGAGCCTGGAAGGTCGAGGTTGAGGCTACAGTGAATTGTGATTGTGCCACTGCACCTCTAGCCTGAGTGACAAAGCGAGACCTTGTTTCAAGAAAAAAAAAAAAGAGTTCGGAATCCCATTACGCATGGTGCCTTACATGCTTTACATTCACACTACCTACCATATTTTCCCTTCAACAAAAAGATTCTAAAGAGAAAGGGAAAATAAAAAAAACACTCTACAACAAAAGACAGAGAGAGAGGAAGGAGAGATTCTGATAGAGGAGAGACAGTCATGTAGAACTTACAGGGAGAGGCCGGGCGCGGTGGCTCACACCTGTAATATCAACACTTTGGGAGGCTGAGGCAGGCAGATCACTTGAGGTCAGGAGTTCCAGACCAGTCTGGCCAACATGGTGAAACCCCATCTCTACTAAAAAAAAATACAAAAAAACTAGCCAGGCGTTGTGGCAGATGCCTGTAATCCCAGCTACTTGGGAGGCTGAGGCAGAAGAATCGCTTGAACCCTAGAGGTGGAGGTGGCAGTGAGCCAAGATCACGCCATTGCACTCCAGCCTGAAGGACAGAGCAAGACTCTGTCTCCAAAACAAAAACAAAAACAAAAACAAAAACAAAACAATAACAACAAAAACTCCCAGGGAAAGACAAGAGATAGAGACAGAGAGAGACATGCTGTAATTCTTGGCCATTTAATTAAGGACTTATCTTCTGAGATTTATCTTTTGTAAATAGGGCTGTATGGCAGTAGAGAAAATTTTCAACATTCACTCAACAAGTAATGCACTGGCAATAACAACTATAAAACAAAACATTTCTGTACCTTAATATCAGAGGTATCACGCTGACTGTTTCGCCAAGCTCTGGAAATTGATGAAAAAGTTCGATCTGCATGATCAAATTTGCCTCCTTGCAAATTTAGGAAATAAGTTGTAAAGGGTTCCTAAAAAATAGCAATTAAAAAAATCCATATGTTCCCTCAGGCATAAAAATGTGGTTTTTATAAATTCTTAGAACTAAATACTTTAATGACTAATAGGCATTCACTAGTAATATAAACTAGGTATATAATGAGAATTATATCTAAATTATTACATTAATGTTCTCAAGTTATTTTTCCCTCAAAAGAAATATTTCTAAATATTTCAAAAATTTGGTATTTGCAACATTTTCTTCAGGTAGCCTTCCTTTCCAAGAATAATGTATTAATATCATACAGACATAAATTAGATGTATTTTCTTCATAGTACAGGGAATAGTCCAGTATGTAGTTTTCCTATTGTTATGGCTCAATATTTAATTTATGATTAAGAAAAGAAAAATGTTTGGATGATTTAAAAGCCTCCTCTTAGTTAAAGAACACTTAAACACATATTAGTGGATAATTGCTTGAAATTAGCTAAGCACTATAAATTACTTCTAGGATTTATGTCTGCCTGTATCCTTCTAACAAGCTTTAATTAATGATGTGCTGCTAATGCTTTTCCGAAGAAATTGCTTTCTAGTAGATGAATCACCTTTCAATTTCACAGAAACATTTCTTGTTTAACCAATATATTATCAATACACGACAGCCTTAGTTTTACCAACAAACTTACCTTATTCCATTTGGGACAACCTTCCAAAATATATAAGTACATGTCTGTGTTAGTAACAACTTACTTAGTTCTTATTTTAATAGACTACATTTTAAAAGAATTTATGCTACAATTTGGAATCTGGTAAGACAGCAAGCATCTGAAGGGGCAAATTTAAGAAAAAAATTCA